>NC_000010.11:103930974-104234004 GCF_000001405.40 Homo sapiens
CACCCAGGCTGGAGTGCAGTGGTGCGATCATAGCTCACTATAACCTTGACTGGCTAGGCTCAAGAGATCCTCCCACCTCAGTCTGCCCAGCAGATGGGAGTACAGGTGTGTGCCACTAGGCCCAGGTAATTTTTCAATTTTTTGTAGGGATGAAGCCTCACTACGTTGCCCAGGCTTGTCTTTAAGTCCTGGCTTCAAGTGATCCTCCCGTCTTGGCTCCCAAAGTGTTACGATTACAGGCATGAGCCATCACACCCAGCCAGATATATTCATTGTTATTGATAGATTATAACTGACAGAATCGCAGCTCCCTGTAGTGTATTTTAAAGCCAGGGCTTATGGACAGATGCTGTAGAGTGACCAAACATTCTTGCGTGCTTGGGACTGTTCAGTTTTAGCGCTGATGTTCCCATGCCCTAGGCTTTTTCTCAGTCCTGGTTGCTCCTGGTCATCCTACCTGTAGGTCAGGTTCCCCATTCTCAGACTCTGAGGATCCCCTGTAGGGGAATATTAGCAAACACTTTCAGGAGCTGAGCCCTGAGTGGGTGAGGGAAGCAGGATTGAGTAGAGGGAAAATGGGGTTTTACTGGCCACTTTCAAGGTAGGGTGACCTCATCCAAAATTATGCCCTGCCCTCAGGGACAGTAACCAGTTGACACATCCCCAGAACTTAGTGCATGACATTTCTGATTAACTATCCCAGCTCTAGAACTTTCTGTGGGATCAGCTGAGGCCTCTATTGTAACTGCCCTTCAATTCAACTTGTCCTTCTGTGCAATCCTGCTTCCCTCATGCCCTCAGGGCTCAGCTCCTGAAAGCATTTTCTAATATTCCCTATCAGGCAAATCTCAGAGTCTGACAGCCCAGAGGAACCTGACCTACAACAGCAGGCACAGGGGTAAAGTGGTCCTAGGAAGCAGCGTCTAATGTAGGATTTTGAAGCTGGGTCGCTGCTGACTGGCTGGTGATGAGAACCCTTCCCTAGTGGTAGATGGAGTCCCTGGTGGGGCAAGACTTTCACCAGTGGTAAACTGGAATGGGCTGAAGGCCCATCCAGAGGTTTGGGGAAAGTAGTAATTTAAGGACAATAAAATGGCATGGTTGTTACTGGCCACTCTCAATGCATTGGAGAGAGACGATGAAAGGTTATGGGTGATTAACCACCAATTTCAGGCTGAATGTAAAAACCAGAAGATCTTCTTGGCAGCACAAGAGACTCTCATCTCCTGCAGTCAGAGTTTGGACCTCCTGAAGATGAGACCCAGAACTTAAATTAGAAAGCCACAGCTGGGCGCTGGGGCTCACACCTGTAATCCTAGCGCTTTGGGAGACGGAGGAGGGAATATTGCTTGAGCTCAGGAGTTCCAAAACAGCCTTGGCAACATGGTGAAACCCTCTCTCTACAAAAAACACAAAAATTAGCTGGGCGTGATTGTGCGTGACTGTAGTCCCAGCTACTTGGGAGGGTGAGGTGGGAGGATTGCTTGGGCCTCAGGAGGTTGAGGCTGCAGTGATCCGTGATCGTGCCACTTCACTCCAGCCTGGGTGACAGAGTGAGACCCTGTCTCAAAAACAAAACAAACCAACCAACCAAGCAAACAGAAGTCGCAGAGCTCCAGTGAAGGCAGAATTCTCAATCCTAGTGAGCTGTCTATGTCAAAGTCACAATCCTAGTTGGGAGGGAGTGGGATCCTGAGATTTGGGGTGAGGACATATAGGCAAGTGTCCTTGTAAATTTTGACTTCCCAGATTTCCTCTGAATTCTCTGGGCCTGCAGAAGGGGCCCATTCTCCTGGTTGGTTAAAGGTTAACACTCCCTACTTTTGAAGTCAATACAGAGATTTTTGCCTTGCAAGAAAACAACTTCTTTCCCCACAGAATCTCAACGTCTCCCTTCATCCTGCCACCAAACCAGTAATGAGGGTGAGGTTACAACATAATTGAAGAGCCTGCTCAGGGAGAAAAGAGACCATTCCTCAAAGGAGCTGCAGGACCTGGACAACATATGTTGTCAGAAGCTGGAAGAGTACATAGGGATCCTGTTAAATTCAGTTTAGCCTAAAGCTGCCTCTTCTCATATTTTAAGTTCAGCCTAAAGGTTTTTCTGTACATAGTGAATTAACTGTAACCTAACTGGATGTGTAAACAGACTGTAATCTACTCTTGTAACAAGTAGCCAAGTCCCAGCCAATCACAGAAACCACACTTCCACTACTCACAGGCAGCCAACTGTTCGAACAGTATTTAAATAAGGCGAACACTGAGCTGTAAGCAATCCATCTGTTTCTGTACCTCATTTCCATTTTCTGAACATCACTTTCCTTTTTCTGTCCATAAATCCTCTCTGGTTGGGAGGGGAGGGAGACGGGGTTGGGGAGAAGTGGCTGTCTGATTTGCAAATCATTCTTTGCTCAATTAAACTCTGTTAAATTTAATTTGTCTAAAGTTTTTCTTTTAACAATCCTGAGTATGCATAATCGAGGGAGGTAGAGCATACAGTTGGATAAAGAAGAATTCATTGATAAGAGAGCACTTTCCCATGATGTAGGAGTTCACCTCGGCAAGGACCCAGGAAACACTAGCTGTTGCACTGCTAGAATGCCTCTTGGAAGTTAGAGAGAACATCACATCAAATTGATCTACTATATCAATGATACCATGTTAATCATACTGGGTGAGCAAGAAGTGCAAGTACATTGGAGGCCTTGATAAGACACTTGTGCTTCAGAGGCTGGAGCTCTGCCATGTCAGTGAAATGTTTAGTCCACACAGTGCCACATAAGTACAGAGCCTGGGTTACCCTGGGATATCCCCTTCAAAGTAAAGGACAAATGTCTGCATTTCATGCCTCCACTACTGAAAAGGAAGCACAGTGCCTGGTAGGGCTCTGGAGGCAGCATCTTCCACACTCGGAAACACTGCTTCAGCCCTTTTGCTGGTGACTGGGAAGACGTCCAGCATTGATCCAGGCTTTGAAGCCGGTCCAGGATGTAGTGAGAGCAGCCCTGTCACTTGTGGCCTTGTAGCCAGCAGGCCTATGCATTTGAAGTCATTTGCATTGCCATGTAAACTCCTCCATCGCTCTCCCCAAATCTTTTTTGTTGTTTTGAGATGGAATTTTGCTCTTGTTGCCCAGGCTAGGGTGCAGTGGCACAATCTCGGCTCACCGGAACCTCTGCCTCCTAGGTTCAAGCGATTCTCCTGCCTCAGCCTCTCAAGTAACTGGGATTACAGGCATGCGCCACCACGCCTGGCTAATTTTGTATTTTTAGTAGAGACAGGGTTTCTCTACTCAGGCTGGTCTCGAACTCCAGACCTCAGGCGATCCTCCTGCCTTGGCCTCCCACTCCCAAAATCTTTAGTGAAGAGGTACCTCCCATCACGGGTGGGTGTGAGAGGCAGTGGAGTTTCACATCCAGATTCATGTGCTGTAAAACAGAGACTAATATGGACGTGTAAACTCCAAGACCATGGAGAACTTACGTACCTCTGGAAATTTTCAGAAAACCAGAGAAACTCAGGCAAGGATGGAATGTGCAGGGAGGCCCCAGCTGATAACTGGGTTACGCGTCTAAGTCATCACCATACAGATTAGGAAGGTGGGGAGGATTTGTTAAAAAATGAGAAAAATGAGTTTTTTTCCCACAAATTTTTGAATCACTTAAAATGTGATTTTATTTATTTTTTAGACTTCGATTTTAAGTTCAGGGGTACATGTGCAGGTTTGATATATAGGTAAACTTGTGTCATGGGGGTTTGTTGTACAGATAATTTCATTACCCAGGTATTAAGCTTAGTACCCATTAGTTATTTTTCCTGATCCTCTCCCTCTTCCCACCCTCCACCCTTCGGTAGACCCCAGTGTGTGTTGTTCCCCTCTTTGTGTCCATGTGTTCTCATCATCTAGCTCCAACTTATAAATCAGCATATGTGGTATTTGGTTTTCTGTTCCTGCATTATTTTGCTAAGGATAATGGCCTCCAGCTCCATGCATGTTCCCGCAAAGGACACGATCTCATTCTTTTTTATAGCTGCATAATATTCCATGGTGTATAGGTACCACATTTTCTTTATCCAGTCTATCATTAATAGGCATTTAGGTTGATTCCATGTCTTTGCTATTGTGAATAGTGCTGCAACAAACATATGTGTGCATGTGTCTTTATGAGAGAATGATTTATATTCTTTTGGGGATATACCCAGTAATGGGATTGCTGAATTGAAGAGTAGTTTTGTTTTTAGGTCTCTGAGAAATCGCCCCACTGCTTTGCACAATGTTGAACTATTAGGTTGGTGCAAAAAGTAATTGTGGTTTTTGCCTAATAATTTACACTCCCACCAACAATGTATAAGCGTTTCTTTTTCTTCGCAACCTCACCAGCATCTGCTATTTTTTGACTTTTTAACAGTACCCATTCTGACTGGTGTGAAGTAAATCAAGATGGATTAAAGACTTAACTGTGAAACCCAAAGCTATAAAAGCCCTGGAAAACAACCTAGGCAAAACCATTTTGGACATAGGAATGGGCAAAGGTTTCATGATGAAGGTGCCAAAAGCAATGACAACAAAAGCAAAAATCGACAAGTGGGATCTAATTAAACTAAAGAGCTTCTGTACAGCAAAAGAAACAATCATCAGAGTAAACAGATAACCTACAGAATGGACGAAAATTTTTGCAAACTACGCATCTGACAAAAGTCAATATCCAGCATCTATAAACTTAAACAAATTCATAAGAGTAAAACAAAGAACCCTATTAAAGAGTGGGCAGGTACATGAACAGACACTTTTTAAAAGAAGATATGCATGCAGCCAACAAGCATATGAAAAAAAGCTCAACATTACTGATCATTAGAGAAATACAAGTCAAAACCACAATGAGAAAAATGAGTTATAAAAGGCAACAAGGCCAGGTGCAGTGGCTCACGCCTGTAATCCCAGCGCTTCAGGAGGCCAGGGTGAGTGGATCACTTGAGCCCAGGAGTTTGAGGTTACAGGGAGCTATGATCACATCACTGCACTCCAGCCTGGGCAACAGAGCGAGACCCTGGCTCTAAAATACAGACAGACATACATACATACATGCCTACATACATACAATCCTGTTTGTTTGGCTTTTTCCCCAGATACCAGGTGGCATTGCCCTGGTCCTCCTCCTGCTCTGCTTCAGCTCCCTGGGAATCTATCTGCTGTCGAGGCTGCCAATGTCTGGGCCAAAAGTGCCCAGTGTCTCCTGCAGATGCCTGGGCTGAAGCTGACAGCAGGCTCTTCACCACCACAAGGGCAGTGGGGCCACTGTCGAGGCTGCCAGCCCTCACGCCGCCACTGCAGCTGCTGCCCTTTGGGCTCACAGCGCCCTACAGAGAGCCCAGTGAATGCTGCCTACACAGCCTCTCCCCAGGACAGGAGCTGGCTGGGGGATCCCCTTGGTAGTACACATTCGGTTATACTTGGCAGTGGCATATCTAATGATTTGATACCCAGAGGGTATAATTTTAAAACAATCTTCCACATGACAAAATAATTTTCAGTAATAATCATGAAAAAATGAATGGTAGTAATGGTCAGAAATGAAATGCAACAGGAAAAATTTTTTTAAAACTTTCTATATATAATCATGCCCATAAATAAATAAGGAAAAAAGAAAGATGACAGTGCAAAAAGAAAAACATGAGCAACATTAATAACTCTGAATTATACTAATATTCTTTTTGCCAACATTTTATTGTGCATATTTTCCAACATACAGTAAAGTCAGAGAAATTTTACAGCAAACACTTTTATGCCCAGCACCTAGATCTTACCAATAATATTTTCTTATATTTTATCACACAGCTTTATCACGCAGCTATCTATCCAACCCTCTATCCATCTACCAATCTTATTTTTTGTTTTAAACTTTTTACTTTACAAAAGTGTTAGTAATTCTAGCACTTTGGGAGGCCGAGGTGGGTACATTGTTTGAGCCCAGGAGTTCGAGACCAGCCTGGGCAACATGGCGAAACCCCATCTCTACCAAAAATACAAAAATTAGCCGGGCATGGTGATGCACTTCTGTAGTCCCACCTACTCAGTAGGCTGAGGCTGGAAGATCTATTGAGCTCAGGAGGTCGTGGATGCAGTGAGCTGTGATGGCACCGCTGTACTCCAGCCTGGGAGGCAGATGGAGACCCTGTCTCAAAAATAAATAAATAAAAATAGTGTTGGCTTTACAGAAAAGTGCAAAGATAGTACAGAGTTCCCACACATCCTGCATCCAGTTTCCCCTATTATTAATATCTTACATTAGTATGGCACCATTTGTTACAACAAATGAGGAAACAATAGTGACACATTTTTATTAACTGAGCTCTCTGCTTTGATCAGATTTATTAATACCCTTTTTCTGTTCCAGTATCCCGTTCAGGATATCACAGTCCATTTAGTTGTCATGGCTTCTTTTTTTTTTTTTTAAGCTGGAGTCTAGCTCTGTTGCCCAGGCTAGAGTGCAGTGGTGCGATCTTGGCTCGCTGCAGCCTCCGCCTCCCAGGTTCAAGCGATTCTCCTGCCTCAGCCTCCTGAGTAGCTGGGATTATAGGTGCCCGCCACCACGTGTGGCTAATTTTTTTTGTATTTTTAGTAGAGATGGGGTTTAACCATGTTAGCCAGGATAGTCTCAATCTCCTGACCTTGTGATCCGCCCACCTCGACCTCCCAAAGTGCTGGGATTACAGGCGTGAGCCACCGCGCCCTACCTGTCATGGCTTCTTAAGGCTCCTCTGGGCTGAGACAACTTCTCAGACTTTCCTTCTTCCTAGACATTCCTTGATGACCTTGACAGTTTTTAGGAGGGAGTGTTGGTCAGGTATTCTGTAGAATGTCCCTTAATTTGGATTCATTTTCTCCTGGTGAGCCTGGTGTCAGGTGTTTGGGAAGAAGACCACAGAAACTAAGTACATTCTCAACACATCATATCAAAAATACAGGCTATCAACGTAACTTATCACTGATGGTGTTAACCTTGGCTGCCTGGAGAAGATGGTGTTTGTCAGGTTTCTTCATTGCCAAGTTACTTCTCCCCTCCTTTCCGTATTGCGCTCTTCAGAAGCAAGTCTCTAAGTGCCATCCACACTTAACACAGGGTAGGGAGTTGCCCTCTGCCTCATTGCAGGGCGATCATCTACATAAATTATTTGGGCTTCCTTTGTATGGGAGAGAGTTTTCTCTTTTCACCCATTTACTTATTTATTCAATAATTTATGCACATTAGTACGGGCTGGTGATTATTTATTTTATATTTTGGATTATAACCTAATACTTTTTTTTTTTTTTTTGCCCCAATTTTTCCAGCTTTGGCCACTGGGAGCTGTTCCACTTGGCTTCTGTGTTCCTTTGAAATATCTCCGTGGTTTTATTTTTTGAGCATTTCCTTACTTTCTAGCAGTAGAAGATGTGCCAGCGTCATCTGGTATACTCTCTGACCCAGTCTTAGAATCAGCCATTTCTCCAAGAAGTCCTGGCTCCTTTTGTTAGGAAATGGCAAAAGAAATCAAGATATGGGCACGAGATGTGTGTGTTGCTACTGGAGTATTGTTGTTTCTAGGCCCTCTCAGTGGATAGGGATAAGAAATATATGACTGTATACTAACCTGTATATATACCCATATCATCATTATTTCTATATCAATCCATTAATATCTATATTAATCTAAACATGAGTTCATATTTATGTTTCTGGTTCTAATCCACAACCACACATGACATTAGAGCCTCTTCCTCTTGTTTATCTGTGGCCTCCCTCCCTGAGAGTGAGCATGTACCAGCCATTTACTTATTTGTTCAGTCTCTGCATACATGTACAGCAGTCTCAGAATTGTTAACTGGTACCCCTTGAGAAACGCCTTTACCAACTAGAGTATAGTGCTAAGTACAGTTCCTTTTGTCTTCAGTTTTCCAGTTTCCATTATTTCCACAGTTATAGAATACCAGTCCTCTTCGGTGCGGTTATGTTATAAATGTGTAATAGAGTTAGGCTCTTTTGTCATTGCCTGTATTTCATCCTGGGATCCCCCAGCCTCCTAGTTGATTTTGTAAAATTTTGCAGACATTAAGGTTCACTGTTAGTTTTGTAAAGTTCTATGGTTTTCCACAAATGATAGTATCATGCATCCACCCCTACAGTAGCATATGGAATAGATGCCCCCCAAGATCCCTTGTTCTTCACATAGTCAACATTCTTCTCTCCCAAACCCCAGCAACAACTGGCTGATTTGTTTCTGTCTCTATAAGTTTTGCCTTTTCCAGAATATAAACTTTTCCAGGATGTAGCCTTATCATTCTGGCTTCTTTCACTCAGCAACATGCATTTAATATTCGTCCATGCTGTATGAATGAATAGCTTGTTCCTTTCGAAAAAGGGAAAATATGCCAATGTTAGTTCTATCTCAGTGATAAATAGTAATATTTTATGACAACTTTTGCAAATTAGGTAATGACTTCATCAAAATTGATCTTTGTTTCTTCATATTCAAAAGACAGTACATTATCAACCAGATTTGATAATCTATATTTACTCATGGTTAATCAAGAACACTTTTTATTAGTTTTCATTTTGAAAAGCTTCTTTCACATAAGATAGCAGATGTGCAAAGTTTACAGAAGAGGTATAATCTTAGTGCTGTTACAAAGGAAAAGATGCTCAATCTCACTGTGAGATAAATGCAGATCAGAATTGTGCAATAATATTTGCACTTCTCAGATTGGCAAAGATCAAAGAGTTTGATGACATAATGTGTGAGTGAGGAGGTGGGAAAGCTGGAACTCTAACACATTTGCAAGTGGAAGTGTAAATTGGAATATACTTTAAAATTATGGCAATAGCTATCAAAATTACATATGCACATCCCTTTGCTTCCACATTCTGTATATAGGATTTTTTTTCTATAGAGGTGTTTTCATATTTGTGAAATGAGGTATGTAAAAGATTATTTATTGCAGCATTGTTTGTAAGGGCCTATGGTTAGAAACAATGAAAATGTTCATCAATAAAGGGCAGAATAAACAAATAAAATTAGTTAAATTAAATTGTGGTCAGGCACAGTGGCTCACGCCTGTAATCTCGGCACTTTGGGAGGCCGAGGCAGGCAGATCACCTGAGGTCAGGAGTTCGAGACCAGACTGGCCAACATGGTGAAACCTCATCTCTACTAAAAAAATACAAAAATTAGCCAGGCGTGGTGGTGGGCACCTGTAATCCCAGCTACTCAGGGGCTGAGGTGGGAGAATCACTTGAACCCAGGAGGTGGAGGTTGCAGTGAGCCAAGATTGCGCCATTGCACTCCAGCCTGGGTGACAAGAGACTCCATTTCAAAAATAAAAATAAAAATAATTAATTAATTATATTGTATGCCATCATAAAAAGATGACATGAAAAGATCTTCCAGACACGTTAAGTGAAGATTGCAAGGTGTTGACCAGTGTGTATAGTATACTTCCATTTGTTTACAAAGTATTCATTTGCATACGCAAAAATGATCTTTTGGGGGACAGTTAAGAAATGTATAATGGTGCTTGACTTTGGCAGAGCAGGTAGACAACCTGGGGTTGAAGGAGGTCTACTTTTCATTGTACACCCTTTTGTGTATACATCCTTGTGTGCACCATGTTAATGTACATGTGACTGCAATGTAAATAAATGAAATTTAAATTTTAAATTATTCTTTGAGAGTATAGACTAACTGCAGAGATTAGGAGAGGGATGAGAGCCCCACATATCTGGATTTAGCAACATCCTGCCTACAGGACAAAAGGACTAGTGGCATTGAATACAGAAAGGTGAAAGGTGGTCAATATCCCAATGATCCTTTGGTCAGGTAAGGAAATATCTATGTTTAAGGATCAAACGTGTGCAAGGAATGCAACATACAGATAAATATGGTTTTTTTTTTTTTTTTTTTTTTTTTTTTTTTGAGACGAAGTTTTGCTCTTGTTGCCCAGGCTGGAGTGCAATGGCACGATCTCCGCTCACCGCAACCTCTGCCTCCTGGGTTCAAGTGATTCTCCTGCCTCAGCCTCCCGAGTAGCTGGGATTACATGTGCATAACCCCACACCAGGCTAATTTTGTATTTTTAGTAGAGACGGGTTTCTCTGTGTTGGTCAGGTCAGGCTGATCTCAAACTCCCGACCTCAGGTGATCTGCCCGCCTCGGGCTACCAAAGTGCTGGGATTACAGACATGAGCTACCGTGCCTGGCCAATATGTTTTTTTTAAACAGATAAGAGAAAAAATTCTAACAAGGTAAGGGAAATATTTATATTATGGATTCAGGCCTAGGAGTCACCCCAGATAGTCTGTCTCCTTCCATCCACCTATGTATGAACCATCAAATCCTATCTATTTAGCCACCAAAAAATATCACAAATATATAGACTTTCCTCTACCAGTTCCCTAGGCCAAGCCACCACCAGCCTAGCTTTGCATTCCCTAACCCTTCCATTCTAAATTAGAATTCCTAGTAGCCTTTATTCTCTTTCACAACACCTTTTATTTTATTTTTCTTCATAACTCTTACCAACATATAAGAAGTTTAATGGCATACCTATTTAATTAATGTCTATTCCCCAGCTGGAATATAAACTCCATGAAGTCAGAGACTGTGTCTGTTTTGCTAGTTACTATATTTCCAACTCAAACATTTGTGTTGAATGAATGAATAAACTAGACTATGGAACTCCCTGGAGAAACAGAGCTGTGTGTGTAATGGAAAACTTTAAAAATCACATTGAGGAGACTATCAGGAGATAAATTATCAGAAGCAAATTGTGATCATAGAAGAGCCTAGAAAATATGCTAGGTCTTTTCGTCTCTGACCTCCACTGATTTGCCACACACTGAGAACTGTCAGCTTAGACATTTCACCAATGTGGCACAAGACTTTAGTACTAGCAGGCTGAGCAAGTCTCCTCTCCCTTGGGAACTTGGTTCTCTCAATTCTGCTTTGGGGTAGATGAGCAAAGAACTTCTTATCTGAAGACATGAAGTCTAAGAAGACTGTATTGTTCTAGCAGCATCTCCCTAGCAAGTCTGTACAGGCTGAGTATGAATCAGGCGGAGATTATGACCAGGTTTTACTTCAGGCATTTTCTAAAATCACTCCACAAAAGTTCAGCTCTCATAATTGAAGATGACATTGATCTCATGCATTGCCAATGTACATTTTAAAACTCTCAGGGAGTCAGGACCATCATGAGTAAGTCTCCAGTGACTATGTTACCAGGTTATAATGGTCAGGAGCACTTTGTATATAATTTGCTTCATGTCCCATTGTATTGTAATCATTTATGTGTCTCTCTTCTACCATTGCACTGTACACTCCTCAAGGCTCAAAGGCAGGAATATAATAGGAGCTCAATAAATATTTCTGGCTTTTTGGGGTTTTTGTGAGACAGAGTCTCACTCTGTAGCCCAGGCTGGAGTGCAGTGGTGTGATCTTGGCTCACTGCAACCTCTGCTTCCTGGGTTCAAGCAATTCTCCTGCCTCAGCCTCCCAAGTAGCTGGGATTACAGGCACCTGCCACCACACCCAGCTAATTTTTGTATTTTTAGTACAGACGGGGTTTCACCATGTTGGCCAGGCTAGTCTCAAACTCCTGACCTCAGGTGATCTGCCCGCCTCAGTCTCCCAAAGTGCTAGCACTACAGGCATGAGCCAATGTGCCTGGTCAATAAATATTTCTTGAATGAATAATCTGAATACAGTACATGGATTTGACTTTTGAAGGAAGACAGTTTATATAGAGACAGTTATATTCAATCCACCACTTATTAGATCTGTAAACCAGAACAGATAATTTAATCTCTCTTTACCTTCCCCCTTTTTGAAAAATTATGAAGTATTTAAATATATACACAAATATAAAGAAGGGTAAAATTAACATTTATCTGCTACCTAGCTTTATATTATTTTGTCAAATATGGCTGAGAGAATGCCATGTGTTCATCAAATATTGTTTCATTTTTCTCTTTCTGGGCACACAAAAAGACTGCATTTCTCATCCTCCTCTGCAGCCAGATGGGTGTCATGAGACTAGTTCTGCCAATGGACTGTAAGCAGATGTGCTATGTGTTACTTCCAGGGTAAGCATAGAAGAATGACTGAGTTCTCTGTTCTCTTTCCCTGCTGCAGTGATCCTGGAAACCACGTTTGAAAACAGTGTTATCAGAAGACCCTGGAGCCTCCATCAGTCTATACCCCTGAATATCTGTATGGATCAGTGTATGAGAATCGCCTTTGTGCTACATCTTTATCAATGCTGAGCTTTTCCAGCTTTAAAAACTTTTCTGACAGTTTGATGGTGTGAAATCATTGTTTTAATTTGTGTTTTGCTGATCCTGAATGATGCTGAACACCTTTCCAAATGCTTGTCATTTGGGTTTTTCTGTGAGTGCCTGTTTGTATCCTTTGCCCATGGTGGATGGGGGAGTTCATTATTCTAGTGTTCTGTGGGATGATTTTATATATTTTGGAAACCAATCTCCTATCAGTTGCATTCATTGCAAATACTTTCTCCAAGTGTGCAGCTTATCTTTTTACTTTGTTTAAAGTATCTTTGTTGTATAGAAATTTAAATTTACCAGTCTTCTTATGCTTTGTGTAAGAATTTTTTCCTATCCCAAAGTTCTAAATATATTTTTCTATATTCTCTTTTGAAAAATTTTTTTCTTTCTACAGTGATGTGAATTTGAAAGTTTTAAAGACTTGATTTTCATTTGTAAGTCTTTAATCTACCTGTACAGTAATAGTTTGTGTGCGTGTGTGTGTGTGTGTGGTGTAATGTAAGAACATATTTGTTTCCATAAAATAGCCAATTTCTCAAGGCCATTTATTGACTAGTTCATCATTTCCATTGATGACAATACAATTTTGCCGTATATCAAGTTTCCATTGATGCACAGGTCTGTTTATAGTCTCTTTAACCTGTTTGACTGGTTTATTCATCTGTCCCTGGGCCAAGGCCATGTTGTCTTAATTGCTATAATTTTATAATAAGTTTTGATATGTGGTAGTGTAAGTATCCCTCCATTTCGATCTTCATTATTGTCTTATGTTTTGTTGACCCTAAGTATTTCAATATGAACTTTGGGATGAGCTTGTCAAATTCTACAAATAACTAAGTTGGGATTTTGGTTGAAATTGTATTTGCATCCTGTTGTTACTGTGGTTGAGAATAATTTTTTTTTACTATTACATTTTCTAGTTAATACTAATGATGCATAGAAATGCTGTTGATTCTCATACATTGATTTTGTATCCAGAAATCTTGTGCCCTCATATTAATTGTGTACATAGAGTCCTTGGAATTTGTCCACAATGTATATTCTTTAATAAGAGTAACTTATATAATACATTTTCAGTTCTTATGTTCCTCTTATACAGTATTGAATAAAAATGGTGAATCTTATTGAATCTTATTCTTATTTTAATAAAAATGTTCTTACAGTTTCACTATTAAGTATTTTGTTTGCTGTATGGGTATACTTAAGCTAAAGAAATACATTCAAATTTTTTATGCCTCAGTCTCTTCACCTGTAATATGTAGATATCAATGCCTGTTTTATTTATTTTTCCAGTCTATTGTGAGAATTAAATAAGGTATCATACAGGAAAGATCACTGGAAATAGTGAAGTACTATATTCAAATGTCAGTTAGTGTGTATATATTGTTTGTTCACTTTTGTGTCCCAGTACCTAAAACATTTTCTGGAACCTAATTGGTGCTCCATAAATATGTGTTGGATAATTGTGGAAAACAGTATTAATATTAAACAGATGTTTCATGCAAAGTATTATTTCCTTATATCTTAACAGGGATGGCAACACTGAGATATTCATGCTGGTATCCCCTGCATTGCCTGCCAGTGGCAAAAAATTACTGAATTATCTCAGAAGGCTTCTTCTGAGCTCGGACTGTCAACCTCAGAATCCATTTCGACTTAGTGTTCTAGGCAGCTATTTCCAATCTATTATAATTGGAATATGAAAAGAAACTTATTTACTTATTTACCAGTTTACTACTGGTTTGGTACCAAGCCAATAACATTGAATCTCTACTCAATTGGGCATATGGTACTGTTATGAAAGAGAAATTTAGGAATCAAGGGTTTCTCATTCCCAAAAGTAAATATCCACAGGAGGGCTACATAATCACCAGCATTTAGGAAAGCTCAGTCTGTTTAATTGGGTTATTCTTCTTGTGTATTTCTCCATAAATTGAAAACACAATGATATCTGTTAAGTAAAAAGGCAACATCAGGCCTATGAAAATATTTCTTCCTTATTAGTAAAGTGCTTTGTTCCTATGTTTATCTTTGTTATTATATTGCAGGCTGGAAATGAGAACTGTGAGCATCATTTTAATAAGTGGATTAAAGGTCTTTATTTCGAAAAATTTTTCCACGAACCTTGCTGAGTCTTCTATTTCTGACAGCTAGAAGTAGAGGTGAATCATGTCATCCCCTTATAAACAAGAACAAACAGGCACTAAATTTACAGAGTAATTGTAAAGCAAGTCATTTTATGTTGTATATTTATGTTGCTTCTCACAGCCTATTTGCTATTTTCACATCTTTTCAGGTTATTAATTTATGATTTCCTGTAAAAAGGGACATTACTGAGTTTCTCTTCCCAGGCATTTCTACCTTCCCTCCCACATACCACAAACCCCTGTCAATTTTTGCCCTAGAATATACAAAATTTAGAGATTAAAGATATAAATGCAAGGCCCATGTCACTGGAAGGACTTGTTCATTTATTGAGAGCTGGCTGATTGTTTCATTAAGTAATATCTCATATAAAAACACAAATATCTGATGCCTGAAAAGATTATGGGTGTCCCTGTGGCCCTTGATACTGTCATTTCCCACTCCGGCTCCTGGGAGGTGGATGAGCTCCAGCGTGGCACCCGCATTGCTGGGCTTTTAGGAAATGTGTTTTAATTTTAAAACAACTCAGATGCTATATTCTCCAACAACCAACTTTGCCAAGATCAAGCCTTGAGACTCTTATAAAAGATTAAAATTTCAAAGCTAGCACTTTTCAGTGAAGGGCACACATCATTATTTTGTTCTAATCTGCAAACACCTGACAGGCTCAAGAAGCAAACACGGCCAGGAACCAGAAATCCAAATATTGTGAAGTCATTGTTGCTTTTCAATTTTGATTCAGCCTGTTCAAAAGCTATTAAGTAATGAAATGTACATGATATAATACTATACGAAAAATGGAGTTTACGAAACAGTATGAGATATATAAGATAGATGTATAAGATATATGCATAACTTATATGGCATTATATATAAAATATTAAGTTAGCTGAGGTCTCTAAGCCTCAATTTCCTCTCCCGTAAAGAAGGTAATCATATCTATCTCATAGAGTCATGATATTAAATGAGATAATCCATGCAAAGTACACAGTATAGTGCCTGGAAGGCATATAATAATATATAGTCTATATTTTATTACCAATATTTTAGAACAAAGGCTAGATGGATATATACCTAAATCCTAAAAATGGTTATTTTGGGGTTGTGGAATTGCAGGTGGGTGCTATTTTCCTTCCTTTGCTTTGACAGTATTTCTAAAATTTCTCTCATGAGTCAATATTACTTTTTTTTTTAATAAGAAAATTCAGAAGTTAGCCTCCTTTGACCAAAAGTACTCAGGTGGTTCTCACTTGCTCAATGATGAAGGGTAGAAATGGGATGAGCAGTGTTAATGACATCTGTAGAGCTTCCTGTGACAGATCATTAGAAAGGCCCCTGGTGAATCCCACCTTTCTAGTTCATATCCTTTTGCTGTGTGGCTTTGCTGCTCTTCCCATCAATAAATGGAGTCTAATTTTCCACCCTTTGAATTTGGGCTTGCTTTGTGACTTGCTTTGTCTCATGAAGAAATGTCTGACAAAAATGATGCTGTGTGAATTCCAGAACCTGGTTTTTAAGAGGCCTGGCAGTTTCCACTTTCCCCATCTTGAAATCCTGAGACTTTCTCTGCTGTGAGAAGCCTTGTTTAGTTTATAGGAAGGATTGCTGATGGGCTGCAACAAACAGCAAGCACCAACAGCCAGACCTGTAACTGAGACCATTTTGGACCCTCCAGTTCTAGGCAGGAGGTTGATGACCAGAACTGCATAAGTGACCCCAGGCGAGATTGAAAAAGAGGAGCCCAGGAGTGTGAGACACAATATAACATTGATATTTTAAATGACCATGTTTTGGGGTGGCTTGTTATGCAAGAGCAGATATCTAAAACACTGCTCTTCATAGATGTCCGTGCTACCCAAACACTGTCTACTTCAAAGGGGCTGCAGAAAGAAGGGACTTCTCTCCAAAGACATTAATTTATTGTGCAATTTGTAGAGAGTAAAAAAATGCTTCCTTTCACTTGTGCTTTGTAACCTGAACTTAAATGTACACTATTGTAAATCTATATGGCTGGTAAGTATGGAATTGAGGGTCCTCTAACCAACTACTCCAGGGGCAAGTGTCCTCATATCAAGGAGCCCATTAGCTGGGCATGGTGGTGGACACCTGTAATCTCAGCTACTTGGGAGGCTGAGGCAGGAGAATTGCTTGAACCCGGGAGGCGGAGGTTGCAGTGAGCCGAGATCACACCACTGCACTCCAGCCTAGGCAACAGCGACAGAGCAAGACTCTGTCTAAAAGAAAAAAACAAACAAACAAAAAGGAGTCCAGTGTTTAAAACTTTTGAGAAACAATGTCTCACTCTCACTTTCCTATTGTATAACTTTCATTTTCTGGGGCTACCCTGGCTGGGATATCAAGGAACCAAACATTCATTTATTTGTTGATCCATTTTTCAGATGTATATTGAACACACATTATGTATGAGACTGGGCTAAGCAATGAAGCATAAAAAGACTTTAAGACATGGTTACTGCTTTCCACAACAGGAAGATATGACATGCAGATAATGTCAATAGGAAGTAATGCATGCTAAAGCACTCGGTGAATGTACAGGCAACTCATAAACCATATGAGTTTCGGGGAGGAAGAGAAGCCTTCCAACCAGGATGACCAGAGTTGACATTATAGTAACCACACAATTTGATTTTAGTCTTATAGACTGAGTTAAGAATTTGGTGGGGGTGAGATGGGGAGAGGCCATGCAGACAAGGGAATCTTCATGAGCAAAGGGCAGGAGAAAGACACAAGACACATTTGAGAGAGGTATCTAGGAGACAAATTTAAATGGAAGGTTCATTTACTGACTCATTTATTGCTTCAGCAAATATTTACTGAATGCCTAGTAGGTGTCAGAAACTCTGCTAGTCTCTGAAAATGCTGAAATATAAATGACCCAGCGCCCATCTTTAAGGAATAAGTAATCTATTGTGCAGGCAGCAAATAAGCCATTGCAGAGAATGGGATGGTAAATTCATGGTTGAATACCAAGGAAGACAAGCCTGGAAAAGTAGGTTAAGGCCAAATTGTGGAAGGCTTTGAAAACCAGGATTTCTCTCCTGCAGTTCAGAGAAACTTCTACTTAAAAAAAAAGTGGAAACTTTTAAAATAACAAATAATACTGTTATTTGGAACTGCAGCATAAAAGACAGATACAAGTGGATCTGTCTGGATCGAAGAGGAGGGGCCTAGAAGGCTTACTGGCCTTACCTCTCTCTCAGTGCTTTTCCCTGCGGCAATCCCTAGGGCATCTCTACAGTTCAAAGGAACACAGTGTCAAACATAATCGTATTGTGCTGGCAACAGAGAATTGCTGAAGTTTGTTTGTTTAAATCAGGAGAGTTCCATAATGTACATAAGATGCCCTGTCAACATAACTCACAATTGTTGAGCACTTACCAGGTAGCAGGCACCATGTTAAGTGACATACTATTTAATATTTACCACAACCCCATCAGGAATGTATTATTAATAATAAAAATAATGATGATAATAACGTTCCCACTTTAGAGGTGAAGAAGCTAAGTTTCAGAGAGGCTAAGTAAATTCTCCAAGCTACACAGTTTGTAGAGCAGGGATCAGAATAGAACTGATCAGATTGCAGAGCCTGTGCTGTATTTTAGGCACAGCTGGTGAGGGTATGAGGCTTCTAAGCTCTCCTGCCTCCTAATCTGCTTACCATATATTAGATGCTTGATTAATGGTATCTATTATCATTACCATTATCTTTATTACCATCAAAAGAGGACAGCTCTATAGGAATTACATTATACATTTGGATATGCAATTTTAGTTGAGGCTGATGAACTAGTGGCCTAAAATCACTAAATTTAAAGATGACTTGTTTCAACATAATAAATAAAGTACGAAATATTTTCATTTACCATTCACTCATTCTATTGGGATAGTGTACAGAGTCATGAAAATATTGCCTCAATGGATTTTCAGCTACTCAGAATAGCTCTCCATAAAGAAAAAACAAAACAAAACACAAATGGCCAATAAAAAATACTAAAGGATGTTCAGACTTACTCATAATTAAAGACATATCATTCAAAACAGTGAGGCTCCAGTGCTGCCATGTGTAGTTGTTCGGTTTGAGCACTGTGTAAGGTGGCTGGCCAAAGGGCAAGTGGAGTGAAAATGGAATTCTGAATGGCAGACTCCATGTTCTGTCATGGTCTCAGTCCGCCTAGGAGGTTATAGGAAGCAAAGAGAGGAGGGAGATTTTTAAATTCCTTTGCCCAAAGGGATTTGAAAAATATTAATGCAAAGGCATGTGTCTTAGTCAGCTTATGTTGCTATAAAAGAATGCCTGAAGCTGGGTAATTTATAAAGAAAAGAGATTTATTTGTCTTATGGTTCTGCAGGCTGTACAAGAAGCACGGTGCCAGCATCTGCTTCTAATGAGTGCCTCAGGCTTCTTCCACTCACAGTGGAAGGGGCAGGGGAAAGGGAGCTGGTGTGTGCAGGGGTCACATTGCAAGAGAGCAGAAGCAAGAGAGAGAGGAGGAGGTGCCAGGCTCATCTCAACAAGCAGTTCTTTCGGGAGCTAAGTATGGGAATTCACTCATTACCATGAGGCCAATCATGAGCATCCACCCTCATGACCCGAACAACTCCAACATTGGTGATCACATTTCACATGCGATTTGGAGGGACAAATATCCAAACTATATCAGCACCCCACATATAATCTTTTCACCTCTTATTATGGACAAAGGTTTAAAAATTTTGTTATGTCCACATCTAGTGAGGGTGCAAGGAAAGGGGCATTCTCTTACATTGACTATGGAAATTTTTGGAATTTAAATTGGTGCTGTTTTTTTGGAAAGCAATTTTACAATTTAAAAAGAGTTTAAGTTCTCACAACATTTGATCAGGAATTCTACGTCTATGAATTTATCCTATATATATACTATACAAAAGGGCAAAGAGGATATTTGAGGATGTTCCTTGTAATCTTATTTGTAAAAGTGAAAAACAAAACACTATCCACATATTCATGTAGGAAAGTCTGGTTAAAAATTTATGGTACATCTATGTAGTGGAATAATATGAAACTACTATGAAAGTATGTGTATGCACTGATATGAAAAGACATGCAGAATATGTTAAATGAAATCAATCAAGTTGCAGAGCAGTTTGCATGTGATACTCTTACTTCTGCAGAAAAGTGACATAAATGTGTGTATATGGTTGTAGACTTATTTTCTGGAAGGATATACAAACAATAGTTAACAGTGATTCCTTCCAGGATGTGGTACTAGAGGAATAGAGGTACAGGATCTTAATCTTTTTTTTTTTTTTGAGATGGAGTCTCACTCTTGTCACCCAGGCTGGAGTGCAGTGGTGCAATCTTGGCTCACCGAAACCTCCACCTCCTGGATTCAAGTGATTCTCCTGCCTCAGCCTCCCAAGTAGCTGGAACTACAGGTGTGCACCACCATGCCTGGCTAATTTTTGTATTTTTAGTAGAGACAGCGTTTTGCCATATTAGCCAGGCTGGTCTCAAACTCCTGACTTCAGGTGATCTGCCCACCTTGGCCTCCCAAATTGCTGGGATTAAGGGTGTGAGCCACCATGCCCAGCCTTGGGATCCTAATCTTTAACTTTATATCTTATTTGTTCAACTATTTTTTAAGAATAAGATGAGAACAAATTAATGGGTTTTGGGGGAAAACAGGTGTGAGACAAGAGTGTGCTGAAATGCAAATACTCTTGGATTTGATACTTAGAGAGGGGAAGGAAGCAGGATTGGGCAGGAAGAAGTTGGATCATGAAACAGTCTCAGTGAAGGCCTCAGTTAACCCCACTGAGATATCTGAAGCTGGAACAGCCCTTCAGGGTCGTCCTGAGTTGAGACAGGGGGGCTAGACCTTGACAGACCCTGGCATCAAGCAGTCAGTGGATGAGGGCTGTCT
This sequence comes from Homo sapiens, assembly GCF_000001405.40. Taxonomy (NCBI): domain Eukaryota; kingdom Metazoa; phylum Chordata; class Mammalia; order Primates; family Hominidae; genus Homo; species Homo sapiens. The sequence continues at coordinate 103,951,361 of NC_000010.11, forward strand.
CAGGAAAAGGATGTGGCCTAGGGAGAGGAGAGCCTCAGCTGGGACAGTTCTGAAGACTCCTGAAGGGGGCACATTGTAGCACCACTTCTCTAACAAAATTGTTTTCCAAAGGTTCAATGACAATTTAAATTTGTCAAAACCCCTCTCAGACCTTTCCAAGGCAGCTGCTGCAGCTGAGAACGGCACTGGATTTTGGCTCTTTCTCCTTGGCTCTGGCTTCCCATATTAAAATATTGACATGTCATTTGATTGCTGGTCTCTTTGAGTTCCTACCCCCAATGCTCAGCAAACTGTAAAAAGATGAAACGTCTTCCATATCAGAAACATCACTGTTCTTTTTCTTTTTTAAGATGGTGCCTCCACTCATTATTTAAAACTCTAATAAAGGGGGTTTAAATCTGCTGGTTAATTTGCTACACGGTCTTGGGAATTAAGGGGATACTGAATTTTTCCTTCTGTGTAGCCCATGAATAAGTAATACTTTGACTACACAGAAACCCTTGTTCCTTAATAAAATGATGTTTTATTGAAGCTGGAGAAGCACATCACCTTACAATGCTTTTATATCAAATACTTGAACTAGTTTGTTTTGCCCGCTCTAAGAAGGAGTGAATAATTTGAAAACAACTCAGTTGGCCTGGTTTATAGGCGTATAACACATTGTAAATAAGCTTATCTGGAGAATCTGGATACTATCAAACCATAATGGAACATAGGCTTCCTCGGGAAACTAAATCGTGTGGTTTGAGGGGAGGACAAAGGAAAGCTCTCTGGAACAAAGGAAAGCTCTCTGGAAGGGAACAAGTGCTTCTGAGTTTGTTAGTTTAGCAGGATTGGTTCTGGTGTGGGATGGCAGTAATATTTGGCTTCAAAGCAGTCTTTATCCCTTAATAATTCCCTAATCCTTGCTGTTATGTGAACCAGCAAACATTTGAAAGGCAAAGCTGTAGAATAGAATTAGGATGGTCTCCTGAGTGAGGCAGAAAGATTCAGTGAGAGGAAAGGACTTTCAGGGTTCCAACAGAAGCCTACATTTTGTGAAAGTCAGTAAATATCAATTATAAGCAAGATGCTCTACAAATCTCAGTATGATTATTGGTGCTAATCAGGTATAAAAACCACCGCAGTGGCTCCCTATTATGGAAAGAATCACAGAAAGGGAAAGGCCTCCCCTAGTGCTTGCTCAAAATCGTACATGGAAGAGGCTTAGGGGGGTCTAAACTATTCGTTTGGAACTGGCAGACTTACCTCTAAGCTGTGTTTACATATCACTTTACATAATGTTGAGAAAAACTACGTCTATAATATTAATACTTGTCCATGTCAAAGAATGAAGGAGGTGGTTGTCAATGGTAATGATGGGGGCGCCAAAGTCCATTCACATCATCCCTACATGCTACCATTTTTCTTTCCTATGAAAATGAAATTGTAATGAACAATGTGACCAATGAAAGGTGATTTCTTAACATTTTGCTTGGGGTCTTTGAGTGTAAAGCTATGTTAACTGCAGAACAGTAACGTAAATTTGGGTTTATTAATATCATTAAGGTAAACCTATGAATTTGCCTTTGAACAAAATACAAGGTCATAAAATTGATTATAATGAAACAAAACTATAGTGACAGAAAGCAGATCAATAGTTGCCTGAAGACGGAGGAGGGAGGCGGGAGAGATTATACAGGAACATACAAATTTATAATTCACAATTATAAAGTTATAATTCAGCTTTATAATAAAGTTTTGACATATATATTCACTTGTAATCTCTCTTCCCTCCTCTCTCTACAGGCAACTATTGATCTTCTTTCTGTCACTATAGTTTCGTTTTCATTTGTTTCCGTTTACTGTATAAATGGAATGTACTCTTTTTTTGGGGGAGCCTGACTTCTTTAACTCAGCATGATTATTTTGAGATTGATCCACATTGTTGGGTATATCTATGGCTCATTCCTTCTTATGGCTAAGTAGTATACCCTTGTATGGATATGCTGCAATTTGTTTACCTATACACCTGTTGATAGATATTTGAGTTGTTTCCAACCTGGGCTATTATACACAAAGCTGCTATAAACATGCATGGGCAAGTATTTGGACCTATACCTTCTTTTCTGTAAATACTTAGGAGTGAAATGGCTGGATCATATGGTAAATATATGTTTGACAGTTTGAGAAACCATCAAACTGATTTTCAAATTAGTTGCACATTTTACATTCCCACCAGCAATATATGAGTTTTTCCAGTTGCTCAGCATCCTTGCCAACACCTGATGGGGAGAGTCTTTTTAATTTTGGCCATTCTGGTGGTTGGGGACTGGTATCTCATCGTGGTTTTCATTTACATTTCCCTTATGATTAATGATGTTGAACATATTTTCATATGCTTGTATGCCCTCCATATATCTTTTTTATTGTTGAAATGTGTGTCTAAATATCTTGCCAATTTTTAAATTGGGTTAGTTGGCTTGGAAAAAACACTCCAGGCAGTTAGGACACCTGAGTTCTATTTCTAGATCTGGTCCCAGTGTTGCCATACTATTTGACCACAGATTTCTTGCCTCTCTCGACCCTTTGCAAATGAGGTTAAGCCCACTGCTCTGTAAGTCTTCTTTAAGAGTCAAGTTATTTGTTGGGTATATGTTTTGGAAATATTTTCCCTGAGTTTGTGGCTTGCCTTTCTTAGTAGCATTTTTTAAAGAGAAAAAGTTTTAAATTTTGATTAAACCCAATTCATTAATTTCTTTCTCTTATAGTTTATGCTTCTTGTGTCATATTTAAGAAATCTTTTCCAAAGCCAAGATCACTAAGATTTTTAAAAGATGTTTTATAATTTTATAATTTTTAATTGTAGCTCTTACATTTAGCTCTATATTCCATTTAGAGTTACTTGTGGTATATGGTATAATGTGGGGGTTGAGGTTACTTTTTATTTTTTCATGTGGCTGATGGTTTCAGCGTTATTTGTTGAAGATATTATCCTTTCCTCATTGAATTGCCTTGGCACCTTTGCCAAGAATCAATTGACTATATGTGTGCGTGTGTGCATATACATATGTGTATGTATACATATACATGTATATGTGTATATATATGTATGTATGTCTAATGCTGGGTTCTCTCTTATGTTTCATTTTTGCCCATCTTTAGACCAGAACCTCTCCTGATTACTATAGCTTATGATAAGTCTTGAAACCTTGTAGTGTAAATCCTGTATCTTTGTTCTCTTTTTCTCTCTTTTGTTATATGGTAGATTGTTTGCTTTTCCATATTCAGCATTAGCTTGCCATTTTCAGACAAAACCCTGAAGGGATTTTGATTGTGAATGCATTGAATTTAGACATCGGTTAGGGGAGAATGAACATCTTAACAATATTAAGTCTTCTAATCCATGAAGATGGTATACCTCTCCATTTATTTGGATCTCCTTTTATTTCTCCCAGTAAAATATCTGGTTACAATAACTGGTTACAAAAATTAGTTGATTATAAACTATTATGAAAATGTATTTTTGAAATCAAGGTCTGTATTTCCTCTTAAGAAGCAATAGACTAGAACTGCCTCAGAATAGAGGGAGGCCAAAATATGTGGGGGCTGCATGAAGTTGTGCCTTTGCTCATAGAACTTTTAAAGAGGAAAAGTTTTTAATTTTGATTAATTCCAATTCATTAATTTCTTTCTTTTATAGTTTATGCCTTTTGTGTTATTCATTCTTACAATAAATGGTATCCTCCTCCCTCAAACTCATAATATCATTTTATATCACCTTAACAAGAGATTACAGATATGTTCAACAATGACTGTCATTCACCAACTTTGTTTTCATTAAAAATTCAATGAAAAGATTACATATGAGTAAGATATATATATATAGCATGTTAGTATTATTTTAGGCTTTCTTTAAAAAAAACATCATTAAAAAGTGATCACAGACTTCCACTATTTTAAAAGTTATAACCTATGTCAATAAGGTTTACTTTTAAAATTCAATGTGATGTTTGGGCATCTCTAACTGAGGCTATTGTAAAAGGTGATAATGTTCAGATGGGTGAGGAAGAATGGAAACTTCTGATGCAGCAGGTGGGTGGATGACAGCCTCTCAAGTGGAGGGATAGGGCACCACATCCATAAGAAGAGGGGGGATAAGAAGAACGGCATATAAAATCATGGAACTTGAGGGTAGAAGGGGATCTTTAAAAGTCACTCAGTCGGCCAGGTACAGTGGCTCACACCTGTAATCCCAGCACTTTGGGATACCAAGGCGGGCAGATCACCCGAGATCGGGAGTTCAAGACCAGCCTAACCAACATGGAGAAACCTCGTCTCTACTAAAAATACAAAATTAGCTGGGCGTGGAGATGCATGCCTGTAATCCCAGCTACTCGGGAGGCTGAGGCAGAGAATGGGGTGAACCTGGGAGGTGGAGCTTGCAGTGAGCCAAGATCGCTCCACTGCACTCCAGCCTGGGAGACAGAGCGAGACTCTGGCTCAAAAAAAAAAGCAAAACTCCATCTTAAAAAAAAAAAAGATCACTCAGTCAGACTACTCATATTTAAAGGGAACATCTGAAATACCATGGAACAGGACAGAGAAGAGCCTAAGGCAACAGATAAGATCTTGGATTTTTTTTTTTTTTTTTTTTTTTGAGATGAAGTCTCGCTCTGTCACCCAGGCTGGAGTGCAGTGGCGCGATCTTGGCTCACTGCAACCTCTGCTTCCCAGGTTCAAGAGATTCTCCTGCCTCAGCCTCCCAAGCAGCTGGGATTACAGGCGCCCGCCACCACACCTGGCTAATTTTTGTATTTTTAGTAGAGATGGGGTTTCACCATGTTGGCCAGACTGGTCTCAAACTACTGACTTCAGGGGATCTCCCCGCCTCAGCCTCCCAAAGTGCTGGGATTACAGGCGCGAGTCACTGTGCCCGGCCGATCTTGGATGTTCAAATGGCTATGCCAAGGTCTATGTCACAGGCCAGGACTAGACTACTTTATAAGTCACCTTTGTAAAACTAGAAAATAGTGTTCCTGTGGGCCAACACAGATTCACCGGCACTCACCCTGGTTAATGAAGTGTGGGCTAGATTTCAGTCTTCCCTTATCCCCTTGGCTATGTGTATTTATGTAGTTGCACAAAAGCCAAACAAGTGGTCTTTCCATAAGCCAAAGAGAAATCTAGAAACCAGAATTCCTAACTCAGTTGATTTGAGAGTGAGGTGATGAGAGTCAGCACAGTTTAAACCCAGAGGTTTCAACAGAAAATAACTTTTCCAGCAATCAGGTAGAGATCAGAGTGGATAAGACTTGGTGGTGGCATCACAGGATAGAAATCAAGGCACTGTTGATGCAAGATAAGAGTGGAATACAGAAGATGAAATGGAGAACTCTATCTCCAGGGGTCACATTTTGTTGGAGTAACTGAAAGGCTAAAGAACAATGACAAGGGGCAGCTGGGAAACTGTCAGCATCTTAGCCCTCATGAAACTATGCTTTGTCTCTGTATTTCTTTTCCAAAGTTCCCTCCTGCTGAAAGGATATGTTTGAGCTGAGACATGGTGGAGGTGAATGTGTGTTGCAGAGACTGAGAATTGGCCTTTGGTGGGAAAACTAAAGAAAAACCTCCATTTGGAATTGCTTGAACCCAGTGGGTGGAGGTTGCAGTGAGCCAAGATCGCACCACTGCACTACAGCCTGGGCGACAGAGCAAGACTCCATCTCAAAAAAATAAAAAAAATAAAAAAAAAAAGAAGAAAAGAAAAAACCTCCATTTGATTTTGATTTTGAATGATAGCAAAAAGGAATAAATTTGGCTTCCACCAGACATGAAACAGGATATATCTTCTTAATTTATTCACTTAAGTCCAATGTTGTTTTTAAGGTCTGGACAAATAAACATACAACTTTGTATCAGTATATTAGAAGTATGTTGTGTAAGATCAGGAAAGAACTTAAGGAAATGTGGAAAGCATTCAACCTCTAAATCAGCATATACATTGCTACTATTACTTTCCAAGGAAAAACAGAATTTAGGTTTTTTTTAAAAAACTTATGTAACCATTGATTATGACCTCAGGGACTTTGGAATAACTACAGAAGGGTCATCTAGGTTTTTTAACTGTCATCAAAGCTTTGCAAATAGTTTAAAAAGACATTGAGGCAAATTTAGGGTATTTTACTTTATTACCAGAATTAACTCTATAACATATGACTTTTCAAATTAAAACTATCCTAATGTAAACTCTTTGCAATTTTAAGAATTAGAATTTCAATTATTGAATTACTGAAAAGTTCATTTGGTTTTCTTAAAGTCTGGCCGTTAACCCCAATCTCGCAAGATGGCACTTTACAATACAGATTCTGTGGTTAAAAATGTTTGAGAAACACTGGATACTCTTGTGAGGGAACATGAAACACATTAGCCCATTAAAAGCTCTGCAGTAAGGGAAATTTTTAAAACTTTAACCAAGAGAGTTTCCCAAAGTTATGTGGCTATAGTATGCCTTCTTAAAGTAAAATTTTCATTTATTGACCATTGTTCTAGTTATAGATTGCTGCTTACTAAACATTCCTAAAATTTAGTGGCTTAAATGAACAGCAATCTTTTTTTTTAGTTCATGAATCGGCAATTTGGGCGGGGCTCAGTAAGAATGCTTGTTTCTTCTCCACATGGTGTCAGCTCACGTAGCTTTACTCAGGGATGGATGATGAACTTCAGTATGGTTCACTCATATGGCTGGCAAGTTGACATTGACTGTCAGCTGGGAGTTCAACCAGGACTGAGGGCACAGGTCTCTCCATGCGGATGTCTCCATGGGTTGTTTGGGCTTCCTCAGGGCACGGTGGTGGGGTCTAAGAGTGAGTGTTGCAAGTGATGGAAAGTTGAAACAGCTAATGTTTTAAGGCCTGAGTCTGGAAACGGGCACAATATTACTTCTGTTGTATTATATTGGTTAAGCAGCCACGGATCCAAGATGCAAGAGGAAGGGACATTGATCCCTAACTCTTAGTGGGAGGAGTTTCACAGAATGTAGGGGTTGTATGTTAAAATCATACGCACAGGAAAATGCACAGATCACAAGTGCAGAAGCTTTTGACACAATAAACTCACCCATGCACTCAGTATCCAGAAGACCTCCCCTTAGGTCTTCCTCCAGGCATCACCCCCTCATAGGTAACCAATATCTTGACCTACAATACTAAAGATTAGCACAGCCTCAGCTGGATAATTCTTTGTGCTGTCCTGCACATTGCAGAATGTTTAGCAGCATCCCTCATCTTTACCCACCAGATACCAGCAGCATCCCCTCCCCTAGTTGTGACAAAAAAAAAATGTTTCCAGAAATTGCCAAATATCACTGGATTAGAACCTGCACATTTTGCACATGTACCCTAAAACTTAAAGTATAATAATAATAATAAAATAAAATAAATCTATTTGTCTAAATCCCACTTAGTCATTTAAAGTTCCAAGAGATTTTTTCGTCTGTTTTGATTTTGACTGATTCCTCAGTCCCTAGAATACTGCCTGACATATACGAGAAAACTGATGACTATCTGTTGAACAAATGAGAGAATGAAAGATACCAATTCTAAATAGTTATTTAAAGAGTCAGCTCTAAAATATATACTTTTTTTATTCTACCAAACCCGCAATCGCAAATCATTTGGTTCATTTTTGTTAGAAATGATCATTTTATGACAACATTGATATAAAATACAAGAATATATTTGCCTCTAACAGGAATCTATATTGGTTAATTTCCTCCTGTAGCAACATGAAATATGAGTCATGGAAATAGAAAAGATTAGGATTTACCAGACAAATAGGCAGTGTCTCATGACAGTGTTAATAATGTAATAAGCCTCAAATTGTGGTTTGTAATGGTCATGACAGCTTTGTGAAAAAGGAATGCATAGTAACAAAAAGTTTTCATTAAAAACCTAGGAGAGGTACTAGGTCCTGAAAGATTAGAAGGGGGAAGGAGGAAATGTATAAGACAGTAGTAGGGACTTGAGTAGTTATTTCTTTACAGGGGAAACTGAAAATTTCTTTTGCAAAATAGCCTCTGATATTACTCTGAAAAAAAATCTCCACTGTCTCCCCCATTGCCTGTGGCAAGCATTTCCTATCTTACCAGGTAAATTTCTTAAGGCTTACCCCAAGAACAGTGTTCAGTGGAAATAGTGTTCTCCATGAATTTTGATGGATACTGTATGTCCTTCTTTTTGAAATTCCTAACTGCACTTATTTGCTCTTCATTCACCATTATGTCAGAAAAATGAACACAATCACCATATAATGCCACTAAAATTAGGGGCACAATAAAAATCGAATTTTACAACTGCAAAGGTTCTTAGAGATCACATGGTCATTTTGATGAAGCAAACTACTACACATTTATAGTAACTTACCTTAGGAATTACCCCATTGCCTAGGTCATTCTGAATTGTTTCATCTCCTTGAAGACACCTCTGTTAAACATGAAATTCCTGTGTAAGACACAAAGTGCAGAGAAGTTAGTGACTTGCCCAATGTCACAGGGTTAACAAGAGGACAAATAATTTGGAGCTAATGATCAAAATGATCATATCCAAAATATGTCTCATGAAACAAAGAACAAATGTAATACATAAAAGTAGGGGGCAATGGGGTAGCACAGAGGCTTTTATCAAGCCCAAAGTGTCGGTTGCCAGATGATGCTGTGGTTGGGTTACTCTCATTTAGTCAGTGTCTGAGTGAAACACATTTAATATTGACCATTCAAATACTTAAAGTTCAAAAGATGTTAGGGAGTCTAGATTTTTAAACTGGAATTGGAGTACCACTTGTAAAAGAAGGATGTCTATCTAGTTTTTATTTTCTAATTTCCCAAGATTTGGATGCATTAAGCCTTCTCATCGCACTGCCAAATGTTTATGATTCATTTTAGCAGAAGTTACTAGGGATGAGGAGAAGGTGGGAGTATGTGTGTGTAACAGTTCTGTATGACGCAGAAAGAGAAATGAATTAGAAGGGAGGATATTTTTCGATTCCTTTTATGAAATAAAAAAGAGCTTAAATCAGGTGACTTGTTTACTTTTTCTTGTTTTCAAAATAGAAAAAAGAGAGACCCAAAACCTGATTTGGAATTTTCTGAATGACACACAATTCTATTTCAGGAGAATAATTGTCATAATCACAGGTTAGTTACCTTCTTAAAATATCTAAAAAATTCCTTTCTAAAAATATAACTCCACAGGGACAGAAAACTGTATTTACGTCACAGAATACTTGTATATCAAAGGAATTTGCTACTTCCATCTAATCTACACAATAGCATTTAAAGAACTAACTAGTAAATTTATTGTCTAAATAAGGAAGGGGAAAGGAATTGACATGTAATTTCTTTCACTAGGTGTAAAGTTTTATCATTTTCATTTATTCATTCAACAATAATGTATGGAATAGGAAGACACTGGGCTAGATGTAGGAGGTACAAGGATGAGCATGACTGTCCCTGCCCTCTAAATGCTTTCCGTCTAGGAGAAACATACACAGCCTCCCATACATATGCAGATATATACACGCTCACATACAAACACATTCACACATACCCATACACACATATTCGTACACATACACACGTTCACACAATATGTACATGCATGCTCACACATGCATACACCCTCAGTACTATACACTCACACATATACACACATATGTATTAACATATGAACACATATATACATATATATCCACATATACACACTCACATGCATACATACATACATACGTGGGAGCTGAGCTGACAAAGTGGAGACAGTGAGTAGAATGTTTTCAATTTAGAGGAAGGAGAAAGACATAGCATTGGCAACGATCCTGTGAGACGACTATGGCAAAATCTCAAGGAGGCTAAGTAGACCGTCTTAGTGGAGTTGTTAAATACTGGAGAGTTAGGTTTTCCGAGATCTGGATTCAAGTGAAAATCTGCCATTACTACCCGTGAGGCCATAACCAAGTTACATAACTCACTGCCTTAGTTTCCTCTCTTTTACATAGGGATTATCATAGTACCTATTTCATGAGGTTGCCATGAGGTTTAAATGAGATGATGCATGTAAACCACTAAGCACAATGTACTAAATTTCCATTTATTTATTTATTTATTTAGAGATAGGGTCTCTGTGTTGTCCAAGCTGGAGTGCAGTGGTGCTATCATAGCCCGCTGCAGCCTCAAACTCCTGGCCTCAAGCTCCCGAGTAGCTGGTGCATAACATCACACCCAGCTAATTTTATTTTTGTAGAGACGAGGTCTTGCCATATTGCCCAGGCTGGTCTTAAACTCCCGGCCTCAAACGATCCTCCTGCCTAGGCCACCCAAAGTGCTTGGATTACAGGTATGAGCCACCGTGCCCAGCCTAAATTTCCAGTTTGTGATGATATCCTTATTATTACCAGAGAAGATTATTTACCAGGTAAATTGTGAAGATAGTATTCCTCTCACCAAGCTGCTTAGTGAGAAAATATTAAACTATTTTTAAGGTGGGTAGAGCCAAAAATTATGTATTAAATGAATTTATTTGCATACCAAAGTATAATCCAAAAAAATTTTTTAAAAAATGAATACATGATCGCTGCTTCATCTTTACTTTTAAAGTTCTAAAAATTCAGGAAAGCCAAATTATCATTTATAAATAACACAAACATCTACATGTCATGGCCTTCACTGGGAATATCTGATCTGACTAAATGACATCACACCCAGTGTTACTAAGTAATTTCTGTGGCTATAACTTCATGGTGAAAATATATAAGCTATTATTAACTCTGTGATCATTTCATCAAAGTATGTTAGACTTGCTCATGTCATTTATAGAATACTGACAAACATTATTTGATATTATTCGTTGATATGATTAGGCAATTCATAAAATAAGAAATAAAAGTGGCCAATATACAAATGGAAAAGTATTACATCATTAATAATCAGATAATTCTAAATTAAGATAAGTTATTTTGGGGCTATTAGCTTGGTAAAGATTAATGGATAGGCCAGGTGCGGTGGCTCATGCCTGTAATCCCAGCTCTTTGGGAGGCCGAGGTGGGCAGATCACTTGAGGTCAGGAGTTCGAGACCAGCCTGGCCAACATAGTGAAACCCTGTCTCTACTGAAAATACAAAAAATTAGCCAGTTGTGGTGGCAGGCGCCTGTAATCCAAGCTGCTTGGGAGGCTGAGGCAGGAGAATTGCTTGAACCCAGGAGGTGGAGGTTGCAGTGAGCCGAGATCATACCACTGCACTCCAGCCTGGGTGACAGAGCAAGACTCTGCCTCAAAAAAAAAAAAAAAAAAAAAAAGATGGATAATACCTTGTTGCTATTGAGGGTGTGGTGAAATTTGACACTCTCATATGTCAACATTTTTCTTTTTCTTTTTTTCTTTTTGAGACAGGGCCTTGCTCGGTCACCCAGGCTCATGTGCAGTGGCACGATCGTGTCTCACTGCAGCCTTGACCTCCTGGGCTCAAGTGATCCTCCCTCCCGTCTCAGTCTCTCATGTAGCTGGGACTACAGGTATGAGCCACCATGTTTGGCTAATTTTTTTATTTTTTGTAGAAATGAGGGTCTCACTATATTGCCCAGGCTGGTCTGGAACTCCTGGGCTCAAGCAAACCTGCTGGCTCAGTCTCCCAAAGCGCTGAGATTAGAGGCATGAGCCACCATGTTTGGCCACCAATCTTTTTAGAGGCCAGTTAGGCAATACAGAGCAAAAACATTTTTAATATGATCTTTGACTCATCAATTCCACTTCTTGAATTGTGTCTTCAGGGAATATAATCAGACAAATACACAAAGATGCTTGTATATGCACACTAACTGTGGAATTGTTTATGATGACAAAAAAATTGGAAACTACCTAGATGCCTGTCATGCCTGTCAATACAGAAATGCTTAAATAAATTATGGTATAGTTAGACACTAGAACTCTGTGCAGCTATTAAAAAAGGATTAGACAGATCTATTTGGGATGGCTTGGAAAGATGTCAACGATCTGTATTGGATGATGCCAGTTTTATATCTTAACAGATATACATGCGGCCAGGTGCAGTGGCTAACACCTGTAATCCCAGCACTTCGGGAGGCCGAGGTGGGCAGAATACTTGAGGTCAGGAGTTTAGGGCCAGCCTGGCCAACATGGCAAAACCCTGTCTCTACTAAAAATACAAAAAATTAGCCGGGCTTGGTGGTGTGCGCCTGTGATCCCAGCTACTCAAGAGGCTGAGGAGGAGAATTGCTTGAACCCAGGTGGTGGAGGTTGCAGTGAGCCGAGATCACACCACTGCACTCCAGCCTTGGCGACAGACGGAAACTTCATCTTAAAAAATATATATATATATATATTTATATATATATATATATACACACATACACATACATACACACAGAAAAAAACATATATAGGCCTAACTTTTTCAAAGTAGCTTTATTGAGGTATAATTTACAAAGCATATAATTCACCCATTCTAAGTGTAAAATCATCACCATAATCTAGTTATAAAACCCTTTTTTATTGTCCCCCAAAATTCTCTCATGCTCATGGGCTTAACTTTTTTTATTTGGCCATGTATTATGTTATTAAAAGGAAAAGCTTTTACAAGAGGCTCATTTCCATTTCTTTTTTTCATAATATATGAAAAAATTTATGATAATATTTCTATTTCTTTTTTTTTTTTTTTGAGACAGGGTCTAGCTCTGTCGCCCAGGTGAAGTGCAGTGGCACGATCTCAGGTCACTGCAACCTCCGCCTCCCAGGTTCAAGCGATTCTCCTGCCTCAGCCTCCCGAGTAGCTGGGATTACAGATGCATGACACCACACCCGGCTAATTTTTGTATTTTTGTTAGAGACGGGGTATTGCCATGTTGGCCATGCTCATCTCAAACTCCTGACCTGAGGTGATCCACCCACCTCAGCCTCTCAAATTGCTGGGATTACAGGTGTGAGCCCCCGTGCCCAGCCTATTTCTATTTCTTAATGGTGTCAGAACTTTATCTTTGCTTTGCTAGTGACTTTTTAAAAACCACTTATTGAATTATGATTGACATACAATAAGCTGCTCATACTTAATGTATATAACTAGATGAGCTGGGTGATAACTGTACATCACCACTGCCTATTACATAAACATATCCATCATCACAGGCTTAACTTTTAACAGTGGTTAGGTCGAGGGTAACTATGAGTAGGGGGGAAGGAAGGAGGACAGAACTATAGACAGCTTCCTAGTTTATAATTTCTGTATTATTTGAATTATTTACAACAAAAATATACTATCTTTCATTTTTATTTTTTCTTCGAGACAAGTTCTAGCTCTGTTGCCCAGGCTGACGTGCAGTGGCACAAACATGGCTCACTGCAGCCTCATCCTCTTGGGCCCAAGTGATCCTCCTGCCTCAGCCTCCCCAGTAGCTGAGACCACAGGTGAGTGCCACCATGCCCAGCTAATTTTTCTGTTTTTAATTTTTGGTAGATGTGATCTCGCCATGTTGCCCAGTCTGGTCTCAAATTCCTGGGCTCAAGAAATCCTCCCACCTCAGCCTGGGATTATAGGTGTGAGCCACCCCACCCAGCCAGTAATACACTATCTTTTAATTGACAAAATAGTAAAGTCTTTTCTATTTTGAAAAGAACAAAATAAGGAAACAGACATATACCCATTGACCGAAATCTACTTTTGGCAATTTATCCTAAGGAAATAATCAAATATGTGGAAAAAGATTTGTGTACAAAGATATTTATCCGTATTTTATTAAAAACAGAGGAATTATAATCTAAATATCTCATAATGGAAGAGAACAATTATTAATTGTATTGAAATATGCGAAGTGCAGGATGCAAACCTTTTTATGTAATACAACCTCAACCATGTTGAAAAAAGTTAATGCACAACCAAAAAAATCCTGTTTTGAAATATAAGTTCTTATCAATGGTTGTGTCTGGATAGTAGAATTATAGTACTTTTAATTTAATTTTATTTTTTAAGCATTTCATTTTCTCCATAAATGATAATAATTACAAATAATTATAGTATTGTTTTCACAGGTCTATACATTTGTCAAAACATATAAAAGTGCACACTTGCAGCAAACCACCATGGCACGTGTATACCTATGTAACAAACCTGCACGTTCTGCATGTGTATCCCAGAACTTAAAGTATAATTTTAAAAAAAAGCAAACAAGTACTAGCAAAAAAACCAAATGCACACTTTAAATATGTACAGTTTATTGTATATCAATATATTGCAATAACACTTAAAAAAATAGAAGGATCTCAAGGAATTGAATCATCTTAAGCGTCTTACTGGAAGGGGGGTTTTGCTATGCCATTTTGGGGCTGAAGGGCAAAATGACTGGGGGGGCAGACATTATATAAATAGCAATATATACATACATTGTCTCTGCTCCAGATACCGCCATTCATTCATTCATTCACCAGATCTGCCTTCCTATTATATGCCAGGAATGTTGCCGGGTACTTGGATATCTTGATGAACAACAAACCACTGGCCTGAAAGAGCTCCCGTCTGGTGGAGGAGGGGAAGGTAGGTCACCACCTGACGGATTCCAGCCAACGTCCACACTGCCCCACCAGGGAGTGCTGCCCAAGGGGGCTGGAGGCAGATCAGGAAGTGGGGGCCTTAGCTGAGGTGGAGTCACCAAGAGTGACACCAGGTTTACAGTTGTGGAGGTGGCCAGAAGTTAGTTTTACCCTCAAGGGAGTGTCGCAGTCATCAGTTGAGAAGTGGGGGCCCGGCGCGGTGGCTCACGCCAGTACTTTGGGAGGCCGAGGCGGGCGGATCACGAGGTCAGGAGATCGAGACCATCCTGGCTAACACGGTGAAACCCCGTCTCTACTAAAAATACAAAAAAATTAGCGGGGCGTGGTGGCGGGCGCCTGTAGTCCCAGCTACTCGGGAGGCTGAGGCAGGAGAATAGCGTGAAGCCGGGAGGCGGAGCTTGCGGTGAGCCTAGTTCGCGCCACTGCACTCCAGCCTGGGCGACAGATCGAGACTCCGTCTCAAAAAAAAAAAAAAAAAAAAAAAAAGAAAGAAAGAAAAAAAAGAGAAGTGGTCTTAAACAGTTTTTATGTATCTGTGTCTATCTTGCCTGCACACTTAAAACAACAAGAGTAAGAACTAAGATTGAGCGTTTACGGGTGCAGGGGCCGCGCAAAGGGCTTCCATCTATTGTCTCATTCACAACCTTCTGGTAGGGACTATTAGGATCTTCATTTTACGGCGAGGAAACCGAGGCTCGGAGAGGTCACCTGCCCAAGGTCACAGATCTCTCTCTCCAAAGCTCAAGCTCACAACCACCACACAAACTCCCCTCTCACTGTACCTGGGGCCCGTCTGAGAGCGAAAAAGTCCGCTTTCAGGTCCCAACCCTAACAGGTCCGGCTTTCACTCCACAGTTTTTCCCAGATCCAGAATGGAGACAACATCCGCTAGCACAATCAACAGGGTCGTCCCACGGGGGCCGCTCCATCAAGGCCGTGGACTGACAGGATTTGGGGCTTGGAGGGCAAATGAGAAACAATCGTCAGGGACCGAAGAACAAATGCGTCCATCACACCAGCCCCCCGCACCCCGAGCCCCGTGCTCCGCTCACGCGAACCCTCGGGGGCAGCCAGTCTGAGGGACGTAGCGCGCGTGCGCGGGGCCAGAGGGGACGCCCCCACGCGAGCGCGCGGTGAGCAGGGCGCGTGACCGGGCGGGCGCGCAGCCGGGAAAGCGCGCGGGCGCGCTACGGAGTCGGCGTCGGCGCGCGCTCCAGGCCGAGGCTGTGTGGGCTGGGGAGGGAGACAGGCGGCGGCGGCGGCGCCCCAGACCCGAGGGGACGCGCGGGCCTTGCGCCGCGGGAGCGGACGGCGGCGGAGGAGACCCTAGGCTCGCGGCCCGAGGCGGGAGGGCTCGGCTTCTCGACTGCCCGCCTCCGAGGCCGCCGGCCGCTTCTCTCTCCCAGAGTGGCCGCCGCCCCTGGAGACTCGCCGTGACACGGGCCTAAGCCGCCGCCGCGGGAGTCCTGACCGCTCGGACCCGTCGGATCAGGCCGGGTGGGAGCGAGCTTGCGGGCAGGTGCCGCTCCCGGAGGGTGGGCCGGAGGCGAGGCGCCCACCGCGCGGCTCGCGGGCCGGGCTCGGCGGAGGGGCCGCTCGCGCAGCACCCCCACCGCGGGCCGGAGCCCGGGTCGCCGCCCCGCCTTCTCCCGGGACCGCCCGGCCGGAGCTGCGGGGGCCGAGGGACGCCGCGCCCGCCGCCGCCAGCCGGGCTCGCGCGGGAGAGCAGGGAAGAGAAACTTTGCCTTTTATTGTTTTTAGTCCTTAAGTGCAAGGAACTCTGTGTTGGGAGGAAAAATGTCCTTCTTCAATTTCCGTAAGATCTTCAAGTTGGGGAGCGAGAAGAAGAAGAAGCAGTACGAACACGTGAAGAGGGACCTGAACCCCGAAGACTTTTGGGAGATTATAGGAGAACTGGGCGACGGAGCCTTTGGGAAAGTGTACAAGGTAAGAGGGGGAAAACGGGAAGTTGTACTGCGAAGGTAAAACAGCCACTGGCCTGGAGTGGCGGGAGGACTTCTGCTCCCCTGGTCCTTATCCTGTCCTTCTTTTGACTGTTACGGTTCGATGCAACTTTACTTGGCTGATCATCCAAGGAGTAGCTAAGAAGTCGGGTTTACGGTGGAACAAAATGGGGCCTGGATGGAGTTTAAAGAGCGATTGGAAAAGGAGACAGGGTTATAAAGTCTACTCTTTCAAACTTCAAAGGAAATGAGAGTGTTCTTTAATTTATAGGAGGGGTCTGGTTGTGCCCTTCAAGTATTTTAGAATGAGAAACTCATTGCACTTTGCAGTGGATTTGTCTACTGACTGCATTCGCGTGCATGCTTGTACTCCAACAGTTCTGTTTTTAGGGTCCAGTATATATATTTGGTTGTATCTAGAGCTAATACAGAACTAGTTGGGATCAAAGTGATTGCTACTTGCAGTCTCTTCTTGAGTTAGTTGCTTGACAGCATACTATAAAATAGAATGGAATTTCTGACAAAATTTCCAAAAAACCTTCATGTGGTACTAGTTTTAAATATATTTATGGTAAGCATTGACTAGAAGTCAGTATCAGCGCTTAAGCAGTTAAAAACACACACGCATGTATTTATTTCAATAGAAAGAGGCTTGGCGTTTCAACCTGAAGGCATTAATGTTAACTATTTAATATCTCCTAAGGAACATATGAATGATGTCATTGGAGTATT
This sequence comes from Homo sapiens, assembly GCF_000001405.40. Taxonomy (NCBI): domain Eukaryota; kingdom Metazoa; phylum Chordata; class Mammalia; order Primates; family Hominidae; genus Homo; species Homo sapiens. The sequence goes on from NC_000010.11 coordinate 103,968,645, forward strand.
TTCATCCTGAAGGGCGAATTTTTTATGAGACAGCGTTTAGGGGAAGGACCCACAGGGTTGCCTAGAAGTGAAAACGTAAGAAAATAACTTATGTTTATACAGGACTTTGAAGTTTTTAAGTACTTTCAAATAATTTGGCCCCCACAAAAATCTTGTGAGGTAGGCAGGTCAGTATTAGTATCCACATTTCACAGATGAAGATATTGAAATTGTTCACAGTCACATGAGTCTCAGCCTAGACTTGAACTCAGGTCTTCTGAGCCCATATTTAGTATTGTTTTTTATTTTAACAGTCACTGGTAGAAATGAGAGCATTTTGCCTACTACTTTCTTTTTTTTTTGAGACGGAGTTTCGCCCCTTTTGCCCAGGCTGGAGTGCAATAGCGCGATCTCGGCTCACTGCAACCTCCCCCTCCCGGGTTCAAGCGATTCTCCTGCCTCAGCCTCCCGTAGTAGCTGGGTTTACAGGCATACGCCACCATGCCCGGCTAATTTTGTATTTTTAGTAGAGACAGGGTTTCTCCATGTTGGTCAGGCTGGTCTTGAACTCCCGACCTCAGGTGATCCGCCCGCCTCGGCCTCCCAAAGTGCTAGGATTACAGGCGTGAGCCACCGTCCCCGGCTGCCTACTACTTTCTAAGCACCATTACACTTCTGCCTCTGCCCTGCCTCAAATGCATCTTGTCAAAACCCCAGTCCTCATTCTTTATCCAGGCTAAAATATCTACTCCTCTCTGTGTGCTTTCAGAACACGTTGTTCACATGGCTATTATAGCACTTGTCACTTATTACAATTAATATGTTTATGTTTCTATAATAAAATTAAGGGCCAAAATTATGATACATATTTGGGTTCATTCACTGCCTTAGCGTATAGTGATGTGTCTGTTTATTTGTTGAAATGAAAGAATGTGTTTTGTCTGCATATGAATGCTGTCGTGGAAGCTATCATAGGCTGTGGAAGTTGGCAAAATAAGCTTTGTTATTTGTGTGGAGGGTAGAGTATGGGCTTCAGCAAGAGCTTCATAAGATGCAAGGCTTCATTGTAGTGGGAAGATCACTCCTGGGAATCAAGAGTTGTGTTTTAGTGCTGGCTGTCACAAACCAGCGTTGTAATCCTGGACAAAACACTTAACTTCTCTGGACCTCCGTTTTCTTAGCCATAATATTAACTTTCTTAGGAGTTTAGATTCTTTCACCCATTAAAGTTCTGTGAGTATGTAATTAGCCTGGAAAGGCAAAAATAAATGCTCAAGGCACCTAGAATCTTGTAGTTAGAAGGTGGTAGGTGATTATGGGCAGTTTTCATGGTGTAAATAAGTTTTATCGAATATAAACAGCTTAGTAGTAAGAGCACTGGCTCTGGAGTTGGAATATAACTTAGCTCTCTCACTCAATAGCAGCATATGACCTTGAGCAAGTTTCTTATTTGTCCTGTGCCTAACTTTGCTCATCCATAAGACATCCTCAGTGTGAGGATTGAAAAAGATAATATAAGGCACATGGAAAGGGCTCAGTAAATGGTAGAAATTACTGTTATTACATTTAGAGCTCATAGATGCAAACTTTGGGATGAGATAGGGAAAGGAACCAAGAAGATAATAAACCATTTTGTTGGTTTCTAATGGCATGGGCAGACTGTGTGGAGATACTAAAGCCCTGTGTTATTCTTTCATGACACTTTCTGCAAAATGTGATCTATCTTCCTGTACTGAGACATTAATTGAAAAATTTCTGAAGAACAAGAGTCTTATTTCATGTAGTTATTTGAGCACTATAAAATTGTGTCAAGGAGAATTTCTGTGATCTTGATGACTGTATTTTAGTATGATATTTGAAGAGCACGGGCTGGCACTATTTTTTCTTTTTTCATTTCACTACTCTCTGCTTCTAAGGAGTAGGGTATGAGTTTTTTAAAAAATAAAATTTGAAATTAAAACTTATCTGTCTTCTTATGGCCTCTTTTTTCTAAAAGTTTTTGTTTTTCAAGATTCCATAGAAATTGAGGATTTATAAACTTCCTTATATTTGGAAGAAAAAGCTATGGAACCTTAACATAGTACGTAGTAGTATGTAGTAGAAAACTGTTTATAAACTTGATTCTAACTATCATTTGCTTACAGAAATTAGTAACTGTTACAAAGATTATATTGTAAATAGAGATGAGGTTGAGTATCCCATTTCCCAAATGCTTGGGACCAGAAGTGTTTTGGATTTTGGAATTTTTTGGATTTTGGAATATTTGCATTATACTTAGTTATTGAACATCTGAAATTGAAAATGCTCTAGTGATCATTTCCTTTGAACATCATGTCATGTTAGCACTCAGAAAGTTTCAGATTTTGGAGCATTTCAGATTAGATTTTCAGATTTGGGATGTGTAACCTATAGGTAATCATGTTGTGTATTTAGTCTGAGTCATTCTTCCATCGTGTACTTGTTGTATTCCTTCCACTCAGTCCAGCACTGTACACATTTAACAGTTACTTCCTTGCCTGAAAAAGCTTCACTACTTTAAATTTATTTTCTCTTTTAAAAATAGTATTATTTGACATATAAATGAAGATATGTAATATCCTTCACAATATTTTATCTTTGGGTTTCTCTTTTTTTGTTGTTGTTGTTTTGTTTGTGTTTTGTTTTGTTTTGAGATGGAGTCCCTCTCTGTCGCCCAGGCTGCAGTGCTGTGGCGCAATCTCGGCTCACTGCAACCTCCGCCTCCCAGGTTCAAGCAATTCTCCTGCCTCAGCCTCCGGAGTAGTTGGGATTACAGGCACGCACCACCGTGCCGGGCTAATTTTTTGTATTTTTAGTAGAGACGGGGTTTCACCATGTTTGCCAGGGTGGTCTTTCCTGACCTCAGGTGATCCGCCTGCCTTGGCCTCCCAAAGTGTTGGGATTAGAGGCATGAGCCACTGCCCCTCACCCCCTGCTGGATTTCTCTTGTTTTTAACAGAAAAAAAAGAATGACATAAGATTATGAATTGAATTGCATTTCTAGAAAGCTATTTTATCTATTAAACCAGTTGAAACTAAACTCTTGGCTGTGTGCTGGATGAAAGTAGTTTTTATATGACAACTGATGGCTGTGTGCCTTTTAAAAAATAGTAAAATATATAATCTTTGTATTAAAAAGTATGGAAACATATACATTTAGCAGATAATAAAGTGAATTATTATTAACAACTGTCAGTGTCAAGGAATTCTGCTAACATCCGAGAATCCCTCTTGCCTCCTTTCTGTATCTAATATCTTCTCTCTCCCTAAAGGAAACCACTATCCTATCTTTAAGTTATTCATTTATTTGCTTTTCTTAATCATTTACTATCTAGGATTATATCCCTAAATGTTATAAATTTAGTTTTGTATGCACTTGAACTTTATATGAATGGAATCATATTGAACATATTCTTTTGTGTCTTGCCTCTTTCAAAGTCAGTATTGTGTTTGTGAGGTTCATCTTTATCACATAGAGCTGTAGTTCTTTTTCGTTGTAGCATTGTATTCTATTATATGATGATATCACCAATTATTTACTATTGTACAATTAATGGATATATTGGTTGCTTCCAGTTTTTGGCTCTTACACAAAACGGTAGTTGCACATATACATGAGTTTCACTAAGAGTTAATCCAGGAATGGAATTGCTAGGTTATAGGGTAGTGTATCTTTAATTTTACCAGATGATGCCAAACTAATTATACAAGTTTACATTCCCACCAGCAGTTGAAGAATTTCCTTGCCCTGCCAGGCGCGGTGGCTCATGCCTGTATTCCCAGCACTTTGGGAGGCCGAGGCGGGCGGATCACGAAGTCAGGAGATCGAGACCATCCTGGCTAACACGGTGAAACCCCGTCTCTACTAAAAATACAAAAAATTAGCCGGGCGTGGTGGCAGGAGCCTGTAGTCCCAGCTACTCGGGAGGCTGAGGCAGGAGAATGGCGTGAACCCGGGAGGAGGAGCTTGCAGTGAGCCGGGATCGCACCACTGCACTCCAGCCTGGGCGAAAGAGCAAGACTCCGTCTCAAAAAAAAAAAAAAATTTCCTTGCTCTGCATCTTTGCTAACATTTAATATTGTCAGAATTTTAAAGTTTTGACAGGCTGATAATGTGTTACATTTCTCATTGTGCATTTAATTCACCTTTCACAGATTACTAAAAGTAATTCTTTTAATATGTTTTTGGTAATTTGAATTTCTTCTTTTGTGTTCAAGTCTCTTATCCATTTTTCTCTTGAAGTCTTTGTTTGTATGTTGATTGTGTGTGTGTACAATATATGTGTTTTGAATTTTAACCATTTGCTGGTGATAGTTATTGCTAATATAGTCTCATTCTGAGACCTGTCTTTTCATTCTCACTGTAGTGTCTTTTTATGAATTCTTTAACATGGTCCAATTTGTTAGTTTTTTCCTTTACAGTTGATGCTTTTTGTGTTATGTTTAAGACATTTCTTCCTAATGTGTGATCATGAAGATAATCTTCTATATTATCTTCTAAAAGCTTTATGATTTTGCTTTTCTTTAACAATTAGATCTATAATCTACCTAGAATAGATGTTTGTAAATGGTATGAGGTAGGGGTCCAGTTTCATTTTTTTCCCCATATGGATACACAATTGTCCCAGAACTATTTGCTGGGAAGAAAAATAATTCCCCACTGCTCTGCAGTGCCCTGTTATGTAGCATGTGTCTGTTTCTGCATTCTCCGTTCTCTTCATTGATCTATTTGTCTATTCCTATACCAGTATCCCACTGTCTTAATTAGGAAAGAATTAAAATAAATTTCTGCTGCTTCTTCAACATAGTTTAGTAGTATTGTTGGCCCTTAGGGCTTCTATGTACATTTTCCAGTTAGCCTGGTTGAGTGCCACAAAAAATCTGTGTTTTTTTGGAGAGATTTCATTGAATTTATAAATCAGTTTTGGAAAAATTAACCTCTCTTTGATATTGAGTCTTCCCACCTGTGCATGTTTTATCTCTGTTTAGGTCTTTTTTACTATCTTAATAATGAGTTACAGTTTTTTTCCCTAGAAGTGGGAACACAAACTACTTCAAGGATGTTTTAAATACTTTGTTTTTCCTGTTAGAATTTCCTCCTTGTTTTTGTTGTGTACAACCTTTAGTAGCCTTCTGAGAAAGGATCCATGGAAAACATATTTTTTAAGAACTTGCCTGTCTAAATATGTCTTTATTATAAGGTCACAACTTAATATATATAATTCTAGTTCAAAAGTAAGTTTTTAAAGAATTTTTAAGATTTAGAATTTGTTAGTTTTGAAGACTTTCTTCCATTCATTATCTTTTGGCTGCAAGAGTTGCTGTTGAATGTCTGATGCCATTTGGCTTCCTGGATCCTTTGCCATCTTTTTCTCTTAATAGCCTTTAGGATTTTCTTTTATCCTCTGTTCGTGGTGATGTACTTTGATATAGGTCTTTTCTTCTTCTTTCGTTTTGCTGTGCTCTTGGTTGGTCCTTTCAATCCAAAGACTTATGTCCTTCAGTTCTGTGACATTTTCTTGTATTATTTATTTGACAGCCTCCACCCACCACTTCCCCCAATAATGACTCTTGCCATGGTCTTAAGATTCTTCATGTCCCTAAATTCAGGGGACACTTACCATCTTACTTGACCTGTCATTACCATTTGAGATACTTGGCCATTCTTTCCTTTAAAAAGTTCATCTTGGCCGGGCGCGGTGGCTCACGCTTGTAATCCCAGCACTTTGGGAGGCCGAGGCGGGTGGATCACGAGGTCAGGAGATCGAGACCATCCTGGCTAACACGGTGAAACCCCGTCTCTACTAAAAATACAAAAAAAAAATTAGCCGGGCGTGATGGCGGGCGCCTGTAGTCCCAGCTACTCGGGAGGCTGAGGCAGGAGAATGGCGTGAACCCGGGAGGCGGAGCTTGCAGTGAGCCGAGATTGCGCCACTGCACTCCCGCCTGGGCCACAGAGCGAGACTCCGTCTCAAAAAAAAAAAAAAAAAAAAAAAAAAGTTCATCTTTTGGCCTTTTTTTTTTTTTGAGATGGAGTCTCGCTCTGTCGCCCAGGCTGGAGTGCAGTGGCGCGATCTCGGCTCACTGCAAGCTCTGCCTCCCGGGTTCACGCCATTCTCCTGCCTCAGCCTCCCGAGTAGGTGGGACTACAGGTGCCTGCTACCACGCCCGGCTAATTTTTTCTATTTTTTTTTTTTTTTTTTTTTTTTAGTAGAGACAGGGTTTCACCATGTTGGCCAGGATGGTCGCGATCTCTTGACCTCATGATCCACCCGCCTCGGCCTCCCAAAGTGCTGGGATTACAGGTGTGAGCCATCTCACCTGGCCCGTCTTTTGGCTTTTAAGTCACCATACTCTTGATTTTCCTTCCACCTCTGTGTCTGTTCGTCACACTCCTTTGCTGGTTCTTCCTCTTTCTGACTTTAAGGTGTGGGAATTCCACAGGGCTTGGGTATAGGCCACCTTCTCCTTTTCTTAAGAGAACCGGTCTTCTCCCATGGCTTCAATTACCATCTAAGTGCAATTTCTATCTTTACCCTAAGACCTCCCTTTTGAACTCCAGATCCACACATCCAACTGTCTATTAGAGATTTCTGCTTGGATGTCTCACAGATACCTTAAACTGCAAGTCCAAAACATGAACTAATTCAGCTCATGATGTCAGTCACAAATTTGCTCCTTCTGTCTTCCCACTCAGTAATTACCACTTCCATCTACCAGTTGCATAGGCCAGAGACCTAGAGGTCATTTTTAACACCTGTTGCTGCCTTCCCCGCCAAACCTAATTAAACACCAAGGCCTGTTAATTCTACCTACTAAATATTTCTCAAAAATACTTCTTTCTTTCTTCACTGTCATTTCACTAGTCAAAGCTGCTATCATCTCTTAGACTACTGCAGTCTTATTGGTATGTTTTTGGGCTTCATATAATCATTTACATGATTCTTTTAATCCTGTAATCATTTAATATATTCCTTTGTGTTGGGCTTCTTTTGCCAAACATTATATGAATGAGTTTCATCCATGTTGTTGCATGTAGTAGTAATTTGATCTTTTTCTTTGCTTTATGGTATTTTATGAAATATTATAGTTTATCCATTCTGTAGTATTTGGATTGTTTTCACTTTTTGTATGTTAAAAATATGATTCACGGCCCGGTGCAGGGGCTCACGCCTGTAATCCCAGCACTTTGGGATGCCAAGGTGGGAGGGTCACTTGAGCCCAGGAGTTCAAGACCAGCCTGGGCAACATAGGGAGACCCCATCTTTATTTGTTTTATTATTATTATTTTTTCTTGAGACAGAGTCTCACCTCTGTCATCCAGGCCGGAGTGCAGTGGCGCGATCAACTCCCCAGGCTCAGGTGATCCTCCCACCCCAGCCTCCCAAGTAGCTGGGACTGTAGGCACCTGCTACCATGCCCAGCTAATTTTTATATTTTTTGTAGAGACGGGATTTTGCCATGTTGCCCAGGCTGGTCTCAAATTCTTAGGCTCAAGTGATCTGCCCACCTCGGCCTCCCAAATTGCTAAGATTACAGGTGTGAGCCACCATGTCCAGCCTTAAATTTTTTAAATTAAAAACCAAAAAATACGATTCATGAATATTCTTGTGCCTTTTGGTGCACATGTGCCATTATTTCTGTTGGATATATACCGGGAAGGAATTTTCTAGGTCATAGGTTATACATATCTTCCAAAGCGGTTGTACCAATTTACACTCCCATCAGTAGGGTATGGGAGTTTTCCCAGTTGCTCTGTGTCTTCACTTACACTTGGTATTGTTATTAATATTATCTTTAATGTTTTTTGTTAGCCATTCTGTTGAGTATAAGTGGTTTTATTTACATTTTCCTGATGACTAATGAAGTTGAGTGCCTTTTTATGTGCTTATTCAATATTTGGGTATCTTTTTTTGGTGGAATTCCTGGTTATTTGCCCAATTAAAAAAAAAAAGCTCTATTTTGAGGTATAATTTATATACCACAAAATTCACCCATATAATTTTGTGAGTTTTAGTAAATCTGTATAGTTTTGCAGCCATTACTACAATCCAGCTTTGGAAGCTTTCTGTCACCCCCCGAAAGTTCTCATGTGCCTATTTTGCAGTCTGTCTCTATTCCCACACCAAGCTCAAGATAGCCCTTACTTGCTTTCGGAATGGCTCTGTAATTTTGCCTTTTCTAGAATTTTTTAATAAGTGGAAACATACAATATGTATTCTTAATATGTATGGCTTTTTGCACTTAGCACAGGGTTTCTCAGTGTTGGCACTACAGCCGTTTTGGACAGGATAATCCTTTTTTGTGGAGGGCTGTCCTATGCACTGTAGGATGCATCCCTGACCCTACCCCTTTGTGACAACCTAAAATACTTCCAGACATTGCCAAATGTCTCCTGGATGGCAAAATCAGCACCACTGGTTGAGTGTAATTTTTCAGGATTCATCTGTGTTATTCATTTGTCTATTAAAATTTTTGGTTATTTATATTTTCCTTAATGATTTGTAGGATATGAGGTCCTTTTTCCACAATGTAGATTGCTTTTCATTTATTTAATTCTTTTTCCTGATCCATAGAGGTATTTTTAAATTAGAAAATAAATTTATTAGAAAACAAAGGTTGAAAATAAACAGAATGAACAAACTCTATTTTTGCTTGCCCCAAAACCTCAATAAAAACTGTTATCTGGCCAGGTGCAGTGACTCATGCCTGTAATCCCAGCACTTTATAAGTTTGAGGCAGTAGGATTGCTTGAGCCCAGGAATTCAAGAACAGCCTGGGCAACATAGCGAGACCCCATGTCTACGGAAAGTAGTAAAAAAACTTAGCTGGGCATGATGGCACTCACCTGTGGTCACAGCTGCTGGAGAGGCTGAAGTGGGAGGATCCCTTGAACTTGGTGGAGGCTGCAGTGAGCTGTGATTGTGCCACTGCACTCCAGCCTTGGTGACAGAGCAAGACCTCGTCTCAAACAACAACAGCAAACAACTATTATCTCTTAAAATTTTAATATTTTTTCATATAAGTTCTGCATTTCCTTGTTAAATTTTTGCCTTGATAGTTTATCTTTCCAGCTACTATTTTGAATGGGATAGTTCTTCCATTATGTTTTGCAATTATTGTTTGGATATAAGAAAGCTATTAATTACTATTCTATAATATCTTAACCTTATTGAGTGCTCTTATTGTTTATTTTCCCCTCAACATTGAAGTTTTTCAATCCTATAAAAATGTTGATATGTAAAAAAAGTTGTATAGAGAACATACACATATCAACTACCTAGATTCTACAGCTGTTCATATTTTGCTATACTGACTTTATTACACACGTCTATCCATCCATTCATCCATTTATCCATTCATTATCTGTTTCTCTTTTTCATTTTCTTAAGGATTTTCTCTTCTTTCAAGTATTTGTACCTTTGTTTTTTTCACTTGTCTAATTATGTTGATTAATCCTTCCTGAACAATTCTAAATAATTCGACATTGGAAATGTTAGTAATTTAGTGAATTATTTTATAATATATTTTCTGGCACAATTTTAAAGTTTTAAACTTTCCTTCTTAGTTTTCTGTTTTCTACCAGAAAGTTATTGTTTATGTGCTGACATAGACTTCTAGATAAAGTGGCATATTACTTTATTCCCATGTTTCTTATTTGTAAATCTGTATTTAAATTCACACAGATCTTTAACATAACTCTGTAACAGAAGCAGTTAATTCTTATTTTGCCAGTGTCTCTATGTCAAGGTACACTTCTGCTTGAATATAAGATGCTATTGCTGTTACTGTATGAAATGTTGCCTTTTTATTATAAAAATCTGTCACTTTTATGTACCAAAATGAGAACTGAGATGGTTTTGAAATTTCAGAAAAAATTTTAACAAAAGAACTAATCGATTCAGTGAATATATATTTTTTTTCCTTAAAGAGCAATCATTTTCAGAAGTAGTTTTTAAGTGATAATCTCATCTCAAGATAATGGGAAGAAAAATGTCAAGACCAGGGCATTTATTTTATATCCCTGTGTTTCTTACTAACGTGTTTTTTATCTGTAAGGATATAACTACTGAATGTACATATGGAGTATAAAAACAATATTTTATTGTTCTTTTAATTTATAAGATGATCAACTTTTCCAATTTACCAGCTTATCAGCTCACATTTCTTCCTATAAATCAATGCTGAAATATTAGTTAATTTGAGTGCTTTCTTTAGAAAGGGAAGGTATTTGAATCATCCCTCCTTCCATCCCTTCCTCCTTTCTTGGAAAGTGTGAGCAAAGTTAATAAATTTCATTTCTCTTTGTATGTTGTCATTTTAGCATCTCAATTTTAAAGAAATGTACTGGAAATCAAGATATTTTATTAATTTTAATTTTAATATTTTTTTGAGACAGGGTCTCACTCTGTCGCCCAGGCAGGAGTGCAGTGCCGCGATCTTGGCTCACTGCAACCTCCGCTTCCCACGTTCAAGTGATTCTCATGCCTCAGCCTCTGGAGTAGCTGGGATTACAGGCGCCCGCCACCACACCCAGCTAATTTTTGTATTTTTTAGTAGAGATGGGGTTTCGCCTTGTTGGCCAGGCTGGTCCCCAACTCCTGGGCTTAAGCTATCCGCCTGCCTTGGCCTCCCAAAGTGCTGGGATTATAGGCGTGAGCCACCGTATCCAGCCAAGATATTTTATTTTTGCTTGTAAAGCATGTTTTATTTCCAGTTGGTATGTTGTATGGCATGAGCTTTATAAAGTCTCTTAAAATTTTAAAGATCTGTGATATGGCTTATTCACATTTAAAGATAAAGTAATATTACATAATTTATTTCAGAGTATCCTGCCAAAGTTTTATAAAGAATGGCCAAGAAACTAGCATACCATATCTGATTTTGGATCTTTAAATTAACCTTGATAGAATCTTTTTTCTGGCCTGCTTTTTTTTGGTCTGTGCCCTGATGGATGTGAAGTAATATCGTCCCTGATTACTAATGAGGTTGAGCTCATTTTCATATGTTTATTGGCCATTTGGATTTCCTGTTCTCTGAAGTGATTGTTAAAGTCTTTTGGGCTCTCTTTCTTTTTCTTATTGATTTATGGGGGTCATTATACATTTTGGATACTTATCCTTTGTCCGTTATATATGAGGCACATATTTTCTTTTGCATTGTGGTTTATCTTTTCACTCTCTTTAGGATTTTCTTTTTTTGTGTAGACATTTTAAGTTTTAATATAGTCCAATTTATTAACTTTTCCCTACATGGCTAATGTTTTTGTCTTAAGAAATTCTTTCCTAACCAAGATGGTGAAGATATCCTGCTGTGTTATCTTTGTAAAGTTTTATGGTATTGCCTTCTACATTAGGTGTGTAATTAAACTGGTGTTGATTTTTGCTTATAGAGTGAGGTAAGGACCGAATTTTATTTTTTCTATGTAGATACCCAGTTGTCCCAGCACCATGTACTTTAAAGACCGTCCTTTTCTTACTGCTTTGCAATGCTTCCATCATATAATGGATGTCCGTACGCACATAGTATATTTCCATGACATTCTCTTAGGTTAAATTTTTAGGAGAATTGTTAGAGCAAAACAAATGATTATTTATTAATGCTTATTTTGAAATTACAAAATTTGTGCACATTTATTTTTCAATTTTTTAATTGTAGTAAAATACACATAAAATTTACTGTCTTGACTATTTTTTATATCCTGTGAAGATTCACCATCGTCATGATTTTTAAATGTCTAGTTCAGTGGTATTAAATACATTCGTAATGTGCAACTGTCACCACTGTCTGTCCATCATGCCTCTTATCTTTTAAAATGAAACTCTACCGTGTTAAACAGTAACTTCCTATTTCTTCCTTCCTCCTGCCCTAGGCAACTGTTCTTCTACTTTTTGATACCATGATTTTGACTATCCTAAGTACCTCATTAAATGGAATCATACAGTATTTATCATTTTGTGACTTAGTTCCTTTAGCGTAATGAGCCTTAAGGTTCATCCATGTCATAGCATATGTTAGAATTTCCTTCCTTTTTAAGGCTGAATAATATTTGTGGTATGTATATACACATTTTTCTTATCCACTCATCTATTGATGTCACTTGGATTGCTTGCATGTTTTAGCTGTTGTGTATTTAGCTACGAACGTGGGTGTACAAGTATCTCTTTGAGACCCTGCTTTCAGTTTTTTAGGGTATATACCCAGGAGTGGGATTCCTGGATCTTGTAGGAATCTATTTTTAATTTTTTGGGGGAACTGCCATATTGTTTTCTGTAGCTGTACCAATTTTACATTTCCATCGATTTGTGCACAAGAGTTCTAATTTCTCCACATCTTTACCTATACTTGTTCTTTTCATTCTTTTTTAAAGTAATAGTCATCCTAGTGGGTGTAAGGTGGTACTTATATAGTTTTGACTTATATATCTCTAATATTAGTGACGTTGAGCATCTTTTCATGTGCTTATTGGCCATTTGTATATCTTCCTGGGAGAAATACCTGTTCGGCTCCTTTGCCTATTTTTGAATTGGGCTAGTTGTGGGTTTTTTTTGTTGTTGTTGTTGTTGTTGTTGAGTTTTAGGAGTTGTCTGTATATTCTGGATATTAATCCTCATCAGATACATGATTTGTAAATATTTTCTGTCACTTTATAGGTTGCCATTTTACTGTAATATTGTCTTTTAAAATGTATAACATTTTACAATTTTCATCAAGTCCAGTTCCGTGTTTTCTTTTGTTGCCTGTGCTTTAGTGTCATATCTCAGAATTCATTGTCAAGTCCAGTATCATAAAGCTTTTGCCTCATGCTGTCTTCTGAGAGTTTTATAGTTTTAGGTCTTACATTTAGGTTTTTCTTTGGTCCATTTTGAGTTAATTTTTGTTTATGGTGTTAGGTAAGGGTCCAACTTCACTGTTTCACATGTGGATATTCAGATTTCCCAGTACCATTTTTTGAAAAGACTGTCCTTTTCTCATTGACTGGTCTTGGAACCCTTGCCAAAAATCATTAGACCATATATATGCCAGTTTTTTTTTTTCTGGTCTCTATTCCATTGGTTTATATTTCAGGACTGCACTGTTTTGATTACTGTAGCTTCGTAGTAAGTTTGAAATCAGGAAGTGTGAGTCTTCAAGCTTTGTTCTTTTTCAAGATTATTTTGGCTATTCAGGGTCCATTGAGATTCCATGTGAATTTTGGGATAGGGTTTTCTATTACTGCAAAAAATGTCATTGAGATTTTGATAGGGATTGCATTGAATCTGTAGATTGCTTTGGGTAGTATTGACATTTTAACAATATTAGGCCTCCAATATATGAACATGGGATGTGTTTTTATTTATGTCTTTGATTTCTTCCAGCATTGATTTTTTAGTTTTCATTGTACAAGTCTTTCATCTCCTTGGTTAAGTTAATTCCCAAGTGTTTTATTCTCTTTGATGCTATCGTAAATGGGATTGTTTTCCTTACTATTTAAAAGTCTTTATTTTTCTTGAATTAATTTCCAGACGTGGTACATTTTTTGTCTTATTTTAAAATATATTTTTGAAATTGTCTTTTTGTGTTCTGTTTTTCATCTTTTCCAACTATGCAATCTATGCACATTTCCTCAGCTTCTTTATTACACAGTTGTGTTTGTTTCTGCATATTCATGCTGCTCAGAGTCAATAAGTCCTTGCAATAAGCAGGAAAACTGTGTGATCTGAGAATTGGTAAAACATTTTGGAAACTGCAGACTTAGCCAAATTTAACTTATTACTGACACCATTTTGTTGCTATATTTTGACTGACCAGTGACTAAATTTTGAATACCTAACCAGAACAATATAAATAAAATAGAGTTTGGGAATGTGAAGAAAATATAAGGAGAATATAAAGTATATTTCTTTCTCTTTTGCAGATTTCAGGAAATGACATAATCCTTGGAATTTCTGTAATATTTTACAGAAATTACAGAAAGAATATGTACAGTCGATCCTCATTATTTGCAGATTTTGTATTTGTGAATTTGCCTACTTGTTAAAGTTTACTTGTAGTCCTAAAATCTATACTTGCGGCACTTACTTGGTTATTTGTGTGTATGCGCAAAGCTGCAAAAAAATTTGACTCCTCTAGCAAGCACATTCCCAGCTAAACTTGAACAAGGTGACACTGCCTTGATTTCACCTCTCATGAAGAGATGACCAGAGGACGGAGACAGCAGAGGGCAGTGTAGTGAAGTGCAAGAAGGTCTGGCTGTGGGGGCCAGTTGGATAGGGTTTGAATCCCAAGTCTGACATCTGTTTTTGGGATGGCCTTCCGCAAGTCACTTAACACTTATACACCTCATTTCTCTTTTGTAAAATAAAGAAAGGAGAATCTCCCTGGATGAATTGTTTTCAGGATTTAAGAATATAATAATCTATGTGAGGGGTGTGTGTATGTGCATGGTTTTCCCTATGAACAATGTTTCAGTAGTCGCTAATTCAGTGCTTGCAGTGATTTTATAAAACATAACTACCACAAATAATGAGAATTAACTCTGTGTGTTTGCTAAATGATGATGAATGATTTTATTCTTTTTTAATATTGATACTTGTTCCTACCAAAATCTTAGCAGGACTGAAAAGATCACCATAATTTGCATGTAATTTAAAACAGATAACAGTATGAACAGTCTAAAAGTATATGCTTCCTTCAGTGCGGTTTCCTCTCTCTTCACTTAATAGCTTTTTGGAACTTTGGATATTTATTACCCAAACGTTTACTCTACTCTGTACCTTAGCTCTCCCATCTGTGTTGCTCATAGGTTTTGAAGGATTATGCCAGTTCTTAATCTCAGTTCCAAATACGCCCTTCTATGCTTTGTGATGCTGGTTCAAAGACTGCAGATCACATTTCTGCCTTGCTAGCAGCTCATTTCTGTTTCAAAAGTATAGGGCACTAGAGGGAGGCTGCAAGGAGAAGGAGGAAGAAATGACTTACACCTTTGTCTTGTTTCCTGTGAACTTCCTGTCTGCTTGTTACTTTGACCATCACCCTTGTAGAGGTTTTTTTTTTTTTTGCTCCAGCATCAGCAGTTTCTTTCTGTAGCAGCTGTTGAATACAGTTTGTAGTTTTTCCAACACTCACAGAACTAACCTCATCATAACCCTTCATAACACCAGCACCAGTTGGCTGGTACCCTGTTCCTCAAAAGTTTGGGTCGCAGTCTCACAGGACCCCTCTTCAGAGACAACAGCACCAGCTGAGCAGCACTCTGTCCTCAGAGGTCCGTCTGAGTTTCAGCTCTGTGGAACCCTTCCTCCAAGCTTCTGAATTTTAATAATTCCAATCTTTTCCCTTTGTTCCCATAGTCCTAGGGGTGGTAGCTTTTGCCTGTAGTTGTTACCTCCCTGATCCTTTGTATTATTTTTTCAGTTGGCAACAGAGTTAGTCATTGTTTTTATTAAATTTCTCTATTAAAATAATCAATGTGATTTTCCTCCTGTCTGGACCCTAACTGATACAAGGATTAAATAAGTTACTAAATGGAAAGTGCAGAGAACAGTGCCTCTTCTAATAGCACGATGGATATTACTATATACGATAACATACTTGAAATAATTTGAGATTTTTCTTACTGATTTCTTTGCAAAATACTAATATTTCCAATTTATATAGGTAAAAACATTAAAATAATCATTGAATTTTATTGATATTAATATGCTCAAATATCACCTCGGTTAGACCTAACTTAACTACCCTATTTAAGTTGTAAACTCTGGCCTGTGTGCTCTCATACCCCATTTCCTCATCTTATTTTATGTTTTTTGAGACAGAGTCTCAGTCTGTCAACCATGCTGGAGCGCAATGGTGCAATCTTGGCTCACTGCAACCTCTCCCTCCTGGGTTCAAGTGATTCTTGTGCCTGAGCCTCCTGAGTAGCTGGGATTACAGGCGTGCACCACCACACCGTGCTAATTTTTGTATTTTTTGGTAGAGACAGTATTTCGCCATTTGTCCATGCTGGTCTCGAACTCTTGGGCCCAAGTGATCTGCCCACCTCGTCCTTCCAAAGTGCTGGGATTCCAGGCATGAGCCACCGCGCTCAGCCTTCTCATCTTTCTTATTAGTTTACTTTTTCCCACAGTACTAATTGCTAATATACTGATTTATTTGTTGACTGTCCACTCCCCAAAATTGTAAGTACCCCAGCACAGAGAGATTTTGCATATTTGCACATTGTCAGCATCTAGAACAGTAACCTAACATATAGAAGGCACTCAGTAAGTATTTGTTGGAAGAATGAATGGATTTCAGCAGATCAACTCTTTTGGTCAAGATTTGACCAAGATTTTTAATAGATTTTTATGCAGTAGTTCCCCCTTATCCGAGGTTTCACTTTCCATGGTTTTATTTACCTGCAGTCTGAAAATAGGTGAGTACAGTACAGTAAGATGTATTGAGAGACATCATTCACATAATTTTTATGATAGTATATTGTTACAGTTGTTCTATTTTATTATTATTGTTGTTAGTCTCTTACCGTGCCTAATTTATAAATTAAACTTTATCATAAGTATGTATGCAAGGAAAAAACATAGTATACATAGGGTTTAGTACTATCCAAGGTTTCCAGCATCCTCTGGGGGTCTTGGGATGTATTCCCTGGGGATAGAGGGGACGGCTGTATTACGTTTCTTTTCTAGAGCACATTTCGCTGGGGTGTTGTTTGTCTTTG
The DNA here is from genome assembly GCF_000001405.40 of Homo sapiens. Classification (NCBI taxonomy): domain Eukaryota; kingdom Metazoa; phylum Chordata; class Mammalia; order Primates; family Hominidae; genus Homo; species Homo sapiens. The sequence continues at coordinate 103,985,341 of NC_000010.11, forward strand.
TGTTTTCTGCAGCTTGGACCAGTGCCTTGTAGTGGATGTTCATGAACATTTTGAGTTGTTCGTGAACAATTTGAGTTGTTTAGTTTTTACATTTTATGGTTAAATGTTCTTACACACTGGACAATTAGGCTCTTCTTCTTTTGGTGGGGGGAAGAATACCTCAGCCTTGAGATGAAATCAACCAGATTGATAGAATCAGTCCCAGTGATTATTTTTTCTTTTTATTCCTTGTTTTTTAGATTCCTTTTGTATTTATCTTACATATTTTTTGTTTGTTTGTTTGTTTGCCTTTGATTGACTAACACCTCTGTGGGACTGAAATCATCTCTGTTTTCTGTGCTGGTCTTTCAGTTTCCAGCTAAAAATTTTATTAAAATATATTCTTCACTATGAAATACTATATAATGTTAGAAAATGTAAAAATATAGAAAGAAAATAAATGAAGATTTAAAAATTATTCCTGTACTCACCACCCAGGGAATACCTTCTGTTCAAACAAGAGTAATATGAGGGTGTAATTTTTTTAGAATATGAAACCAGTATGGAACTTTCAGACAACTTATGTTTCCCAGTATCCCTCATTTGTTTATGTAATGTGGCCAAGCTCTACTGATGATTCATGAAAATAAAAACAGTGATTTTAGGTGATCATGACTGATATTTGAAATCTTTTTATCAACAGAAGTTATATTTTTAAATTAAGATTGGGATTTGTTATTCCATTTTTGTTTTTAACATTTGTTTAGTTCAGTAGTGCCCATCCTCTTTGGCACCAGGGACTGGTTTCATGGAAGACAACTTTTCCACAGACTGGATGCGGGGATGTTTTGGGGATAATTCAAGTGTGTTATGTTTATTGTATACTTTGTTTGTATTATTACTACATTGTAATATATAATGAAATAATTACACAACTCACCATAATATAGAATTAGTGGGAGCTCTGAGCTTGTTTTCCTGCAACTAAATGTTCCCATCTTGGGCTGATGGGAGACAGTGACAGATCATCAGGCGTTAGATTCTCATAAGGAGCACACAACCTAGATCCCTCACATACGCAGTTCACAATAGGGTTCACAGTTCACGATAGAGTTCATGCTCCTCTGAGAAGCTAATGCTGCTGCTCATCTGACAGGAGACAGAGCTCAGGTGGTATTGTGAGCAATGGGGAGTGGCTCTGAATACAGATGAAGCTTTGCTTACTTGCCTGCTGCTCATCTCCTGCTATGCGGCCTGGTTCCTAACAGGCCGTGGACTGGTACTGGTTTGTGGCCCTGTGGTTGGGGAACCCCGGGTTTAGTTATTTCATTAAGCCTTTATGTGAAGAGTTTTTTTTTTTTTTTTTTTTTTTTCCCTGAGACAGAGTCTTGGTCTGTTGCCCAGGCTGGAGTGCAATGGCACGATCTCGGCTCACTGCAACCTCTATCTCCTGGGTTCAAGCAATTCTGCTGCCTCAGGCTCCCAAGTAGTTGGGATTACAGGCATCCGCCACCATGCCTGGTTAATTTTGTATTTTTAGTAGGAATGGGGTTTCACCATGTTGGCCAGGCTGGTCTTGAACTCCTGACCTTGTGATCCGCCCGCCTTGGCCTCCCAAAGTGCTGGGATTACAGGCATGAGCCACCACGCCTGGCCTATGTGAAGAGTTTTTATGCCTTTAGATATTAGGTAGATAAGCTCTTTTTTAAAAATACTTTATGTCCCAGTTATATTAGTGTAGAGAATAGTGTCACACACTTGTAAATATTTATTTCAGTTTTGTTTTTTTAAAGTTTTTTAGAACTAGATCCTGATGAGTAATCATGTTATTTTCAAGCAATAATTTGAGGCACTATTCTTTTAATGTAACTTTTATTATTTATATTAAACCAAATGATATCATTGTTGGTATAATCAATATATGACAGAATTTGTTACTGTGAGGAATTTTAGAGGTTATCTAGTGTGAGTTATTTTTCTTCCTTCATGCCAGCCCATTCACAAGTATAAAAGATACATCTTTAAAATCTCCAGGACATCAGTCAATTAATTTTAGTGGCTGCGTCATTTTTCATTGTAGAACTGTACTGCATGATTTAAGCAGGTTCCTGTTAAGTGACATTTAGGCTGATTCACTTTTTCACTATTGCAAATGGTGCTTTGATGAGTATTTTTGTATGTGCATGAATTTTATTTTATGAAATTATCTCCTTCTGATAAATTCTTAAAAGTGAGATTTAGACATTTATTTATTGAAACATTTATTAACTTTAAAAAATTTAGTATCTGTTTTTAATGTAATAAGTGGAGTTTTGCTGAAGTGATGTTAATATACATCATAGTGAAATGTCTTATAAAAACAACCTAGTTAGCATTTTAAGATCTGATTCCTAACGTTAAAAATGATCCTAGTATCTACTACATATTTGGAAACCTTTCATTTATAATAAATGATGGTGAGAAGTTAACCAAAGAAGGAAAACGAGAAAGTTAAAGTACTAAGAACAAGGAAAAATGACCAAATGATAGAAATATGGGGAGACTGGAAAGGGTATAGAGGAGGCAAAACTTTGCCTCCACCCTCTTAGCGTCCCTGCTGGGCCCGAGAATTAAACTGACACAAGATAGAGTAGAGGAGAAAAGCATAGACATTTAATATAAGTTTTATGTGACATGGGAGCCCTCAAAAGAAAATGAAGTCATAGAGAAATGGCAAAACCTACATGCTTTTGTGTTAGGTTGAAAGAAGAGAGGCGATTGTAGAAAAGTAGATATGTTATATGGGGAGGCTAAAGGAAGATGTTTAATTTAACAAGGTCTGTTTGTACACAATTCTCTTGACTGTGACTCCCTATCAAAGAATGTTTCTTTTCTCCTGGGATAGAGAAGACGTCTTTTACAGGAACATTTTCATCTCCTAGTTTCAGGAAGAAAAGGTGGAAGATTAGAATGCCCTTCTTGCATCTGCTATTTTTCAAGTGCCTTTCAAACTCAAAGTGATCCTTATGTCAGAGTGGCATGTTTGAAGTGGTGTATTCTGCCACCCTTCACGGGTAATGATTATGCCTAGTGTTCCATTAACGGAACGCTAAGCTTGTGGGGGTTATTTATATCCTACTGCCCAAGGTAATTGCCAAGGTCTGATTTTTCACAAAAAAAATTTGCAACCTCTAGCATAAATGGGTTAATTTCACACACAAAAATTTGCAACCTCCGGCATAAATGGGTTTCAACCTCCAGCAGAAAGGGCTTTGGAAACAGACCTGGATTTAAATTCTGTTTCTGCTTCTTACTAGCTACATGACCTGGGAAAGCCTTTTAACCCCTCAAAGCTCATTTATATCCTCCTTTAAAGTAGAGGTAATAATATATCATGGGGTTGTTGTGAAGATTAAATAGTAATAGTAATTACAGCTAACATTTTTGAATCCTTCTATATATGCCAGATAGTATATTAAATGTTTATATGTGGTTTTTTTTTTTACTTGGCAGATATATGTTATCTTAATTCTCATGAACTTGTGAGATGTAGATAATTTTTACTGATGAGGAGACTAAAAGAGGGATTTTGTAAATTGCCCCAAGCAACACAGCTAATAAGTGGCAAAACCAGAATTTAAATCCAGCAGTCTGACCCACCAGAGGCTGTGATTTGAAATGCTGTCCCCTATGTATATGAAGCCCTTAGCACAGTGCATAGCCATAGCATGCATTAATTCATATTTATGTTTAGGCTGTCTTTTATAAATAGTGTGTCAAGAGAATGAGAAGACAAGCCACAGACTGAGAAAATATTTGCAAGACACATATTTGATAAAGGAAAGTTATCCAGAATATGCAAATAACTCCTAAAACTTAACAATTAGAAAATGAACAGCCCAGTTAAAAAATGGTCAAAAGATTTGAACAGACATCTCACCAAAGATTTGACAAATAAGTATATGAAAAGATGCTCGACATCATATGTCATCAGGGAATTGTAAATTGAAAAGATACAAGTACTACTATGTAGCTGTTAGACTGGTGAAACCCATGCTTGCTGGCAACCCCAAATGCTGGTGAGGATGTGGAGCAACAGGAACTCATTCATTGCTGGTGTGTATGCAGACTCTTTCAGCCATTTTGGAAGACAGTGTGGCAGTTTCTTTTTTTTTTTTTTTTTTTTTGGAGACAGAGTCTTGCTCTGTCACCCAGACTGGAGTGCAGTGGCGCAATTTCGGCTCACTGCAAGCTCCACCTCCCAGGTTCATGCCATTCTCCTGCCTCAGCCTCCCGAGTAGCTGGGACTACAGGTGCCCGACACCACGCCTGGCTAATTTTTTGTATTTTTAGTAGAGACGGGGTTTCACCATGTTAGCCAGGATGGTCTCGATCTCCTGACTTCGTGATCTGCCTGCCTCGGCCTCCCAAAGTGCTGGGATTACAGGCGTGAGCCACCGCGCCCGGCCAACAATTTGGCAGTTTCTTAAAAAACTAAACATACTCTTACGATATGATCCAGCAGTTGTACTCCTTGTTTATTACCCAAATGAGTTGAAAAACATGTCTACACAGAAACCCGCACATACATGTTTATAGAAGCTTTATCCATAATTGCCAAAACTTGGAAACAACCAACATATCCTTAAGTAAGTCAATGGATAAACTGTGGTATAACTAGACAATAGAATATTATTCAGTGCTAAAAAGAAATGAGTTATTAAGCCATGAAAACATTAAGGAACTGTAAATACATATTACTAAGTGAAAGAAGCTAAACAGAAAGGTCTATACATACTCTGATTCCAAGTATATGACATTCCAGAAAAAGCAAAAGCAAAACTATGGATGCAGTAAAAAGATCAGTGGTTGCCAGGGGTTGGAGGAAGGAGGGGATGAGTAGGCAGAGCACAGAGGATTTTTAGGGCAGTGAAACTATTCTGTATGATATTATAACGAGGGCTACATGTCATTATACATTTGTTGAAACCCATAGATGCAAGAGCAAACTGTAATGTAAACTTTGGACTTGGGTGATAATGATGTGTTAATGTAGGTTCATCATAGCAACAGATGTATCACTCTGGTGTGCAGTGTTGATGGGGGGGTGGTTATGCATGGAGCACGAGGGAACTTTCTGTACTTTCCACGCAATTTTGCTGTGAACCTAAAACTTTCCTTTATCAAATATGTGTCTTGCAAATATTTTCTCAGTCTGTGGCTTGTCTTCTCATTCTCTTGACACACTATTTTTAAAAGACAGCCTAAACGTAAATATGAATTAAATATGAATTAAAACTTAAAATCTATTAAAATAATAAAAAATTAGAAAATGATGCATTTGAAATGTGACACTTCTGATACTTTCATTTTCAGGCCCAGAATAAAGAGACCAGTGTTTTAGCTGCTGCAAAAGTGATTGACACTAAATCTGAAGAAGAACTTGAAGATTACATGGTAGAGATTGACATATTAGCATCTTGTGATCACCCAAATATAGTCAAGCTTCTAGATGCCTTCTATTATGAGAACAATCTTTGGGTAAGTATTTTCTGTTGATCTAAAGGAGTAGCCAAAATGAGTTAATTGTCCTAAAGAGATGTTTATGAATTATTAAAACCTATTTTATGTCTTATCTCTTCTATTTAGTTACTTGTGTCACTTGAATGAGAGTTGATCTGCTGATAAGAGAGTAATAACAAAGTTATTCTCAGCTTCAACAGATGTTCAGATTTATGTTTCAGATTGTACAGTTTCATCATGATTGTTTGACATTGGATCCAGGTGGAAAAATTTGGTTAAGAATAATAAATTTCCTAAAATATGAAATTAGATGTCCTTGTTTATAATTTAAATTTAATCATTTAAAAGTTTTAAAAGTTTCTCTTAGAAATTGTTTATAATTTTTTATCCTAAACTTTTTGTAAATCTTGTAATAAACTGTAAAATACTAGAAATGTTAAATATTTATCGTATTATCAGGTTCAACTTTAGTGCATGATGTGATGGCTAAAGCTGTATGTATAAATTTTATTCATTTTCAGAAAATATTAAGGTACAAGTAGATATAGAAATAAAACTTTCATATTCATTATAATAATCTGTCAATCACTTGTTCTGTACCAACATTAGTTTAATCAAGAGGACTTTTTAAAATGCAGCTTCAGTCTTTCTTCCTGAAGGAAGAAGCAAAGTTTTATGAGAGAGAAGAGTAAGTAGTATAAGGAATACCTGACTGGATGCCTAAAGGTCTATATTTTTTTATCCCAGTGCTGCCACTTACGGAACTTGGATAAGTCAGTTAACTTTTATGAGTCTGTTTACTCATCTGTAGGATGAGTAATGATCTACCTCCCAAATTATTTTCTGAATAATGTAATGAATTTGAAAACAATTTCTAATTGGCAAGCACTTGTAAAAAAAAATAAAGCATTATGCTGAGGGAAAAAAGGCAGGAAGCTACCTAATTAGTTAAAAATATGTTATTTTTTAAAATTATAGTTATTATTAATGTGGTGTTTTCTGAAATTATTGTTCAGGGCTGTCGCAGAATGTTTCCAAAGATTATAATGCAAATGAACCCATAGACTAGTTAATAAACAGATAAGACCTTTACTTGGGACTATTGCACAATAAAAATTTAGACAACTGTGAGGGGAAGTTTAGTGGGAGACATAAATGTTAATTAATCAAATAATCACAATAAATATAAAATTACAACTGTGGTAAGGGTTAAGAAGGAAAGGTACATGGTGTTATGTCTTACCAGGGAAGTCAAGATAAGCACCTATCAGCAGGTAATAATTGAGCTCGGATCTGAAGCTTTTGTGGGTATTTCTTCTGTTTTTTTTTTTTTTTTTTCTAAAAGAAGTCTCTGTATAAATATTTTCAGGATTTATTCCTATTTAATACAGTTTAAAAAAACAAATGTATATTTGTTCACTTAAAGCACAAGTTGCCTTAAAAATATAAGTAATAAAATCTTTCATTGGTGACCAAATAGCTGTGCAGTACAATACCAAATGAAAAAGTTCTGTACCTGGTAGTTGTAGAGAAGCAGGGACAGTAAACATGGCAATTAACAAAAATGCCCATGCTTTCACAGTGGGCTTTATCAAATGCATATTGTTTGAGATTTGTAACTCTTTTGACAAAATCTTCGTTTAGTATATCGTTTCCATAACCAGATTATTTGATAGCTATTTCTTTATCTTTTTTGCTAAGCTGAAGAAAAAATACTGAAACTCAAAACTCCATGTAGTTTTAGACACACGCTTTTTTTTTTTTTTTTGCATGCAGATCCTCATTGAATTTTGTGCAGGTGGAGCAGTAGATGCTGTGATGCTTGGTAAATACCTTTTTGTTCTTTCTGTTCATATCTTAAATTATACTTGATAAGATGAAAGAATTTCAACCATATATAAATATATTCAAATATGTAAGTATCGAGTAAAGTTCAGTAAGTTAACTCAAGTATGTTTTTATATTCTTGGATAATTATAGTAAAATTCTAAAATGAAATGTTGAGTGTGTCAAGAATGTGATCTTTGTAGATATAGTTCTTTTAAAATAAATTCCCTGCATATGATCTTTGACAGTGATGATATATACAGAAAGGTATATAGCCTGCTAATATGTTTTCACTGTATAAAAAGCAGATTTTTTTTTTTACTTTCTCCTTATAGAACTTGAGAGACCATTAACTGAGTCCCAAATACAAGTAGTTTGCAAGCAGACTTTAGATGCATTGAACTACTTACATGATAATAAGATCATCCACAGAGATCTGAAGGCTGGCAACATTCTCTTTACCTTAGATGGAGATATCAAATTGGGTAAGTTATTCACTTAAATAAAACATTAGAATTTTTACTCTGAAATTTCCATCTTTATGTATGTGACTTAATGTGGTTTTATTACTACTTAAATATGTGAAACATGGAGAACTAACTCCATGCTGGTTTTTAAAAAACACTTTTTTAGGTAAATACTCATTTTTCTATAATTTCTAAATATCAGCACCTAATTGAATGCTTTAAAAAGAAGATAAGAAAGAATGAATTTTTATTTTCAAAAAGGCATGCTTTTTAAAGACCAATTTCAAGTTTGTACCCTTAAATTTTTGTACGTAGACTTAATACTTGTAAATGTTTTATGTTTAGAATATAATATAGTATGTAAAACTGCTAACTCAGTTTTTTCTTTATTTCCAAAGTTCATGTCTAGTGAGTTTTTCCCCATGTTTAGTTTTATATTCTATTTTATTGATATGGTACGTTGACTAAACTAACAAAGTAATCTTAGTTCTGAAGAGAATACCTAAACGTAAGGACTAGAATTTTTAATTTTACTCTTTATACTGAGGGAAGAAATGTTACCTTCATAAGAAGAATTAGATGTAGGTCTTATGAAAGTTATAGCGCTCTTTACCCAAGATAGGAATTATTTAAAAAGTCTAGAGATGAAGTCCAAATTTGTATATTTTGGAAGGCTATTCAAAGGACAAAATATATTCAGAAGTCAAGTTGATACCAGTGACTATAGTCATTTCACTTTACTTTGTCAAGACATTTAAACAGATGGTGTACTAAATTTTATTCTTTTTAATTTTTTTTTAACGGAGTCTTGCTCTGTTGCTTAGGCTGGAGTGCAGTGATGTGATCATAGTTTACTGCAGCCTTGAACCCCTGGGCTCCAGGGATCCTTCCACCTTATCCTCCCTAGTAGCTGGAACTGCAGGCATGCACCACCACGCCTGGCGAATTTTTAAAAATTTTTTTGTAGAGATGAGGTCTTGCTCTGTTGACCAGACTGGTCTTGAATTCCTGGGTGCAAGTGATTCTTCTGCCTTGGGCCTCCTGAAGTGAATTTTAACCTTTTGATTGTGAAAAATTACAGATATAGAAAACCACACCAGAAATTGTGTAGCTTAAGTTTAGTACTTTGTAGACATAGCTTTGTAATCACTACCTAGATCAAAAAGTAGAACTTTGACAGGCATCCCAGAAGCTCTTCCGTATGCCCATCTCAGCCACTGCCCTTCTCTTCTCCACATTTTATCCTGACTTTTATATTATTTCCTTCCTTGTGTTTCTTTATGGCTTAGTCACCCAGTATTCATCTCTAGATGTTAGGGTTTAAACTTGCTCATATAAAACTTGGGTTTTTAAAGTCTCTTAACTTACAGGCCTTCCCCCATTCCTTTCTTTTCTTTATATTATGGCATGTGTAATGGGGGATGAGGGCAATATCACCCACATGGGTGCAAAAATTAGTTCTTTAGGGCCAAAAAAAAACCTTATGCATTACAATGGTTTGTGACCTTCCAAAGGCCCCAGTACATGAAGAGATATAACACTGTATCTATGGCATTAAAATTTTATGGGAGGAGGGATGATGTGAAAAAAATGTTTAAAATGACTCCTTAGAGGGGCTAGTAATGAAACACTGATCCATGGAACCTGGGCTGTTTGGCCTGTTGTGTTTCCCTCAAACTGCATTTTGCTATTGCATACTCCTGATGATTGAAGTTCCTTTCTGTATTTCCTTCAGTTTGGCAGATGAATCCAAAGGCTTGATCAGTCTCAAGCCTGATCCTTTGGCAAGACTTACAGGTGGTTTTGCATTCTTTCATTGGGAGGCACACCGTGTCTGCTTTGTGCCCTTTTTTGATGTTGCATCTATTGAGGCTTAATGCCTACACCTCTGTCTTTTGGGGTTGCAAAACGAATTCCATTATTTTGTTTTCATTATTTTCGATAATGATTTTGATATAAACACCAATTATTTCATTATTTTCATTCATTATAAAATTAGTAATGAAGATAATGACTTGGCTGTCTCTTATCCTCAATTGATGACCAGTGTTTTAAAAAATATTGTTAGTTCATGGATTTAATTTTATTTGGTTGGTTTCAAATCCATTGCAGTTTTTATTCTTATTGAAGCTCATGTTGTTCCATCTTTAGTCAGTGGGGTCTTCCTCGTGTCTGCTTGTTGGTCTTCTTGACAGCACTAGTAATCTTTGATAGCTTACTTGACAGTTCTGAGATGTTTCAGGCTCATCTGTGTATTTCCTGTGTCAGACCTGTAATTAACCATTTCTTTTTTCTTTTCTTTCTTTTCTTTTTTTTTTTTTTTTTTTTTTGAGTCAAAGTCTTGCTCTGTTGCCCAGGTTGGAGTGCAGTGGCTGATCTCAGCTCACTGCAACCCCCACCTCCTGGGTTCAAGGGATTCTTGTGCCTCAGCCTCCTGAGTAGCTAGGATTACAGGCATGTACCACCATGCCCAGCTAATTTTTGTTTTTTAGTAGAGATGGGGTTTCACCATGTTGACCGGGCTGGTCTGGAACTCCTGGCCAGAAGTGATCTGCCCACTTCAGCCTCCCAAAGTGCTGGAATTACAGGTGTGAGCCACTGCACCCAGTGTAATTAGCCATTTCTTTAAGAAGCCCTGGTTTCTTTTAGTAGAATATAGTATTTCAAGACCACAGTCTGGTGTAAGAGATGCTTGCAGTTTTCTATATTGGCCATTGTTCTAGGACTTTTCAAAGGACAGAGCTAGAACCCTCATGAGTTCATATATATTTCCTATTCAAATTCAGGATAAAGGTTTTTAAAATCTAACCTCTGTAATAAATGTGCATCTCCTTTCTTCTATGTTGAGAGTTCTGGTTCTCAAGGACATTGATAGGTTTAGGATACCTCATAATTCATTTTAACCCTCATTTCTATATTTAATGCTCACCACCACTCCTTATGTTGATGTGTCTTTGGTGATGTTGGTTATCTGAAGCTCAGCTTTTGGTAGATTCCTCTGAAAGGGCTCTCTGAATTCTTACATAGTGATAACAGTTGTACCCTTATAGTTGAAGGTTAGTTTTGCTGGATAACAAATCCTTGGCACAAATTTCTTTCCTTCAGCATCTGAAATATGTTACTCTGTTTTCTTCAGTCATGAAGTGTTGTTGTTGAAAAGTCTGATAATCTGAATTTCTTCATTGTAAGTCATGTGCTCTTTTTGCTTAGATGCTAAAAGTTTTTTTTTTTTTTTAAGACCAGTAGTTTGACCAGTCTTTTCTAATAAATATTTTTTTTCTTTTCTTTTTTTTTTTTTTTTGAGACGGAGTCTTGCTCTTTCACCCAGGCCGGACTGCAGTGGCGCTATCTCGGCTCACTGCAAGCTCTGCCTCCCGGGTTCACGCCATTCTCCTGCCTCAGCCTCCCGAGTAGCTGGGACTACAGGCGCCCGTCACCACGCCCAGCTAATTTTTTGTATTTTTCGTAGAGACGGGGTTTCACCGTGTTAGCCAAGATGGTCTTGATCTCCTGACCTCGTGATCCACCCGCCTCAGCCTCCCAAAGTGCTGGGATTGGTGTGAGCCACCGTGCCCGGCCTTCTAATAAATATTATGCTCGTACAATATTCGAGTGCTTTCTTCCCCGCCCCCGACAGGAAAGTTTTCTGGAGTTATAGATCTGAGCATTTGTTTGTTCCCTTGCATTGACTTGCTTCTTTAGAGACTTTTAGTATTTGTTTGTTGGATCTTTGCCTGTTGTCCATGTTTGTAACTTTTTCTCAAGTCCTTTTTTAGCTTGCTTTCTTTTTTATCGTAGGAAAATATATACAACATAAAATTTACCTTTTTGATCATTTTTAAGTGTACATTTCTGTGGTATTAAGTACATTCCCATTATTATACAACCATTACCATCACCTATCTCCATACCTCTTTTCATCTTGCAGCAGTTAAAGTCTATACCCATTAAACAGTTAGTCCCCATTTTCCACTCCTCCCAGCTTCTGGCAACCACCATTCTGCTTTCAGTTTCTATGATTTTGACCACTCTAGGTATATACGTATGTGGAATCATACAACATTTGTCCTTTTGTGACTGGCGTATTTTACTTACCATAACGTTCTCAAGGTTCATCCACGTTGTAGCGTATTTCAAGTCTTCCCCTTTTAAGATTGAATAATATGCCATTGTATGTATATAACACATTTTGTTTATCCGTTCATCCATCAGTGGGCACTTGGGTTGCTTTCACTTTTTGGCTATTGTGAATAATACTGCTATGAATGTTGGTGTACAAATGTCTGTCCTACTCCCTGCTTTTAATTCTTTTGAGTATGCACCCAGAAGTGGAATTGCTGAATCATATGGTAATTCTATGTTTAATTTTTTTGAGGGACCACCATGCTGTTCTCCATAGCAACTGCACCATTTTACATTTCTAACGGAAATGTACAAGGCTTCCAGTTTCTCCGCATGCTTGTCAACACTTTTTTTTTTTCTATGCTACATCCATCCTACTGGGTGTGAAGCGGTAATGGGTATGAATTTGTTGTATTATTTGCTCTTGCTTTCCCTAGTTTAGCCTTTGTTTCTAAAGTTTTTCTTTTTTATTTTAAATTTTTTCTGGAGCTCTGTCGCCTTTCAGAATTTTTCTAATTCTGACTTACATGGCTCTTTTATGTTTTTCATCATTTTTAAAAGTGTCCTAGCTTATTTTGAAATAGGATGTTACAGTTTTGATCAATTTTGGGGGCATTTTTTTTGTAAATATATTGAAATTTTATTTGAATATAGGGACATACTTGTGTAAAATAATGTGTACCTTATCAATATACTGAAGGTTTAGGAATTGTAAAATAATATTTAGTTAGTTGACAATTAAAATATTTGTAATTTCTGTTTAATTTACAAATACTTCCAGAGAACCTTCCATTTCTGCAACACAGATATATAGAACAATCTTATCCCCAAGAACCATATAATAGATAAAAGTAATTCAGGCAGAATTGCATGACCTTTAAGAGTTCTACAACAAAAACAACAAAGGTTAGAATTGTGAATATGGCTAATAATAGCTACCATTTATTGAGTGTATACTCTGTGGTAGGCATGAGCATCAAATACTGAATTTTTGGTACTTATTCAACTTTGAGAATTGTCGCATCAAATGTGAAACTTAAAAATTCGTGCATTTATAGCATGAGGTGAATTATGCAGCAATAGCAGTTTTATGTTGCTGTTAATGTTGTGTGAACTCCAGGCTGAAAAGGTGGGATTAACAACTGAAAAAGCTATAATGTTACTGTTCTGTATAATTTAAATCAGAAAACATAAGGTTCCCAATTTTTTCTTGACAATATAATTTTATGAGGAATTTAGCAAGACATACACTGTCCTAAAGGTTGCTTTAGTATAATTTCTATTTTTCACACTATAGAAAAAATGTTAATGACTCTTAGTTTAATTGTGCCACATAGCACTAGTTGGCATTTATTTTGAAGTGGATAGACTGGTCTGCTTTTAGAGTTACCATTTTTTATTTTCAATTTTGGAGGATTTGTCATCTGAAGATAAGGTGGTATTAAATGTATTGATAATGGGATCTTTAGCAGGTTTTTTTGGGAGATGGTAGAAAGAGATGGTCAAGATTAAGATGGGAGAGACATCTTTTTCTTTCTGTTTAACTTACTTTTTATAATAAGATTAGCCTTATTAAAGACTTAAAATGCTTTTTCTCCCCATTGAATACAATGAACAATGCTTAAAAGTTCTCATTAATGCTTTTGTGTGATTATTTCAAGCGGATTTTGGAGTATCAGCTAAAAACACGAGGACAATTCAAAGAAGAGATTCCTTTATTGGTACACCATATTGGTATGTATTCAGTTTTATGAATTTATAGTATTAGTCATGTCAGCAGTTATAATTACTCATGAATTTTTGTCCACATAATTGATTATACCATGTGTTTTGCAATCACTGTTCTTAAACATGTTAACTTTTAATTATCTGTCTTCATAGGATGGCTCCTGAAGTAGTCATGTGTGAAACATCTAAGGACAGACCCTATGACTACAAAGCTGATGTTTGGTCCCTGGGTATCACTTTAATAGAAATGGCTGAGATAGAACCACCTCATCATGAATTAAATCCAATGCGAGTGCTGCTAAAAATAGCAAAATCTGAGCCACCTACATTAGCACAGCCATCCAGATGGTAAAAATATTCTTAAAAAAGCTTAATAAGAAACAAATGATACTAGGAAGCAGAACTTGATGTTATATTCTCACAATTTTCCAAGAGTATTTAAAATTGGATACATGGTTCGAAGACTATATGAATTAGAAAAGTGATTTTTGGTATATTTCTCTTAAAGACCATTAAAACTCTTCGAGCTCACTTTTCCCATATATCTGAAAATATGAATGATTTGAGTTTTGCATGAGAAAGGTATTTTCTGTACTATGAGGAAGTGAGGTATATAGATTGATCTATATTTGTGAAATTTATTAGAAATTTTGTGCTTTTTGGCATACTTGTGAGTATATGGCTGTCTCAGTGATTATGTACCTACTTACATATATGTCTAACATGTATTTACAGATGAATAAGTTTTACAAAATCTTAATAGTCTCATTAACTAGTTATTTAAATGTTGAATTAATACTATTACATACATAATGAAACTTAAGCATAACTTATCAAAGAGTTTTGTTTAATTTGATTAACAAGAAAGTAAAATAGAATGTTGTTAAAATTTATTTTAAAGGTCTTCAAATTTTAAGGACTTTCTAAAGAAATGCTTAGAAAAGAATGTGGATGCCAGGTGGACTACATCTCAGCTGCTGCAGGTAAGAGAGTATGACAACAGCAAATAATATAATTATTTTAACATCTAAGAATGTAATTTCATATTCAGTGTGCTTTCTTTCCACTTAAATTTCCCTGTGGAGAGTCAAAATGGCAGTAGTTAACATTTGCTTTACAAAATAAATGCTGCTGTTACCATCAGGCATTTAGCTTAAACGTTATTCCTCCTGTGCTTTTTTGATTCAGTTTAATTATGTTCTTTTCATTTTGGTAGTTATTTCCATTATGTCTCTCCAGTTACTAGAAAGCAAGCTCCTTGGGGACAGGGGCCGTGAACTAATTAATTAAAAAATGTCTTACAGTGAGGGTAAATAGTAAATATTGTTGACTTAAAAAAATGTTGTTAAAGCGATTGGGTAAATTTAATTTTGCTTTATAGAAGGACTACTTGTAATATATTAATTAAAAATTGTCAATTTTATAGGTGGGCAAATAAAATGACAAATCTTGAGGCAATTACTGTTAGGTTATTATGTAACTCCATCATAGTGTTTTAGGTTGACCTATTTATCTGGGGGAATAAAGCAGGAAAAAATTGCTTTGTTGTGTGCAGCAAGTATACCCCTGGAACACACTTTCTATTATTATTTTGTTACCCCCACACTTGAAGCCCTTAGTCTGCGACAGACACTGTTAAATGTTGAGTATACAAAGATGAGTAAAATGGCTTCTCATTCTCAAGAATTTTAGAACCATGTCAAAAATACAGGTGTTTATAGATACTTCTAACAGAATTCTAAAGCTTTTTATAATTTTGAGGCTTTGATAGGGTTTATAGAGATGGTTACTTTTTAAGAAGTAATAATGAGGCCAGGTGTAGTGGCTCATGCCTGTAATCCCAGCACTTTGGGAGGCCGAGGCGGGTGGATCACCTGAGGTCAGGAGTTCCAGACCAGCCTGGCCAATATAGTGAAACCCTGTCTCTACTAAAAATACAAAAAATCAGCCGGGCATGGTGGCACATGCCTGTAATCTTAGCTACTCGGGAGGCTGAGGCAGGAGAATCTCTTGAACCTGGGAGATGGAGATTGCAGTAAGTTGAAATCGTGCCACTGCCTTCTAGCCTGAGTGATAGAGTGAGACTCCGTCTCAAAAAAAAAAAAAAAAAAAAAAAAAAAAGTAATAATGTAGTGACCTGACATTTGCTTTAAATTTCAATTAAAATTTTTTATTACGAAGTTTTCAAACACACAGAAAGTACATGTACCTACTACCCAGATATAACAATTCTTATCATTTTTGATAAATTTGCTTCAGATTCTTAAAAATGTACAGATCCAGTTGCAGGTAGTCCCTGCTTTTGCTCAAGCCCTCTCCCCTCTTTCTTTCTCAGATGTAGCATTATCTGAAGTTTTCTGTCATTTTCCTGCCCACATGTTCATATTTTTTACCACATAAGAATGTGTGTTGTGTGTGTTTGAAACTTAGTTTAGTAGTATTCCAGTTGTTGAGTATGTTCTTTTTAATGATCAACAGCATCCCTTTGTTACTGTTGATTCCAACAAACCCATCCGAGAATTGATTGCAGAGGCGAAGGCTGAAGTAACAGAAGAAGTTGAAGATGGCAAAGAGGAAGATGAAGAGGAGGAAACAGAAAATTCTCTGGTCAGTATTTAGGAAAGAAATTTCATTTAGTGAATAGAGTTCGGTTTTGAGGTGTAGTTGCTCCTGTATCTAAGGATTGATGGGTGGCAACGCAAAACCTTTAAATTTAGACCTGAAGATTAGTAGCAAGGTTGCTCGTCGCTGCACATTTTTGTTATATTTCCCTTTTTTTTGAGATGGAGTCTCACTCTGTCACCCAGGTTGGAGTGCAGTGGTCACTACAACCTCTGCCTCCCGGTGTCAGGTGGTTCTTGGGCCTCAGCCTCCCGAGTAGCTGGGACTACAGGCATGCGCCACCACACCCAACTAATTTTTGTATTTTTAGTAGAGATGGGGTTTCACCATGTTGGCCAGGCTAGTCTCGAACTCCTGACCTCAAGTGATCTTCCCTCCTCGGTCTCCCAAAGTGCTGGGATTACAGGTGTGTGCCACCGCACCCGGCCCATTTTTGTTATATTTCTTGTGAGAAGAATTGTTAATTCTTTAAATTCAGCAACATTTACTGAATAAAGATCTGAAATCACTGTAGGTCTGTAAACATTGTTTTGGTCACTCTAAGGTCATGTTTTAACACTAAAAATACATTAAATCTTTTTTAGCCAATACCTGCAAGTAAGCGTGCATCTTCTGACCTTAGTATCGCCAGCTCTGAAGAAGATAAACTTTCACAAAATGCTTGTATTTTGGAGTCTGTCTCAGAAAAAACAGAACGTAGTAACTCTGAAGATAAACTCAACAGCAAAATTCTTAATGAAAAACCCACCACTGATGAACCTGAAAAGGCTGTGGAGGATATTAATGAACATATTACCGATGCTCAGTTAGAAGCAATGACTGAACTCCATGACAGAACAGCAGTAATCAAGGAGAATGAAAGAGAGAAGAGGCCCAAGCTTGAAAATCTGCCTGACACAGAAGACCAAGAAACTGTGGACATTAATTCAGTCAGTGAAGGAAAAGAGAATAATATAATGATAACCTTAGAAACAAATATTGAACATAATCTAAAATCTGAGGAAGAAAAGGATCAGGAAAAGCAACAGATGTTTGAAAATAAGCTTATAAAATCTGAAGAAATTAAAGATACTATTTTGCAAACAGTAGATTTAGTTTCTCAAGAGACTGGAGAAAAAGAGGCAAATATTCAGGCAGTTGATAGTGAAGTTGGGCTTACAAAGGAAGACACCCAAGAGAAATTGGGGGAAGACGACAAAACTCAAAAAGATGTGATCAGCAATACAAGTGATGTGATAGGAACATGTGAGGCAGCAGATGTGGCTCAGAAAGTGGATGAAGACAGTGCTGAGGATACGCAGAGTAATGATGGGAAAGAAGTGGTCGAAGTAGGCCAGAAATTAATTAATAAGCCCATGGTGGGTCCTGAGGCTGGTGGTACTAAGGAAGTTCCTATTAAAGAAATAGTTGAAATGAATGAAATAGAAGAAGGTAAAAATAAGGAACAAGCAATAAACAGTTCAGAGAACATAATGGACATCAATGAGGAACCAGGAACAACTGAAGGTGAAGAAATCACTGAGTCAAGTAGCACTGAAGAAATGGAGGTCAGAAGTGTGGTGGCTGATACTGACCAAAAGGCTTTAGGAAGTGAAGTTCAGGATGCTTCTAAAGTCACTACTCAGATAGATAAAGAGAAAAAAGAAATTCCAGTGTCAATTAAAAAAGAGCCTGAAGTTACTGTAGTTTCACAGCCCACTGAACCTCAGCCTGTTCTAATACCCAGTATTAATATCAACTCTGACAGTGGAGAAAATAAAGAAGAAATAGGTTCTTTATCAAAAACTGAAACTATTCTGCCACCAGAATCTGAGAATCCAAAGGAAAATGATAATGATTCAGGCACTGGTTCCACTGCTGATACTAGCAGTATTGACTTGAATTTATCCATCTCTAGCTTTCTAAGTAAAACTAAAGACAGTGGATCGATATCTTTACAAGTAAGTGTACATGAGTCATTGTTTGGGTTTTCCTTTGCCATTTTCTCAATTCAGAGTTTATGTGAAATTGATGTCTTGAAAATAAAACAGCATTAAATTAATGTAGTATTAACAATATAAATTCTTACAGCCTATGAAAGCAATTAAAAAGAACTAAGGAGATTGTGGATCTAATCTTTAAATTTTGTGGTAGGATCTACCTATTTTTGCAGACCTGATGCAGATAAACAGTGTAATATGGTTGCTTGGTGTGATTAGGTTCCTTTATTGGACATATCTAGATGCAACATTAGCAAGAATCAACAATGTATGAGAGAATTAGAAATTGAAAGAATGATGTCTTTTTAAGCACATTTAGGGTGTAAACAATCCTTGATTTACCATTGGCCCATACAGTCACAGACATTGCTACTGCCATGAGAACCATTGTGGGGAAAACAAAACAAACACTAAAGCCCAGAACACTTGGAGCTTTGAGTGTAATTCTCAAATTTTAGTGTGCTTAGGAGTTACTAGCGGCTATGTAGAAGTCTGGAGTGGGTCCCAAGGATCACTATTTGTAAAAAAAAAAGATCCCACAGAGTTCTGATGCAGGTGATCCATGGGCTGCCCCTTGGAAAATACTTCCTAGACCCTCTGGGTTGATAGTAGCAGAAGAGAAGACAGAAAAGCAGGAACAACCTAAGAAAACTGACATAGATGGATCTCTAGGGCATGAGTGATTAGTCTGCCTATCTGCCCCAAATTCCTAGGATTTTCTTACATGTATTCCTAGGATTTTCTTCTTTTTTCAGTTTACTTTCTTTCACTGACTGAAATAACCACCACTCTGAAATTCATTCACTGACTTAATAGCCTCTTTTAAAAATGCAAATAACTTGTATAAGAATGAAGAAGATATTAATTATTGAACTTTTAGTAGGAGCTGAAGAAATGTGAAGTTTGGAGGTTAAGGTGTAGATAGGTGTATTTTTTGGAGTCTGCCAACTTTAGATTTTAGAGGAATCCTGGGTAGGGTACCATAGTCCTGGACTTTGGAAGAAGAGCATGAGGATCCTGGAAGCTTGGAGAAGAGAACAGTAAGAGGAGAGGATGCAGAAAGGTGATTGGAAGGTGCCAAAGAGAAACTGTTTAAAATTTGGATGCATTTTGAGTTTAGCATTTTCACATTCCATTTTTGCTTCCTCTGCCTTCTAACCCTTTCTTCCATATCAACACCCAGTAAGTATCTGCCCTGAACACTTAGTTTACCAAAATGTATTTGTAGGAGTCTTATATGTCTGTTATTTCTGTTTGCATTTAAATGTTTTTGGATACCAGTTGAGGAATGAAGAGTTTAGTCTTAATAAAGAATTTTAGGTCATAGCTAGCAGCCAAATCTGGTACTTTTGGGTGCAGCAGAGGCACTGTCTTTCTAGTAACCCTAAAATCATACATATATCTCTGGCCCTGAGATGGAGGGAGGGGCTGTCGATATTATTGTTACTGATTAAGTAGATTTTGATCCCCAGTGCTGGCAGTGTTTAAAAATTACCTGAGAGCTTTTTCAAAAAAAAGAGATTTCCAGCTACCCTCAGACCTGTCAATTTAGTTTTTTTTTAAGAGATGAGCCCCACAAATTCATTTTTAATTGTTTTGTCAGTGAAAAAGCAGAGGTATCTGAGAAACTACAAATTGAAAAGATGAAAAAAAAGGATAACATGTAAAGTTCTACTGATTAGCTATGTGAACTGCTCATCACTTATGCCTAATTATAATGTGTCATAAAAGCTATACATGAAGATGATCAAAATGCATACTTTGAAAAAATTTGATTTCATCTGTAAAGACGTGTAAGTCAGATGACGTTTAAGGTGTTATAACTGGTTCCACAGATGAGTCTATTGCTTTATATTTATACTTTCTATGTGTAGTCTGCATGGCTGTTCAGTTGTTTTGTTTTAAAAAAGAAAGAAATGTTTAAGGAAGAAGAAAATGTTTTCTACCTCCAGTATTCCTTGTACAAAGCCTAACTAAAATAAAATCTCACTCAGGAAACAAGAAGACAAAAGAAAACATTGAAGAAAACACGCAAATTTATTGTTGATGGTGTAGAAGTGAGTGTAACAACATCAAAGATAGTTACAGATAGTGATTCCAAAACTGAAGAATTGCGGTTTCTTAGGTGAGTAGAGAAACAACGTAATTAAAACTGGTTTGTGACTTCTTTTCAGTCTCTGAAAAGTCAGAAGAATAGAGAAACAAGGGTAAATTATTGGCTAATTTTTTTTTATTCTTTTACTACCGTTCCACTCGAAAGAAAATTTTTAAAGCTTTAAAAAAAAACGTATTTCAGAAGTGTAATTTTTGCTGTCTTCTCTATCATTACCATTAAATTTTATCAGACGTCAGGAACTTCGGGAATTAAGATTTCTTCAGAAAGAAGAGCAAAGAGCCCAACAACAGCTCAATAGCAAACTACAGCAACAACGAGAACAAATTTTCCGGCGCTTTGAGCAGGAAATGATGGTAAAGTCTGATTGTTATACCATTTTATATCATTTTGTGTTAATAATGACATTTACTGCATTAAAAACAGACAAACAAAAAAGGTTGTAGAACTTGTTCTCTGATTGCCAGATTTCTCTAGCTTTGTGATTTATTTCTGGCATTTTTACCCTTTTGGTGTTCTGGATGCCTTTTATTGATTTATTCTTTTTTCTTGAAAGGATTTTCTATCCCAGTCTACCTTAAGCTGGTTTATGGTGTGATGGGTTGTTTTTTCTCTCATGAAAACTTATGAAGCCAGTAAACAAAGTTCCTAGATTTGCCTATTGCTGGGTAATTTTTCAGTGCTCTAATTCGATCTTTCAGATTTGGAATCCAAGATTTTAAGCCAGTTTAGAGCAATTGCCTTCAAACCTAGCTGAGCAGTAGGACTCCTCAGGGGCTTTTTAAAAATGTGCTTTATTCTCTGGCTTCTACAGTTAAGCCTCCACATCTCTATTTCCTGCTGCTAGAGGAAATAGTGCTGACTAGTCCTGGGTAGCTGTCACTGAGTCCTTCAGTTTTTGCCTTGTGTCCAAAGTTGGAAAAGGAATTAGTAATGTAATATAAAATTTTTGTAATTTATGTTGACTATCTGCCTTAATGTAGGTTAGAAAAAGTATCATTTGAAATGTTACAGTACTCATGTTTTGAATATAGTCCTTGTGTTGACTTGTAATTTTAATTGATAAAGATTGTTTTGTGTGAACTGTGGATTGTTGATTACATGAGTTGGATCATAACTGAGATTTCCTAAGAAAATAGTGAACTTTTGTTCTCATTGAGTATTTTTATAGTACTTATATTGTTTTCCAAAACCTTATAAAATCTGTATTTCTCCCCCATCATACTTTCTAAAATGTTTTACTTTTCAATTTTTTTAAAAAGAAAACATCCATTACAAATAAGTAACTATACCTGTATTCAAAAACAGTGTTACTGAGTGTTATATAAACAGGAGTCTTGTTGCAAGAGTAGATTTATAATTCCAAAAGATCTGTTCCAATAGAATAAGGTGTTTATTTTAAGAATCTTAATGTGGAAGATTGAATCTGAAAATGACAATCTTATTATTAAATAATGGCGATATTATTAATAATATTATTTTATTAAAGTAGACCTCAAATAAGCTCTTTGATTTATCAAAAATTTTATTGGATAAATATTGAAATTTTTCTGATTTGCCTTACTACTTCACAACAATTAGCTATTCTTCTGGATAATCTAAAAACTTTGAACATTCTACTAGTATAATAGAAAACAAATTTTGGGTCGGGCGCAGTGCCTTATTCCTGTAATCCTAGCACTTTGGGAGGCTGAAGTGGGCAGATCACTTGAGGGCAGGAGTTCGAGACCAACCTGGCAAACATGGTAAAACCCCGTCTCTACTAAAAATACAGAAAAATTAGCTAGGCAGGATGTCACATGCCTGTAATTCCAGCTACTCAGGCGGCTGAGGCATGAGAATCATTTGAATCTGGGAGGCGGAGGTTGTAGTGAGCAGAGATTGTGCCACTGCACTCCAGCCTGGGCGACAGAGGGAGATCCTGTCTCAAAAAGAAAAAACAAACAAAAACAGAAAAGAAAAAAAAAAAGACCAGGCCCAGTGGTTCATGCCTGTAATACCAGTATTTTGGGAGGCCGAAGCAGGAGGATTGCTTGAGCGCAGAAGTTTAAGACCAGCCTAGGCAACATAGTGATAGCCCTATCTCTCCAAATAAATAAATAAATAAATAAATAAATAAAAAGATAAGTTGGTCATGGTGGCATGCACTGTAGTCCCAGCTACTTGGGAGGCTGAAGCAGGAGGATAGTTTGAGCCCAGGAGGCCGAGGCTGCAGTGAACTGTGATTGTGCAACTGCACTCCAGCCTGGGTGACAGAGTGAGACCCTGTCTCTAATAAATAAAATAGAAAAAAAATTTCCATGTTAGAAAAAAAGAACTCATTTTTTTGAGAATTTTCATAACATATTTTAGTGCATTTGACTTTTTCAGTATTGTGAAGGTTATAGTACATTACTAAATTTAAATACTAGTTATGTTCTCTTAGGAAACATCTTTACTATAAGGTATTAATATGGGTGATGGAAAAGTTATCATCTTGAGCTATATTGTTTTACAGAGTAAAAAGCGACAATATGACCAGGAAATTGAGAATCTAGAAAAACAGCAGAAACAGACTATCGAACGCCTGGAACAAGAGCACACAAATCGCTTGCGAGATGAAGCCAAACGCATCAAAGGAGAACAAGAGAAAGAGTTGTCCAAATTTCAGAATATGCTGAAGAACCGAAAGAAGGAGGTAAGTGTAAACTACTGTTTTTAATTACTAAAGCTTTTTTTTTAAAAAAATTGTTTTAAGACTATCTAAGGATTTAGGAATACTAATAATACTTGAGAGTTAAATAGCACCTATTCATTCTTTCATTCGGTCTTCTCAACAGTCATATAGAGTTGTCATAAGGTCAATCATTATTCCCATTTTACTGCCAAGAAAACTGGAGTAAGAGAGGTTTTAGTGACCTGTTTAAGTTCACCTCAAGAGAGGTTTTAATGACCTGTTCACAGACTACCCCTAAATATCCAGCTAAACCTTGAATCAGGTCTTCAAATTGAGTTTAATCCATCTTAAGGTCTACCATTGTCCTTAATGCAACACATTTAAGTCCTTATATAAAAGTATTTTTTAGAAAACTTACTATGTTGTGTTTGCCAGTGGCAGCAGTGATTCATTTTATTATTTATAAGTTATTTTTCATCTTTAATTCATACTTTTAACGATTTTGTTTGTTGATTAGCTTTATTGCCTTTCATGGGTATTGTGCCAAACAAAAGCTGAATAACCTGAAATTTGACATGCTATCTATAACTCATCAAATTGTGAGGTACTTCGAAGAACTAGAAGTGGAACATATCTGTAAAGTCATTTGATGAGAATGAGTTTTTTCATTGTTTCCTGAAACTGTTTCATATTGTTATAGAATCTGTTTGCAGTATAAAAGATTGTCATTGCTTCAGAAGGAAGATTTACTTATTATATTAGCATCTTTTTTTGTCCCAAATTAAAACTAAAAGAGCTTTACATGTAGGTAATTTTCAGAGATAATTTTATAATTTATTAACATCTTCAGTATAGGAAGACGATTTGCCTTTTCATGATATAAAAGACACCAGAGACAATGATTGTGATCAATTTTATTAGGGTTGGAACAAACAGAAACCTCAGCCAAACTAATAAATGCATTTTCACTTTTGTTACACATCTCAAATACCCAGATTCATTGACTTTAACATTTAAATTGAGAAGAAAATTGAATGTCATACTGCTGAATCTTAAGGATTTGCTTTAAAAAGGGTAGAGTCAAACATTAATAAATACAGTGATTTTATGATTTCTTTAGATAAAGATGAATGAAATGGTATGTGATTTTATTTGATGTGGCTTCCATTTCTAAAAATCACTATTTTATTACTATTTCTGATGTTTTATGTAGAATTGCTGTATATACTGTGAGGTATGACATTACTGGGGCTACATGTTAATTTTCTCTCAAGTAGTTTTTGAGATATTCTTTATCTCAGTGAAATTTAAAAAATTTTACAGATAAATATATGGTTTAATCCTAAATATAAAAGTCTCAGTTATTGTTTTTGTTTGGGGGTAGGAGAGTTTCAGCCACGAACATGTTTGAGATCGTGATATGCATATTTTAAATAATTACATTATGTATTTTTTTTTCCTTATTGCTAAACTTCTTGCATTTGGGGAGTCTCTTCCTTTTAATGGTGATTTGGTTTCATGAGGGATTACTGATGGGAAATTTTAAATACACGATGTTAAATCAAAATCAGTCTCTTTCACGGACCATCAATAGCATGTGGTGATTTGGAATCTGGTTTCTTTTGGTGCTTCTACTTGTAAACACATGATTGTTTTTCATAGTTGGATTACAGATCTATTGTTAGATGGAATATACTTCTAGTATTTTGAAATGATTAAAAGAAGGAGCTCTAAAATGTACTTCATTCTGTATTTTATCTGCTATAATAAATCATAGCTTACTAAACTTACTTTTAAGAGTGCTTATATTACCAATTTTTAAGTTGACAGGCTTAGCTTAACTTGTCAGCAAAGGGGAATATTCTAATCCTATTCAAGATCATCAGATACATTCATTTTTACCACACCGTGTATAAAATGGTGTGTTTATGAAAAAACTTAGTATCCATTTATTTCTCCTTTGTGTATTCTAAGACTTGCTTTCCTTTTTTGTTTTTGGCCTCATTAAGTAGATTTTATTTAGCATTATTTCTTTAGTATGATCAAGCCAATTATGAAATTTTGCACTTTTATAAATGGCATTAGCTTTCCTTATGTTCAATATTTCCAACTATGTCAATAGATACGTTTATAATTTTATGATCTTTCAACAAGGTCAGTTGAGTTTATCACCTGTAGTTCAGCATCAGTGCTGCAAGTAATTCTTCGCTGGTTGTCTTTGGACCTTTAAGAAAGAGAATGATACATAGGGTTATTAAGCAACTAATTAACCTTTGTGTGGTGTAATGTCCCTTTCTGCACTGAGATTATGCATGTTCTCTTCTTTCATTCTTTTTCACCAGACTAACACCTATGCTAATGCATGTTGAAAGGAACTTTTTAACAACTTTAATATTTGACTTGTAGCTTATCTGCTCTCATAAATGCTTGCTGTGGAGAAAGTATCATTTCCCCACCTCCTGCATGCTTATACACTGTAGGTTATAAATGAAGTGGAGAAAGCACCCAAAGAGCTGAGAAAAGAGCTCATGAAACGCAGGAAAGAGGAGCTTGCACAAAGCCAGCATGCTCAGGTAACAGCAGCAGCTTAATGCTACTAAAACCAGAAAGCACCATTTTCTCACAGCTTGATAAACCATGGTTGAAAGGGTAAATTTTAAGTGTTATTATTATATGATGTTGACTTCTCCCCATTCAAAAACTCCTGGAATCTTCTTTATTTAATACTAAATTCCTACTAATGGTGACATTTAAGTTGCTAATATGAAGTTAAGTGGAATGTTTGGAAAGTTGACTCCAGATGAAATAAACAAGTATATGAATGTATAATCCACTGTTATCTGATTTTAATCTTGATGGGAGCTTATAGTTTTAAGTAGTAATGCCAATGTTTGTTAGAAAACTTTTAGGACATAAAAATAGAGGATGGTATATAAGCTTTGTGCTTACAAAAAGTATGCCCATTAAAACGCTATTATTTCTATAAAGTGCAGTTAGAAGAAAAATAGCAAATGGTAACTTTAAATGGTAGTTCAAACATGTATTGCTTTTAAGCTTGACAACATAAGCAACTTTAAAACTGGATTTTAAATATTAAGTACCTTGTTTTTCTTTTTGGTTCACAATCCAGCAGTTAAACAAATAGACTATTTTTACCTATATAGAGTTTAAAGCAACCCAATCTAGGTTATGATAAAGTTAAGCCTTGTCATAAGATGGGTGAATTCTTTTTTTTTTTTTTGGTGAATTGGAGTCTCGCTCTGTCTCCAGGCTGGAGTGCAGTGGTGTGATCTCGGCTCACTGCAGCCTCCGCCTCCTGGGTTCAAGCGATTCTCCTGCCTCAGCCTCCCGAGTAGCTGGGACTACAGGCATGCACCACCACGCCCAGCTAATATTTTGTATTTTTAGTAGAGATGGGGTTTCACCATGTTGGTCAGGATGGTCTCGATCTCTTGACCTCGTGATCTGCCCGCCTCAGCCTCCCAAAGTGCTAGGATTACAGGCGTGAGCCACCACCACCGGCTTGGTGAATTCTTTACGAAGTGAGATAAATTAGTATTTGTAACAGAATTTTCTAGAATTATCTCACATGACAAGTCTTTCATATGAAGGAAGATGAATCTTCTGATTAAATTTATGCTAAGCCTGGAGGCAAGGATAAATGAGCTCAATTTTCCATTACATAAGTCAGTGAAAGGAAGAAGAGATGTGGATCGTGTATTTAATCGATCCTTTGAATTATCTTTTTAATTTGTTGTTTTATGTGATTTAACAAGTGGTTCCCAGACTTGTGGATTTTATAGACCCATAAAAAGAAACATAGAAACAATAAAAACCACTGGGGACCATGACATGGGCTGCCATTAAAAAAATTTTTTTTTAAATTTTGCTAAGTAAAGATATTTTAAAACTGCCATTTACTTGTCACCATCATTTCAAAGGAGAGAATATTTTTAACACCATGAAAAATAAGGAAAATATAATCTTAGAATTTAAAAATTAAATAAAACTAGCTTGTCTGAATAAATTTAGTTTGCTTTTGTTTTTTTCTTGCTATGAGCCATTGAAACATTTTTTCTTGGCCTGGTGTGGGTATTCCTAGTTTAAGGTGGTTAATAGCAAACGCAGCATTTACTATATGTCAGGCATTGTTCTAAATGCTTTATGTGTATGAACTTATTTAATCTGAGTTAATTATCCTTGAGGTAGTCTTATTACCCCCAGTTTACAGTTGAGGGAACTCAAGCACAGGAAGGCTGAGTGACCCTCCCAAGGTCACACACCTGGGTAGTGGTAGAGCCAGGATTCTCATCCAGATAAGTTTGGGTACATGTTTCACACACTGATTCGCTGCACCATGCTGCCTCTCATATTTAAGCTACCTACTTGTGCTGCAACTTAAACTCTCGTCAGCTTGACTCAGTGGTTCTTGGCCATGTCTTGTTACCAAGTGAAGAGGAAGTCCTTGCTGGCCACACATGTACTTTTGGTTAATTTGGATTTCAAACCAGATTAGAATAATATGGTTTTTGCCTTATAAAGGAATATAGATTTTTATTAATTCCAAAAGGCCATGTATCAAATTCTAAAGTCAAAACTGAGAATTAATGTTGAATGAATTAGGTAATACTATGTTTTAATAAGACTTTGTTGGTGATTTTTCATATAATTTTGGTAACAGGCCAGTATTTTCTGAGTAGAGCTGAAAGTAATCATAAATTCCTTCAGTAAATCTAATGAGGAATTTAGTAATCTAACAAATATTAAAAGTATTTCTATCTACTGCTTTAAGCGAAGGTACAAAAGCTTTATAACTTTACAGTCTATTTCAAACTTTTTTTGAGAATTCATAAGTAATGGTCATACAGTCATGGAGCTAGAACATATTTGATCATTTAAGTCCAGTGGTTTTCAAACTATACTAACAGGAATTTTGACTTTGAAAGAAGCAACTATGGGAGTCCCTAAGACGGCAAGAACTCTGGGCTGTGAGCCCCTGCTTCTGCTTCAACTCAAGCAACACCACTTTTGCTGTGGTTTATAAACTGGGATTTTTGGGGGTGAATTTTAAAAAAGGGGGTTCTACTAGCTTAAAAAACAACAGCAACACACTAGAGTTTGGAAACCACTGATCTAGTTCAAATCCTTCATTTTACAGATGAGAAAGAGGTCCATCTGTTAAGTGACTTGTTCCAGGCCTCAAGAAACTCAACATTTGTATAATTATTCTTTTCGTTTACAAAAAGTCATTCAGATATATTCTCACCTGGGAGGTGCATTCTATTCTGATCCACAGGGTGTTGCTCAGATCATGATTCAGTCTTTTCAGTTGTCATCTTGTGCAGTCTTCAACGCCCAAATGCAGGACGTAAGTCCCACGTGCCTGTGGGAGGATGGCTTCTCCTGTTTTACCTGCCTTTTCACATGTGCCTTTTCATTGTTGGCTTCATTTGCCAAAATCTAGATGATTGATACATGATAATGTTTGTAATGACAATAATAGTGATAACCTGACTTTAGACTTCAGTATTCTTCAGAGTTTTCACATTTGGTTCTCATTGCCACCACCCTAATATAGGGATGGAGTCATATAACCATTTTACAGATGAAGAAATTGAGGCACAGAAGACTGTGATCTGCCTCAAGTCACATAAGAGATTAACGGTAGAGCTGGAACTAGAGCACTTTTAACACGGTGTTCTGTCTACCCCGCCACAAATTCTAATTTGGGATTTTCATGTTTCTCAAGAAAATAAAATACCCTCTCAATAGTATAAGCTTTGCACATGTGAGAAATTGAATGCTGTGATTAGATTTTTATTTTCGTGTGAAGTGACATTTTGATTGCATATATGTTTATGTAGATGTTTTAATTATGGATATGGTCAGAAAAGCCATGTTAAAAGTAGTGATTTTCATTCCGTTTAACTCTATTTTCCATTTATTCAAGTAGTCAATAATGAATAGTGAGTTTCTATTCTCCTTATTGTAGTTTTAAGTTAAGTTGGAAATTCCAAGCTGTATTCTTTCTTGCAGTTTCTATAGGGAAATAACTAGCTCATTTAACACTGTAATTTTTGTTTGTGACGTCTGATATATACAACAGGAGTAGATAGAATACAGCTTGATTTCAACCCCTCCTTTTTCCTCTCCTGAAATTAGACTTGTTTTTTATTATTGGCAGCTGTTTGACTTTTTACTGTTTTCTAAGAGAGTAAGTAAAACATTGATTTTTAAAAGGAGAGGGAGAAATTATGAATTACGATCACTTTTCTGATCATTACCATTTTTAGCCTTTGTTTTCATTTAAAATGATCAAATTCTATACAAATAGCCCAATATATCATAACCCTTTCTTACAGTTTTCTAGACCCCAAAGTTATATTTTTAATGTTTATAGTTATCTGATTAATATGATAAAATTGTTTATCCACATTTAAACTTGTACTTTTAAAGGGCACTCATTTTACAATTTATGTGTTTACTTTAAAAAATGATTTTTGGCCTTAATAATTTGGGTTCTTTTGTTGTTGTCTTTTATTTGTTAATCCAAGTGATTAAGTTCATCTTTTTTTTTTTAAGGTGTGTTTGTGTAATCTATTTGAAATGTGAGTGCTCTTTTCATACCTGAAAGTAATTTCTAATTATAAATTCCATGTGAATGTTATTGTATTTGGCTTTTGAAGTTAGGGAATTTAGTGAATGTGTAATAACATTAACATTTTGTTTGTTTTGAGGTAATGAAATATATTGATTAGTGTGTAAGGGACCTTTTCAGATAATTTTTAGCTTTAATATAAAAAATCCTTTATACAGTGTCCGACTACATAGTCATCCAGATTCTGCTTAATTTTTCAAGTCTACAGCTCTGTAAGGCAGCTGGGTTCTTTGCTAACTCTAATTGTTAGGACTTGTATACACTGGACTTATATCTGCCTATCTTCACTTTTACCTGTTGATCCCTATCTTACTTCTGGAGCCACACAGTGCTAGTTCTGCCTGCTTCAGTATATAAACAGTCATAGCTCCTCTTTACCCTTTAGGAGTTAGCTGCTTTAAGGAACACTTCTCTAGTTCTTTCAGGCAGTCATTGTGAGGCATGGTTTCTGAACCCTTTATTCCCAGCTTTGAGTTTTCTGTGGTTTACTTTTGAACTTTTAAAAATGTGATACTAAGGGAAGGGACCCACTACTCTTTATGTGGACTGAGACCAAGACTGTTGATACTTGGGACCAATTGAGTGGAAGCTCCTTGAAGGCAGAACTCTCTTTCATTAATTTTAGTAACCTTCTAAGTAGTATAGTGTCCACCATTTACTAAGTGCTTAATAAAGGTTTTCTTTGAATTGAACTCTTACTGTGTTTAATTTAGACATAAATACAGTAATATGAACAAAAATTGCATAGATGAGAAATTACATTTACTGTTTTAGTGGCACTGGCTTATATTTACCTTTTTTATTTTCCCATAAGTATTTATTCACCCCATCCTTTACTTTTGTGTTTGATTTTTTTGTGCCTAAATGTAAGATTTATATTTATGCTAGTTAATTTAGACCCATTGTTTCTGTCTACACAGATTTTTTTTTTAATCCTGTATGTAAACCAATGATAAAAATGTTGAACAAAAGAAAACCCTTTGATATTTTTGCAGGTTATGTTGTTTATTGAACAAGTTTGTATATAGAAATTTTACAGTTGAGGCTGGGCGCGTTGGCTCACGCTTGTAATCCCAGCACTTTGGGAGGCCGAGGTGGGCGAATCACAAGGTCAGGAGATCAAGACCATCCTGGCTACCACGGTGAAACCCCGTCTCTACTAGAAAATACAAAAAATTAGCTGGGCGTGGTGGTGGGCGCCTGTAGTCCCGGCTACTCAGGAGGCTGAGGCAGGAGAATGGCATGAACCCGGGAGGCGGAGCTTGCAGTGAGCCGAGACCGTGCCACTGCATTCCAGCCTGGGTGACAGAGCAAGACTCTCTTTCAAAAAAAAAAAAGAAAAATTTTACAATTGAAATTAGAGAAACAGTTTAATTTTGTTACAAATAGTAGGAAAAAGAAAAGCTTGAACAACTTTGTTATAACTACTTAAAAGATAGGCTTGGAGATTTTGCATCTCTTAATTAAAACTCAGAAGCCCTTATATTCTAGATAGTTGAATTTAAATATTCATTGAAAATTTTTTCAATGATAATTTTCTTAATGATAAAGTTTTACAGGTGACTGTAGCCAAGTTGGTAATTGCATTTTATAGAGGCATTCATTAGTCTTTTCTTTCTCTACTATATATGTATTTATGCTAAAATGCAAATGATGATGCAGATGAAACAGCAGCATTTACAACACCAAATTAGTTCACTCTCTGACATGAACTGTGTCACCTCCAGAGATTCAGGATGGTAGCAAGCCAACCATCCTGAGGAGTGGAGTGAGACTCTCTGTGCATTTGAGGAGCTGCCTGGCAGTGATCCAGACCTCATCAGACTCTGAGGCCTCAAGAATAGTTCCAAAATGCATCTTAGGTTTTGATGTTCTCGAGGATGTGCAAGAGGGGGGATTGCAAGTGAAATTCTGCTTCAATTTTAAATTCTAAATCCACACAAAAATTGATTGAATAGTCCATGAGCCAATCACCACCTGCTGTAACTGCCAAGAGAGGGATGGACAGATCCAAATTTACATTTCTTTAATTTGGATGCTGTTCCTTTTCTTCTGTAAATGTATGATTCTAGCAGAAAGACCATAAGTCACTTTAACATTTCCTTTTTTTGCACAATAATTGAAGGATGTTTTTCTAAAGCAGAAATTTGGCATTCGGGTAGATAGTATGTACTCAATAAATATTTGTTGAATGAATTAGTGAATCCGAAACATGTTTATAGAATTCTGTGATTATACAAATTTTCTTGATAGATTTATAGTATGTAACTCACTTTCCTATCTCCAGTTTGCATTTCTCTAGCAATGCATTCTCATTAATTTCTCAAACTATTGTTCTTCTTTTTAGGCACATGCTGTAGATACAGAAACTATCTTCTTCTGTTAGGATAGCCATGATATTTCTTCCTAAAATTCTTCCTCTTTAGTTCCCCAAATTCTGATATCTGTTTTACCTATTAGCTCTTAATTGCCTTTTTTCCTAGAGGGCCTTTCTTTTTTATTTTGAGATGGAGTCTCACTCTGTCACCCAGGTTGGAATGCAGTGGCATGATCTCAGCTCACTGCCACCTCCACCCTCTAGATTCAAGCAATTCTCCTGCCTCAGCCTCCCTAGTAGCTGGGATTACAGGCACCCGCTACCACATCTGGCTAATTTTTGTATATTTAGTAGAGATGGGGTTTCACCATGTTGGCCAGGCTGGTCTCGAACTCCTGACCTCAAGAGAACCACCCGTGTTGGCCTTCCAGAGTGCTGGGATTACAGGCATGAGCCACCACACCCGACACTTAAAGGGCATTTCTTATTTATCCTTGTTTTAGTCACACCATAGTGGAATGAGTAATCAGTTTTAGAAGCTGCAAATTTACCATTCTCTCAAAGATGCTAGTGTAATAGGGCACTTTAATTATGAGTGGGCTATATGCTTATTCTGTATGTATCCTTCTTAGTGAGTTGAGAATATTATGTATTCTAATGCTTTTTTCTTAGACTGAATTGGGTGACTAAATACATTTGTACTATATAATTTTAGTGATTTTAAAATCCAGCTAACTTTGCAAACTTGGTTTGGAAATCTTGTTAACCACTAATATATACAGCCATATAGATAAATGGATGTTTAGTTCATTAGATACTTATTAACTGACAATTAACTGTTTTTAATAGGAACAAGAGTTTGTTCAGAAACAACAGCAAGAATTAGATGGCTCTCTGAAAAAGATCATCCAGCAGCAGAAGGCAGAGTTAGCTAATATTGAGAGAGAGTGCCTGAATAACAAGCAACAGCTCATGAGAGGTAATTTTTTTAAAATTAAGAAATACTGCAAAATGTAGAATTCCTTATGACAGTAGAAGTGAATGTAAACATATAACCCTTAAAATTTCTTCTTGCCCTGATGATGCTGGAAATATATCTGAATAATTTTGTGTACTCATTATGCCTTATAGTTGTTAGTATACCTAATGGTCGTGTGTTAGAATGGGATTTAAAGTACTTATCTTCCCTAACAAATTAGCTTAGATTTTTTTTTCTTTCTTATTAAGATGATTAAATAGGATTTTGGTGTTCGGAGTAGGACATTCTCTGTTTATACGACATTAGAACAGTCTGGAAAGAGGTAATAGATATTGCCTTACATTGGTTACAGTTGCACTTGGACAGCTCAGAATGTCAACATGTGTGTACGAGTTAGTGTATTTAGAATACTTCTATGTAAATATTAAAATGAAGAGCAAAGTACATTAGTAAAAAAAGAGCAAAGTGACATTTTGAAAACTGCTGTCTTCTAGCTCGAGAAGCTGCAATTTGGGAGCTCGAAGAACGACACTTACAAGAAAAACACCAGCTGCTCAAACAGCAGCTTAAAGATCAGTATTTCATGCAAAGACATCAGCTACTTAAGCGCCACGAGAAGGTTAATGAAAGGAAAATTTCTTCATTTTTTTGTTCGTTTTAAAGTTTGCAAAGCTATTTAGTTTTGAAACTTAAGTTTCTTAGATAATGAATTTTAGATTTCCTTTCTGTCTTTTATCCTACAATTTCTTGGATGAAGTTTGGAGTAATTAATTGTATCTTGATCATGATTGCAAACTTCTTTTCTACAAATTATAAGGAAAGTAACTAATTACAATGCTTAAAGACGTTTTACACCTTGTAATCTTCATCTCGGCTCTCAAAGGTAGCTATTTTGGCTCTATTTGTGGTTCAAGTATCTTAAAGTATGGACTCCTTGTACTTATTAAGAGTTGCAGTATAAAACTCTCATCACTAATAACTTTCTTTTCTTTTTATTCTTTTGAGACAGAGTCTCGCTCTGTCACCTGGGCTGGAGTGCAGTGGCACTCAGTCATAGCTCACTTAACCTCGAACTCCTGGGTTCAAGGGATCCTCCTACCTCAGCCTCCCAAGTACATTCATGCACCACCACACCCTGCTAATTAAAAAAAAAAATTTTGTGTGTGGAGACAGGGTCTCACTATGTTTCACAGGCTGGTCTCAAACTCCTAGGCTCAAGTGATCCTCCTATGTCAGCCTCCCAAAGTGCTGGGATTACAGGTGTCAGCCACCAGACCTAGCCTAACTTCTTACAAGTTATTTTGTGCCTAGTATTTTGCTGGTCACTGCAACAAGGGAGAGGGTAATTATAGGAAACAACAATAACAAAATGACATATTTGAATATGCATGTGGGTACTGACTATTGTTTCTGCGTCACTGGATTCTATTTAAAACTTTCATAGGAAACAGAGCAAATGCAGCGTTACAATCAAAGACTTATTGAGGAATTGAAAAACAGACAGACTCAAGAAAGAGCAAGACTGCCCAAGATTCAGCGCAGTGAAGCCAAGACTCGAATGGCCATGTTTAAGAAGAGTTTGAGAATTAACTCAACAGCCACACCAGATCAGGACCGTGATAAAATTAAACAGGTAAATATGCAAGTTAGTCTCTTCTCTTTTAGGTTTAAAATTTTTGAATGACCATTAGAAGTTCTACAAAATTCCTTTCTTTCTAAACAATTAGAGCCACCTTAGGCTTGTTGATGTTCACTTTAATTCTGTGGGCTGGGACTATAGATACATGGCATATACCAATTAGTCTTCCCCAGGATGGTGGTCACAGAGAGCAAAGCCCTTCCTCCTATACCCCATACCAGCTCCTGAGCTAGACTGGTCCTAAGACCAGCCCTGGGAATGAGATGACTCGGACAACTTTTCAAGTCAAGATATATGGCCTCACTGTGATACTTCTGTAGTCATGGTCACACACACAAATTAACTCAGATCACTAAGCAGATAGGAGGATCAAGGTTTTAATCAGAAGTTCCTGCTCTTCTCTGAAGCTGTGATGTGGACTCCAGGTTTGAGTCTCAGCATATTATTACTTGTAGCTTCAGTTTATTGTGCCTTGTTTTGTTAAATTCCTTTATATCTTCAGAATATATAGAAATCACATGCTTCTGAACTATAGTTTATCTTTTTTTCTTATTTATAGTTTGCTGCACAAGAAGAAAAGAGGCAGAAAAATGAGAGAATGGCTCAGCATCAGAAACATGAGAATCAAATGCGAGATCTTCAGTTGCAGTGTGAAGCCAATGTCCGCGAACTGCATCAGCTGCAGGTCAGATACAGAAGCCTGACAGCAAAGCCCATAGGATGCGGCAGCACAAGTGGCTGCTTTTGAGAGAACAGTAGCTAGCCAAAGTCAACTGCATCATACACGAACATGCTGGGTTTGAGAGGTTCTGTTTTTTGTACAGATCCAAATGAAGATCAGTTTGGTATCATAGGCACTTGTGTAGATTATATATAACCATGATTAATGTAAACATAAAGCTAAATTGTAACCTACGAAATTGAGTCTTTCAAAAGCAGTATTGAGTATGGTTTTTAGTATATTTTGCAAGAAGATGTGGAGAGTTTCAAAATGATGTAGACAGTTTTGTTGTCATATTCTGAATTTTTTGTCAGATTCTAAATTTAAAATTTCTTTTCCATTTAGAGGGAAATAGTTTATTTTCTTCTAGGTTTTTGAAATAAGTGATAAGTTAAATATATGGGAATTTTTCTCCTAGGAAATTTAAAAGTTATTCGAGAGAGGGCTGATTTAGGACCTTACATAGAATGTACAGCCCATCTAAAATGTTTAAGATTTCAGAGTAGTGTATAAATGTGGGTATCTATATATTTGCTTAATTTACTATAGTAGAACAGATCCTAATAGATTGGCCTAATGGGCCAATAGATCTTTTACAGGAATAGATCTATTAGGCCAACCCTTTAGTACCAGATCCCACATTCTGTACTCACGGGTAAAATGTATGCAGGCTGCCTTCTGAAGTGTCAGTTTTATGAGCAAATCTTCTTAGAAAGGAAAAACAAAAGCTCAAGCTAGTTCTTTTTAAGTTCTTTTTATATGGTATGTAATAGTTCTAGCTTCTAAACTTGTAAAAATGAAGCTATGATTCATTTCCTAATTCATGGCCCTTGGTTTTTATAGAGGAAAACTTGAATCTCAGTAATAGCATGATATTTGATGAGTAATTTATTATTATGGAAGATAATTGTATTTGTGAAAAATTGCTTAGTTGATCTGAAATTTTTTTAAATCCCAACTTTATTTTCAGAATGAAAAATGCCACTTGTTGGTTGAGCATGAGACTCAGAAACTGAAGGAGTTAGATGAGGAACATAGCCAAGAATTAAAGGAGTGGAGAGAGAAATTGAGACCTAGGAAAAAGGTAATTTTAAAAGCTTTAATTAAAATGATATGTGTGTACTCGTCCGTCTACCCAGCTATTGGCTCTTTACCTACTGTGTCAGGTACAGTGTCAGGGGCAGGAAACATAGAGATGAAAAGACAAAGTTTTTGTCCCCAGAAGTTTTGGAATCTAGTGACAAGCAGTTAGGAATTGGTAGGGTCATTGCTCTGAAGGAGGTGAGTACAGGATACAAGGGAAAGGAACAGATTTTGTAAGCAGAGGAGGAGGAGAGCTTAAATCTGCCTGGGTAAGTCAGGGAGGGTCTTCAAGAGGAGATGCCTTGCAAGCCAAGTGAGTCTTGAAGGGTGAGTAAGAACTTGCTAAGCGGATGGGCTGATTGGAGTGGAATGGGATGATTTGAGTAGGGAGAAGAGAATGAGTGAAAAGGAAGCGTACAGAGAATTGTAGATCGTTCTCTGACATTGGAGTATGAGAGGGGGTGTGTGCCAGTGTGTAGTCATTAGGGAGGAAGAAAAGGAAGGAAGGAAGGAAGCGATGACAGCTGAGTCTGAACAGGTCAACTGGAGCCATATTAAAAGGCCCTGTTATTCTACGTAAACTTGAAATCTGGTAAAATAGGGATGGTGTCTTCTCTGTCTCACCCCTTTCCCTTGTTTGTGCTTGACACCCTATTCACCTGGTCTTACTGGCTAACCATTTCACCTGAGTTTTTGCTATCACTATATGATCTCTGACCCTTCGTTACTCAAACTTAAACCTTTGTTTTGGGGGGAGCTTCCTGCCTACTGTACATTTCCACCATTCCTTTCTTCCATCCATACAATCAGTCAAGGAAATATGTATTTAGCTATGTGCCAAAGGAAGTGAAATGACTAAATGAGTTCATAGTGTGGCTTTTTGTTTGTTTGTTTAGACAGAGTCTCACTCTGTCGCCCAGGCTGGAGTGCAATGGTGCGATCTCGGCTCACTGCAACCTCCGCCTCCTGGGTTCAAGCAATTCCTCTGCCTCAGCCCCCCAGGTAGCTGGGATTACAGGCATCCACCACCACACCTGGCTAATTTTTGTATTTTCAGTAGAGACGGGGCTTCGCCATGTTGGCCAGGCTGGTCTCAAACTCCAAACCTTAGGTGATCCACCCACTTGGGCCTCTCGAAGTGCTGGGATTATAGGCGTGAGCCACCATGCCCGGCCCATAGTGTGGCTTTTTAATTTAAATTTTCTTTATTGTTAAACTTTTTGAATAGGTAATGCATTCATGTAGTTTAGAATTCAAAAGGTACAGAATTGTAAACGGTGTAAAATCTCCTTTACCTACTTGCAGCCTAGCATCTGCTTCAAACACCCTAGTTGAACTAGTTGACAGTGGTCACAAGTGAGTTGCTAATAGTCAAATCCTATGGCCTTATCTAACTGTTCTCCTTAAAAGTCTTGTTTCTTAAAATTCTCCTCTCACCTGGCTTTTGTGACACAGCTCTGCTCATTCTCTGTGTTCTTTATCCCCTTTTGTCTCCTGAAATGTAGACATTTCTCAGTTTTGCCCCTGTAGTAAAGAACAGTCTTTACCTTGATGATTTTATTGCTAGTCATGGCTTCAACTGTTGCAGATAGACAACTCCAAAACTTAAATGGTAGCAGTTGTATAGAGCATGAATTGTAAAGTCATACAGGTGTGTGTTCAGATCTCAGTACTGACACTTACTGATTAATTTTCTCACTTACCATTTCTAGGCCTAGTTTTCCTAATTTGTAAAATGAGAGTGATACTACCTATTTGGTGTTGTTTATATAGCAGTTATCTAGTACCTGAGCTATAGTAATGGTTCAGTGAATGGTTGCTGTTGCTATTATTGTTTCTTGTTTTTATTATCAGTTTGGGCAGTAAGCGCCCATTTTCCATCTGGGTGTTATGCTCCTCCTCATTTCACCTAGGCCTTGTGACCTTTTTTGGTCACTGTATCTCAGTAGCACCTATACTGAACCCCAAACATTCTGTATCTGCTCTCCTTTCTTTGTTTTTCTTTGTAACAATTCATCACCACCAGACACATTTGTTTATTGTCCCCTCTTGCGAGTGAGAATATAAACTCCTTAAAAGCATGCCATGATCGCTTCATTTATTGATATGTACCCAGTTTCTAGAACAGTTCCTGGCACATTGTACAGATGACTACATACCTGTTCAGTGTTGACTAAAGAGTATAAACTCAGTAGAGAGAAAACCAAACTCAGCATCCTTTTCCTTCATCTCCATCTCACCTTTCCCCACTCACTGCAGGCCCACTCACTGCCAGATGTTCCTTCATCTCCATCTCACGTTTCCGCGCTCACTGCAGGCCACTCACCATCAGATGTTCTTTTCTGCATTCCTGTTCTCTTAACTGACATCTACGCTAGAAACCAGAATTATTTTTCATTTCTGTCACACCCTACATTCAATCAGGCGCCAATTAATTTGGACTCTTTTTCATAATGTGTCTCCTTTCTTTCTCACTGCTATCCTGGTGCTTGTTTAAATTATTCAGGAATTTCCTAATGGGCCTTCTAATTTCTAGTTCCCTTTCCTTTCTTCCCACTCGCCTGCCATCACCGGAGGATTTATCCTCAAGGACATCTCTTGACACTGTCATACTGATGTTGAGAAATCTTCAGTTCCATCAGAGTAAAATGTAAATTAATGCCTCAGTTTGACTGTGAAGCCTTCATAGTGCCACACCTGAGTCACAGTCACCCTTTCTAGCTTCCTCTCCCACTAGCCACTTTGTTCCCAGTCCAGGTTCCAGCCTTGGGTATAATGGCCACTCCTCATACCAGCTCCTCGGCTTCCTGCCTTTGTGCTGTGTTTCGGCTCTGTTTCTGGCATGCCTTCCCTATGCTCCCTATCAAATTCTTATCTTTCCTTCAGCACTAAGCTCATGTTTCACCTCTTTTGAGAACCCCTCCTATATCCTTCCTTCTTTTCCTGTGCTTTGTACCTCTACAGCACCACTTATCCCTGAATCACTTCTCCACAAAGTCATTGATACCTGTAACAAAATGCCATAAACTGGAGGCTGGGGAGTCTGAGACCAGGGTGCCAACACGGTCACGCTTTGATGAGGGCCCTCATTTGGGTTACAGACTGCCGACTTCTCACCGTGTCCTCACAGGGCGGAATAACAACTCTCTTTAGCCCCTCATGAAGGCACTCATCCCATTTGGAGGGCTCTACCTCATGACCTCATCCCTTCTCAGAGGTCCCACCTTCTATGCATAGTATCCGCACATTAGGGATTAGGTTTTTATATGGATTTGGGGGGCACAGACATTCACATCACAATGGTGCCTCTTACATTTCTCAAGCACTTATTTTTGCTCTGTATTATGGGGATAAAAATGATTCTGATTTAAGTTGTACCTTTAAACAGCTTATATTATAGTCTAGTGTGAAAGAAAATACAGGCGCATCGTAACTAAAATAACAAGTAGGCAGGGGTAAGTGCCATGTGGGAGAAACACATAATAGTTAATAATAGGTACCATATATTAGAGTGCATAGTATGTGTAAGTACATCATTATCACATTTATACTTCACATAGCAAATTATCCCTATTTTTACAGCAGAGGAATTGAGGAATTAAATGGTTCTCTAATATAGGGAAGTTAAGTAATGGACCCAAATTGTCCATTTATGTGGCTGAGCTGGACTTGCACATAGGGCTGTACAAAGCTTATGATCTTAAAAAATTGAGCAGGCGTGTCTTCTTGAGGATTATATACAAAGAAAGTGTTTTGGACAAGTAGTTTTATCTTGGCTGTCAGCATAAATTCTATATATAATACCAGCACATAGCAATTTCTTTTTCCCTTTCTTTTTAAGACACTGGAAGAAGAGTTTGCCAGGAAACTACAGGAACAGGAAGTATTCTTTAAAATGACTGGGGAGTCTGAATGCCTTAACCCATCAACACAGAGCCGGATTTCCAAATTTTATCCTATTCCCAGCTTGCATTCCACCGGATCATAACAAAGGGAAGCATTCTGTGCGTGGGTTTGGCTCTTTCAGTATGTCATTCTGTTCTCATCTTCTGCCACAGTCTCTCAGATAGCTCATGAAGACAATCACCTGCCTCACCTTCTAGGTGTTTTCCTTTTTTGTTTTTTTTGTTTTGTTTTGTTTTTAAGCAAAGATGAAGGGAAAACGAACTAAGACAGACGCTAGGCCATGTTGGCAAAGTAGCATCTTGGTGACTAAGGTGACTTTGTATATTCATCTTAAAAATTATGTTCTTTAGACACTGCTACCTGAAAACTGTT
The DNA here is from genome assembly GCF_000001405.40 of Homo sapiens. Taxonomy (NCBI): domain Eukaryota; kingdom Metazoa; phylum Chordata; class Mammalia; order Primates; family Hominidae; genus Homo; species Homo sapiens. Next base: position 104,026,011 of record NC_000010.11, read on the forward strand.
GGAGAAATAATGTTTAAAGTTATTTAAGAAAAACTGTTACATCACTAAGTATTAATAAATTCTTCTTACCTGACGTAACTTCTCAATGCCTAAATTCTGTAGTTGAAGCTCTGCTGCAGAGAGTTGGGATAATTTTCTTTTGGTGGATCAGCTCTCATAAAAAAGCTATGATTTGCTCAAATATGCTGTTGACTCAGTAAATGAATATATTTTTTTCTTTAAATAGGAACAACCTCTTTTAAAAGAGAAAAATTATTTCAGTGATTTGTCAAAACGAATTACCTCTTTTGGCATGAGCTAATAATTGAGGGTGCTAATTTTCTTAAGATAGTGCCTAAAACACTAAATTTCAGTCAAGTCGTAAGTAGGATTTTCTTTTTGATCAACAGGGACAAAAACATCTTTAGAATTAAAAACATGGTTGTTTTGGAATTTTTGCTTCTCTTACCGTTTGATAGAAATTTTCATCCTAAAATACATGTACAAAGTTTGGAAAGATGAAAAAAAGAGGTAGCTTTTAGATTGCAAACTGGAAATGTAAAACTCATGAAATTTAAGCAATATAGGTTTAGCTATCTGTGTTTATTTTCTAAAATAATACCTGAGCTGGTTAAATGATTTCTCTCCATCTTAGCTAATTCTGTTTAAAACTCTGTCAGAGGCCTGCAGGCTGTGAGTTATATTTATAAATATATCTTCAGAAATTAATCTTAAAAGAGGCATTAGTTCAGAATACTTTTTTAAAAGTTTAAATTAAATATTTAGGCACGTCAGGAATTACTTTTCCTTATTTTGAAATGAGGCTACTTATGTCTTGGTTTTATTTTGTTCCATGTTTAAATCATTCACTTTGATTTGAGTGGGAAAAGCCTGAAGCCTTTATCATGTGGTTGCTGGTGTGTGTAATTATTAATGAAATGTTCACTCCTAGTCCCTTATGAGGCTTAGAATTTCAACCACGTGTCAGGTCAGACAGTATTATAAACTGTACTTTGCTGTCTGAGACAGCACATTTGTGAATGATGCTTGCTGCCTGCCATTTTCAACCTATTCTCTCTTAAGAGTGCTAGGTACCAAATTGTGAAAGTTTGTTTTCAGTTATATTACTTTTGAGGCTGGTGAAAAATTTAAATGTAACTTTGTGGGAACACTGATTCATATTTAGAAAATGTAAATGTCTGTAGCACTTTCTTGCAGTTAATTTGAAAACTTTGGATGCTGAACCTTGTTTGTCAGTGATTTAGATGATTTAAAAATGCATGTGTGATTTGAATTTTATAATTGTTTTGACAAGCATAATTTACTTGGACAACTTCGTAGGTAGCCTTAACTTCTGGCCAAGTTTGTTTTTTATATAAATATATATACATATATACATATTATGTATGGTTGTAAATTCATACACTTATCACATGAATGTGTTACTGTATACAAAACTCTTAATGCTTTATTCTCAAATGCTGGGTTGAAAAATGTTTTGAAAGCCTTTTAAAATATATATCTTTATAAAGTAATATTCAGGATGATGATAAAAATTGTTTATATTGTTATGATAAAAATGACAGTATAATGTTGCCCAGTGTATTTAATGATTTATTTGAAGAGGGATTGGGAAGGAACGTCTTCATACCACTTTCTCCTTTGAAATTTTCAGTTTATTGACTTTTAAAAAATGAATACCTCAGGCAGTAGACATTTTTTTTCTAGTATCATTTAATTGATACCCTGTGCGCTAAATAGTGTGTGGTGCCTGATTAATTTGGTCTGAATATTTGATTCTTTCTGTTCCTTTCAACTTGACATTCAGATTATTGACTCAAGGAGAGAGGCTCAGAGTGGAATGGTTGGCGCTGTGGGTAAGGTTGGATCTCCCTTAAAACTGCCTTTTGGATTCAGTGTTTGTGCTTGAGTTCGCTTTCAAATATGACCATAATCGTGTGGGTGCAAGACTGTACAGTGATACATATGTAGAGGTAAAGCATTCATTTTAATACTTAAAGTTATATAAATCTTTTCAAAAAGTGTTTTGTTATAAAATACGCTGTTTGTACCCATACCAGCCCACCTCTTCTGAGGCCCTGTATTCAAATAGATGATAGTGATCTATCTTTCCTGCATGAAGTGTAGGTGGCGAGTGGGCGAGGGGCGCAGACTTCTTTGAAATCGAAGGGTACAGTCAAATCTACTGCTGATTTGGTTGTTTTGTTGCTGTGGCAGAATATGCCATGAAACACATACAGACTTCTCCGAACGTGCACCCTCATCAGCCACCTCCTCCCCTCTTTCCCTGAGTGCTGTGAACACAGCAGACCTGCACACTTCTGCAGATCCAGCTCCTACAGCTTGGGGCACTAGGCTGCCTTTCCTAGTCCTGTCAACAACCATACAGTGCGAATTGCTGAATTAGCTGCTATTCTATGTGGAGTCACATTAAGCTTTTTCTTATCTTTTTCTATGGGGAAGCTATAGGGTGGGTAAGGAAAAAATGTTGAATGCTTTTACTTTGCTGAAAATATTAGAACTCTCTTGTGACAGGATACAGCAAATTATAATTAAATATAAATTACCAGAACCAGAGCTACCTCTAAGTCATACTTCCTCAAGCACAAAGCTCTCAGGCATATGAGACCCACCTTAATGAAGGGTCTCTGATTTCTTGAGCATCAGCGAGTTTCAGAAGTGACTATTTTTTTGTACTCTTCTAGTTTCCTTGTAACTATACACTTTTTCCCATTCCACACTGTGCTTAAATGACAAAGACTCTTCTGAGAAGCCAAATTCTGTCCAAGTATTAACTAGAGATATTGTTGATTAAAGAAAATCTAGAACTGAAGTGAAAGAAGAGAGTTCCAGTTCTAATAGTCTTTTGATTAACAATTCTTTTCTGAGAAATGATTTTTATAAGAAATGGGGTGATTCTTTAAATGCTTTTCTTAAGTTGAAGGCACAACAGTTAATGGCTGTATTGTTGCTATTCCGTTGCTGACATGTTTTTGATAAAGCTTTAACATTCCTGCTACTAATTTTGGCGGAGAGTGTTTGCCAGGTTTCAATGTGGGCTGCAGCTTTTTGTGCTCCTTCTCTGGTTTGCAGTGTAATGAGTTCATAAGCTAAATTTTCAGAAAGAATTTTGTTTAAGATTATGCCTCTTATCTACTTGAGAGCAACATGTCTTTTCAATCATGGGATTGACACATGAAAAATAAAGTTATTTCTTAATCAATTTTGGGAAGCAGTCTTTTATTGAGAATCTTTGAAACTGGAGTGTCCTGCCTGAGAACACTTTGCAGTTGTTGGTCCTAGTTATATTGTAAAACTTGCAGTCCCCGCAGGTCTTCTGACCCTTCCAGAGTTAGTATTCCTAGCTGTGTGTAGTCCACAGCATACACGCAAACACACACACACTCAAATGTAGTTTTTAGTGATAACTTGCTGGGGGTTGTCTTTCAGAATGCAAACCCCTCCTTTGGGAGGTGCTTAAAATATTTCTATCAGCCTATGTATATATGTGTATGTTTTTAATTTCTTTTCCTCTTGGGATGGATGATTTTTCTCACCAAGCATTTCACAAATCATATGACCTCACTTCTGCAAAAATAGTCTCTTCGTCATTGATAACGTTCATGCAAGATTCAGTAGACGCTAGGCAGCATCACTCGGCACGTGTCCAGCTGGAGGGAGGCATGGAGTGTCATTTTCTAATCTGGGAGCGTTGTGCACTATTGAGCTCATTCTTGACTTAAAAAAAAAAAATGAAACAAAAGAGGCTAACATCCATTGCCATCCAGCTGAGGACATAACCTCATATCTGCCCATCCTCTTTCTGAGTTTTGTCCAGAGAAGGTAGTAAGTTTGGACTTGTACCCTATTTTACTTGAGCTAAAACTTGATGAAGACTTTGGGTATCTTAGGTAGATCTAGTAACAAGGAAAAAACTCCTATGTCTTGATTAATCAAGATAAGGATCACTATTAAAGGGGATATAATACTTGAACCCCTAAAGCTACTTTTTTTTAAAGGGTCAAAACATCTTTTTCCCCCCTTTTTTTGGAAGTTACTTTTAATAAGTGTAAAAGCTACAATTAAAAAGTAAAAAATTCAGCCTTTGGGTAAAACTAATGAATTCTTTTGAAAAAAAATTATTTAAAAAGCACAATTCCTTTATTATACACAATAGTTTTGCTTAGTAAAACTCAAGTTGTTTGAAATCTGGAGGCTGTATGAACTAATTTTTATTTTATTTTTGTTTTATTTTTTGAGATGGAGTCTTGCCGGCTGGAGTGCAGTGGCACGTTCTCAGCTCACTGCAACCTTCACCTCCTGGGTTCAAGTGATTCTTCAGCCTCAGCCTCCCGAGTAGCTGGGATCACAGGTGCCCGCCACCATGCCGGCTAATTTTTTTGTATTTTTAGTAGAGATGGGGTTTTGCCATGTTGCTCAGGCTGGTCTCGAACTCCTGGGCTTAAGCAATCTGCCCGCCTCGGCCTCCCGAAATTCTGGGATTACAGGCATGAGCCACCGCGCCCAGCCTTATTTTTAAAAAATTCTCATTAATTCATAGCAGGCAATTATCAGGATATAATAAAAGAGGCAAAAAGACCACGTAGAGTGTGTAGTGCTTGACTGGTTGTTGCCGTTAGCGGTTGTTTGATATAGAGGAAACAAGTGGAGTGTTTTTTCTGGGATAATATGAGATACTCAGCAGAGACCTTATGGAAAATAAAGTCTTTTTAGAAGAGTAGTGGTGTAGAAATAGATGCAATTTAATCCCATTTTTAATTATCCAGCAATTTGAGAGTCACAACTTGTAACAAATTCACAAAGTGGCTAAGTAGAGTCTCTTCTCAATTGGAGTGTCTGATTTTACTGTGCATTTCTTTGGGGCATTTGAGATTTGTACATTTTTCTTTAATAGAAGTTTCTATATTCCATATATTACTTGCCCTACAATCATAATTCCATTGCCCCAGGATAAAGCACTACCTAATTGCAAGTAATCTTCTTGCTCATTTGTTGCATGTTTATTTCAAATAACTTATGCTTGGGGAAAACTTTCATGTGCTTTGTAAAATCCCCAGATTGAGTTCATAGTTGCAGGTATCTAAAGATTTGCCTTTGAAGACCTCAGGGATTGAATGAAATACCAGAAGCTATGCCCCAAAATACAACCACTTTTGTTTTCTTGTGTTTGTAATAAACAGTGTTAGAATCAGACCCAATTAACCCAGACTATTTTTTAATCTTTCTTTGGTCAGACGAATCACATTAAACATGATATTAGAAAAAAAAACTTCTTTAATGGGAAATTTTACGATTGAAATGATGTTTCATCTTATAGACCACAAACAAATGTTTTTAGACATTGAAAAGTGGTTAAAGACCAACTGCGCCCAGTCCCCCAAGTGCCATTTTCTGAGTGCAGAATGGAGGGTGACGTCTTGAGCTGATGCTGTGTCCCCAGCATCAGGTTTTCTGTTTTCCCTCTTCTCCCTTTATTCCTTCCTTGTCCATTGCCCTCAACCTTCTTTTTCTGTTTGCTCTGGCCTGGTTCAGTATAACATATCCATGAACTCTAGTATGGGCCTACGGACAATCATAGCTACAATCAGACTTTCTAAGCAAATGGGAATGTGATATACATATAACCATTAGAAACCCTATCATCACCTCCTAGAGGGGAAGTGAATTTCTTAATTTTTTTAGTTGCAAGAGTCACTTCTTAGCCAACTGACTAGAGAATGCAGAATGAACAGGGGAGGAAGGAGCTGATGGCACAGCCTTAGAACAGTAACCAGAACACACCCCCATCAAGTGTCACCTCCAGGAAGGCGCCCCACCCCCATCCTCCGTTTTCTGGGCTCATATTTAGGTAAAGCTCTAAGACTCCTGAGCCAACTTTTATGTAACTGGCTTTCCTAGGCTGGGGCTTGAACTAAGTAAAGAAGCCAAGGAGTTCAGATCTAGATAGCAGAGAAGTAAGTCTCATTCTAAAACATTGCAACTACTGTTAGAGTCCACCCCATGAAGCTGTTTCAGATTGTGTATCTTTGACTGAATTCTATAAGTATATATTGTTCAGACTAAAACAAATGTTGCTAGCTAGGTTGGCTGTGCTGTCTCAGTAGGACATTGACAGACTCCAGCTTTCACCCTCTGGAGACCTTGGACCTAAGTGCCACATGCATTATGAGACCTGGTCCAGGAGCTGTCCTGCCATGGCTAGCTCACGGCTTGACAGCAATACTTCTTCTCCTTCTCCGCCCAGCATAGACTTGGTCACCTGAAAGTTAGAAGATCAGTAGGAAGTTAAAACATATCTTGTGGCCTGTGGGGATCTTGGCTTGGGCAATTATGGCAACCGTGACTACTGCAAAGATGGCTTCAAAGGTGAAATCTTTTGTAAGACTACATTTATTTAACTTGTTTGCCCCATTTCAACACCAGCTTGGTTCTCCTTTTCCTCCCTGCTTTGACACTCTCCTTTTCTTCCTCACTGTGAATGGGATTGTTATGCAAATTCTGCTTTTGGCAGTGTCTGCCTGGAGTAATTGGCATTTGCCTGAATTTCTCAGGCTTGCTCTGGAACAAATCACCTGCTTCTCTAATGAGCGTCAGCCTTGCAGCCCTCCAGAACATGCAAAACGTGGAGCAGTCAACACTTACCTTTGTCTCCTTTTTCTCCCTTGTGTCCTCGAGGGCCAGGTGGCCCAGGATGACCTGGTGGCCCAGCAGGGCCCCTGTCACCTGGAAGGAAAAATGGGGCGTAACTAAGTAATACATGAGTCTGGGGACTGAGGGCACAGGTAGCCGGTGTGGCACCAGCACAGGAGCTGCTTTTCAGTACGAGGTGGGTGTTAACACAGGATCCAGGGACTGGCTCTCTGCCACCACTTACCTTTGGGTCCTGGAGTGCCCATCTCTCCTTTTTGCCCAGGGGGTCCTTGAATGGCTCCATAAGCTGCAAAAGCAAGGAAACACTGGCCTTAGAGTCTTGATCACCTGGAAGCTTGGGACATCAAGTCATTTGTTCAGAGTAACACAGAGAGATAGTGATGGAGTTTGGACGTGTAAGAGGAAACAAAGTTCAGAATTTATAGAATTTGTCTAATTTTGAGCATCTCAAATGTTAATAACTGGAGATTTCTCATGAGACTGGTGTCTCTGGAGCAGACCCGTGGGAACCTATGCAGTGAGGCAGGTGCTGGGAAAGCAGTTGGATGCCCTTACTTTGGAAGAAGTCCATGAGGTCCGCAGTCACGTTGCTGTAGGCAGAGAAGACCTTGCTGATGCCGGGTGGCCCCTGTGGCCCAGGCTGGCCTGGTGGGCCCTGGACAGTGTAGGCCATCCCTTGCAGTAGGCCCTGACCTGTAAAACACCAGAGCTTGGGCACAGGAAGCAGGGATCTCCCAGTACCCTCTTCAGCAGGAGCACAGTGCCCTCCGAGTGTCAAACTCCCAAAGCAGTTGAACTAGATCAAGCCGCAGCAAGGGTGAAGCCCTCCAACTTCCTTTGTATTCCACTGTGTGACTGGCACAGGTCTCTTCCTGCTGTGGGCCGGCATCAAAAGCTTGTTGACTGCGTAACTGTGCCGTTAAGCTGCGCGGGGAAAGGACTCTTAGCCAACATCCTTCTCTCGGCCCCAGCAGAAAATCCAGCATGGTCATATGACTCATCTGGGACCCAGAACGAGCTAGGTGTTGGGAAAACAAAGTACAAAGCCCCCAGCGTGCTCTGTTCCCCACAGCTCGGGTCCCAGGACTGGGGCTCCTTAAGCTGAGTAGGCTGAGAGCTAGGCTGGGGCTGCCTGTCCCCTCCAGCCCCTGCCTGCTTGATTCTGTCTTCACAGCCTGGGGGTTCCACAAACAAGAAAGCCAGTCTGGAGATGCTCCCACGCTCCTTCCCCCCAGCACCAAGGCCTAAATGTCCCCACTTACGCTGCATGCTCTCTGACACCCTCACAGCCAGCTCATTGTAATCCAGATCTCCAGCAAAGTCAGCTCCCAATAGTCCGCCATTGCCAGCATACATGCCGCCTTCTGCTGCTGCCCCATAGCCTCCGCCTGGGCCGATGTCAGTGCCATAGGGACCCCTGTCTCCTGCAGCTTCACCAAAGGCACCGCCTGCACCCAGGGAGCCTGCACCACCTCCTCCTGTGCTCATGGAAGAGCTGTAGGAGCTGCCCCGCCTGACAGATGAGCTGTGTGAGGAGGAGCTGCTACCCCGACTGTGGGAGGCATCCGTGGACAGGAGGCGGCTGTCCCCAGGGGGTCCCTGCGGCCCAGGAGGGCCTGGGGGGCCAACAATGAAGCTGCGCACATCAGGACCTGCAGGGTGAGAAGCTGCATGAGTGGGAGCTCAGATCTCGGTGGAGAGAAAGACTTGGGAGTTAGGGAGTCTCTCCCAGGGTGTCAATGCCCCTGAGAGACCAGAAGTGAACTTCAGGGTTCTTGTACCCGAGTGGGAGAATTTTGGTGTGGAAGGAAACCGGGCTTACCCCACCAGTGGCTCTCGTGTGGCCTTCCTGTCCCTTTAAGTGCCTCCCTGCCCCACTTACAGGGAAAAGCAAGGCCTGCGGGGTGCCTGGTGGGGCATCACCGTCGGGGCACCTACTTGTGAGGTAGCTGATCAGCTCGCTCCGGAAGCTGTCGCTGTTTTCAGCTGCATAGGTTGCCAGGGCTCCTGAGACACCCGGGGGCCCTCGAGGCCCTGGGGGACCAGGAGGTCCTGGAGGGCCTGGGATGAATGACAAGCCGGCAGCTGGGCAGAAGGAAGAGAAAGAAAGGTCGGGGTAGTGCTGCGGAGGAAGCTGAATTCCCAGCCTGTGCTCGGGGCGCTGTGGGCCCCACCTGAAAGGAGGGGATGAGGCTGGGCCTCCCGGGTGATGGGAGGAGAGAAAAGCAGGAGGCCAGAGCCTGCTGTTTCCTGACATCATCCAGGAATGGCTGTTCCCGTCAGGCTCTCCCACTCCCAATTCTGAGCCTCATTCAACTCAGCCCTCCAGTCACTGAGAGGTGGAGCCCCAGGTCGGCCCTAATCACACACCGGGCTGCGCCTGGGAAAGCCATCTCTCCCCACCTCTGTCCCTGCCACGGCTGAAGGCCCCTTGCCAGCACATGTGGCGCTCTCCAGGGCCCTGCACCCAGCACTGTACAGGCTCCAGGAGCACTTAGACTGCCCTTGCTAAAGCCCATGGGAGCCCCCAAGGCCCGGCTGCATCCCCTGCCCTCCCCATCCCACTCCACAGTGCCCTACTATGTAAGTAAGACGAGAGGTCCTCCACGCTGATGCTGGACCACACATTGCCTGGGATCCCTGGTGGACCCGGGGGACCTGGGGGTCCAACGATGCCTCTGAATTCAGACCCTGAGACACCAAGGGAGGGCACGGAGTCAGTCCTGGCCTGGGCCAAGGGACTCTGCTTCCTCCCCAACCAGTTGGACAGATGTCCCCTGCTGGGCCTTACCTCGCAGCAAGGAGAGGAGCTCCTCATAGGAGGTTCCCGGCAAGCCAGGGGGCCCCGGGGGACCAGGAAGCCCAATGCTGATCCCAGAACCTAGGGAGGTGATGGATTCAGATCAGGCAGGGGGAGGCAGATGGAAACACCTGTCAGAGAGGAGGTCGGATACAGAAGAGGTTTGGACAGAAGTGGGGTCCAAGAAAGAAAAGAGATGGTGGCAGGAAGAGAGGCAGAGAGGAGGAGCCCAAAGGAGGAACGGAGGGGCCCACGGGGCCGGAGAAGCAGGTCCAGTGTGCCTGTGTGCTTCATTCTGTGTGTGTGTGTGTATGAGTATGTGTGTATGGGAGTGAGTGTGTGTGTGTATGGGAGTGTATCGGAGTGTGCGTATGGGAGTGTATGGGAGTGTGCGTGAGTACTGGAGTGTATGGGAGCGTGTGTATGGGAGTGTGTATGAGTGTGTGTGTATGGGAGTGTATGGGAGTGTGAGTACAGGAGTATGGGAGTGTGTTTATGGGAATGCGTGTGTGTATGCATATGTGAGTGTGTATGGGTGTGTCTGAGTATGGAAGTGTGTGTATAGGAGTGTGTGTATGGGAGTATGTGTATGGGAGTGTGTATGGGAGTGTGTGTGTATGGGAGTGTGTGTGTATGGGAGTGTGTGTATATGTGTGTGTATGGGTGTATGGGAGTGTGAGTATGGGTGTGTGTGTATGGAAGTGAGTGTGTGTGTGTATGGGAGTGTGAGTATGGGTGTGTGTGTATGGGAGTGTGTGTGAGAGAGAGAGAGTTGTATGTAGACTCCACACGAGACAGTGCCTGAGACCCCCGTTTTGGCTTTCCTTGCCATGCTTCTTGACCTGCTCCAGGCTCACAGGTTTGAACGGCTCTGAGCACTGCTCATTGCTGGGGTTGGTGCAGTCTGGCAGGTGGGGGTCAGTGGGGCAATCACAGGGAAGTTCACGCTGCGAGTCCTCATCCCAGTCATCCCAGGCCCTTCCCAACCACCCCTCCTGCAGACACTTACTCGACATGTAGCTGAGAATGCGACTACTCAGCTCTGCATAGTCCAAAGACAGGAGGGACCCATCTCCACTGGCTCCTGGTGGCCCTGGCGGACCCCGAGGGCCCATCAAGTACTGACGTAGGTACTGACGCACGTCATCCCCTGGAGAGGAGAGGATGCACTAGCAGGACCCACCCAGGCCATGGGGGTCGCAGCCATGATCCAGCCACAGCCTGGGCTCCCCTGCACAAACTGGCTCCTGCGTGACATTTGTGAGTTCTGGGTCCGCAGGACCACGGTGTTCAGGGGGGACACCAGCAAGCTGCCAGGTTCCCAAAGGGACACCTGCCAGCTTGTCTGGCATGGGGGCTTGGGAGGACATTTCCTGCCCCCTTTCCAGCCGGTTTGCTGACTCAGCAAGCAGATCAGAGCAGTAAGTGGCTCTTTGTCCAAAGGACTCTGCCTCCCTCTTGCAGCCCTTCCAAGGCTCAGACGAGGACAAGGTTTGCATGACGAGTGAGGCCAGGAGAAAGCAAAGATAGTCCCACCCTCGATCCCCCCACAGGTGACTCACGCTGCAGCACAGCCAGAATGTCTTCAGAAGAGATGGAGGACGAGAACAAGCTGACACCGTACCCCGAAGCTGTCGGGAAGAAAACCTCAGGTTACCTGCTTAGCAGGTACTGAAGCAACACCCTCACTATTCCAGAATCTGAAAGGCCCGGTCACCGAGCTGTTTGTCTTTGGGGGAAGTGGATGAATGGAGTATTACGAGGCTATTTTGAAAGCATAACAAAGTCAAATACTGTTGTTGGGATTTTTTTTTTTTTTGTAAGAAAGGAAGTTTATTTTTGAGAACATGCTTTAGCCTAATGCCTGCCAGATGCTGCCAACCTTCATGCACAGGTGGGAAGAACCTATAATTAGGAACACATTAGTCAATTGCCGGAAGGCTCACTCGGTGTCTCTCCAGCGTGGCCGCCCTGAATCTGGACAGACCCTTGTTGACACTGTATCCCAGTGGCCCGATTATTATGAATTCGGAATTAAAACTCATGTTCCAGAGAAGGGCAAAGCAAACAGCAAACGAGGAGATGAGGCTCTGGGAGCAAAAGCAGACCCACAGGAGGAAGGTGCCAGGTGCAGGGCGTGGGGAAGGGCTTACTCCGTAAGTAGCTCACAACGTGGCTTGCCAGCTCTGAGTAGTCGAAAGTCTCGCCTGTGATGGTGGTGACAGGTCCTGGGGGACCAGGTGGGCCTGGGGGACCCTGAACTCCGGATAGGTAAGATCTAATACTGTCACCTGCCGACCAAGGAACAAAGCAAAGTCAAGCCTGTCCCAAGAGGACATGTTCTCCCCACGGAGGTGACCTGAAGCACATGATAACATGCCTGCCCCGCCCCACACATGGGCCCAAGGCTGGGCCAGGAGGGAGCCTAGACTTCCCCTCACTGTCCTTCCCCTAAATTACAGATGGAGAAACTGAGGCAGAGGCCTGAGCTGGGTCAAGTGGCCCATGAGGGCTGTGGGCCAGCAAGACTCCAGCCAGCCACCCATTTGACAAATGAGCACATGCAAGGTGTGGTGTGAAAGCATGTGCGTGTAGGGGATGAGCACGTGCGCCAGCCTCCTCCCCAGGGTGTGGGCGAGGTGAGGCTGTGTCGGGGGCAGCTATGAGAAGGCTGGTGTTGGGGAGCTCATAGGCCTGTAGGCCTGGCTCTGCAGGGGGAAGACCTGGGCCTGGACACATAGACACACATACACACACACACACACACACACACACACACACACACACACACACACACACTCCCACTGCCCTACATCGTCCCATGTCTCTTAGCCTCATTTCTGTGATGATACCACAGCTCCCTTGCAAAGAGACTGTATCTCCATGTTCTTGTCCCCACGGCTTGCGGCGGCCAGCTACTCACTCTGCATGTACTCAGAGATGTACTGCTGAATCTCCTGGCCAGAGCTGCTGATAGAGCCCGGAGGCCCAGGGGGCCCAGGGGGCCCTGGCGGGCCTGACACGTACATGGTACTTGATGATCCCCCTGCAGCAAAGAGAAAGCGTCCTGTGTCGGTTTCTCCACCCTAGGGTCAGACAAACGGGCCCAGGAATAGCTTCCATGGTCTGAGGAGGGAGGGTCTTCTCAGGAGGAGAAATAGGATAGTGGCAAGGAGAAGGGTCCCCGAGAAGAGAAGAAAGGACAGCCTGTAACAGCCACTGTCTGAAAGTGGCACAGAGCTAGGAAGCTGCCCCAGGCCAAACCGCCCTTTCCTTCTGCAACCTGCTGAAGGACCCCCAACATCGCATCCCCCTTCTCTCAACTCCCCAGCACCCTGGGTCTGTCTGTTCTCCATCATGCGGTGTCTGCATTGTTAGGTATCATTATATGTACCTGGGTCCTTCCCCTCAACCCAATAACTCGTAACCTCCTTAAAGGCAGCTCATAGGTCCTAGCACATGGAGAAGACAGCCAATCAACAACGAATCATGGAGAAATGAATGAACGAATAGAGCAACATCCTCACTGGAATGATCAGCCTTCACCAGAAGAAGTGGAGAGGAACTTTGGTCACTTTCAGTTCTTACCTTCAGAAGGACCACTAGGAATGCCAAGAGCCCCTGGAACACCTGGATCACCTGGAATCCAAAATGAGAAGTTTGCCTCACCTCCTCCAGGAAGCCTTCCCTGGTTAAGCCAAACCACACTTATTAGTGTGTGTCTCAACAATCGTCCCATGTCTCTTGGCCTCCTTTTTGTAATAATACCACAGCTCCCTTGTACAGAGGCTATATCACCATGTCCTTGTCCCTTCCACCCTCTGGCCTTTCCTTCCTCCAGCCTCTTCTCTCTCCCAAGACTTTACACTGATGAGTACTTGCTGCCATCTCTTCAGGCTCTGGGCTCTGGGCACCAGGCTCACCCCTACTCCTCACCACCTTCTCACTGCTCCCTCACTGACCTTTGTCACCTTTGGGTCCCTGGGGGCCAGGTGGGCCTGGTGGTCCCTGAAGGTTGAGTCCGAAAGAACTGGACCCTGGAAGCCAACAACACACACAGTGCAGTCAGCCAGGGTTTGGAGAGGCTCTGGCCAGAGCCAGAATGGGGCGGGGTTCAGCCCTTACCTGAGGTTGAGAAACCTGGGAGGCCTTGCTCGCCTGAGGAACACACCAAGGGAGGGACAGTCAGCCTCACTTTTCTCACCCACTAACAGCCCTGTAGAGCCTCCCCAAGATCCATGATTGCTGGGGCTGCGTTGCCCTTTGGGCAGTACCTAGAGATGCCACACACACACACACACACACACACACACGCACACGCACACTTGCACTACACCCATGCACACACTCAACCATTCCTAGAGAAACACTGCTCTACTCTTGCTTATTTGCACCAGGTGCCTTTCTATCAAGCTCAAAGCTCTTGGGAGGTGAGCTTTTGCCATCCCCACCCCTACCCCAGGTTTTGTTTGATGCCGGCTCTACTGTACCTTGGTGTCCTCTGGGGCCTGGGGGACCTGAGGGAAAAAGGCAGAGAGCTATGAGACAGGTACCAACCAGGTGTTGTGGTTTCAATGGGCCCATGGAGGAGGGGATAGGGGCTCCAATGCTAGAGCAGATATAGAACTTGGGGTTCCTTGTGCCTCTCCTCTCACTAGGCCAATGTTGGGTGGCTATCCTTTGTAGAGTTTCTGACTATTGTGCCTCCCCCTCTACCTTTGCTCCAGGCTGCTGAGTTCCTAATGGGATAAGGCAGAAGGATGCAAAAATGCCCCAGCTCATTCAGCTTCATCCAAACCCTCCTGGCAACCAGCAGGTAAACAGAGGACACATACTGGCTTCTGGGTTCCCTGATACACTGTTCTCACCTTGGTCTCCCTTGGGACCTGGGGGGCCAGGTGGGCCTGGGGGGCCGGAGAGGAAGGTTTCTGCAGAGGAAGGAAATAGTTTGAGTATGGACACTGATGTTTGTGAAGAAGCAGCACTTTGCACAGCACCTGACAACATAGATGCTCAATCAATACTTGTCAAATAGTTGGATGGGTGGATGGATGGATGAATGGGTGGGTGGATGAATGGGCGGGTGGGTGGATGGATGGATGGATGGATGGATGGATAGGTGGATGGATGGATGGATGGATAGGTGGATGGGTAGATGGATGGATAAATGGATGGGTGGATGGATTTTCCACTAGGAACAGGTTCTGGCCTAATGTTTGCTTTAAAGTTATTTCCACAAGTTTCTATGTTGTACGGTCGGCACTTACTTCACGCGCATGTATCCTGCCTACTTTATCAGACCTGGGCTCCCCAAGGATAGGAACCAGGTCTCCCTGGTTAGGCCAGAAGCTCCCCAAGGGCAGAGCTGGCTCCCTCCCTCAGGCCAGACTACCAGGGTGGTTGGGTTGACATGGTTATTCCCTCCATGTGCAGCAAGCAGGAAGATTATATAAACATATCCCCATGGAAGTCAGGAGCAGGAAGCCTGGTGAGTAGGTTGTGACCACAAGGCTACGGCCACAGTCTGTGGCAGGACAAGGGCTGAGGTGGAGAACAGGTGCGACTTGACTCCCTGACATTACCTGAGTTGGACAGGAACGATCCTGGTGGGCCTGGTGGGCCTGGCAAACCCTCCCCTAGGAAAGAGAACCCCCAAGACTTATTAGTGCCAAGAGGGGAGCCAGGAACCCTCTGCTCAGGAGGAGGCAGCAGGGAAGCTCTTTCCTATAAGCCAGCCCAGAGGGCCCTGGGCTCAGGGTCCCATTGCTACCCACCTCTCACCTCCCCCTCCCACCTCCCAGTGGTAAGCTCGGCTCTCACCTGGTGGGCCTCGGGGTCCTGGTGGGCCTGGAATGGAAGGCCCTGCAGAAGAGAGCAAGGAAGAGGCCATGCTGAGCTCAGGGAGCTGATGCCACCCCTGAGGATCTTGGCTTCCTCACTAAGTGCATTGAATCTCCTGTCCCCCAAACTCCCCACCTTCCAAAGGTCTCCAAGATACTCACCTGGTGGCCCGCGTGGGCCGGGTGGGCCTGGGGGACCTTGTAAATTAAGAACTTCTATAGAGAGAAGAAAATAGAAATGAGCAAAAGCTGTCACGAGGCTGCTCTCTGCCACACTTCTCACCTCTCACTGGATCTGCAGTTCCAGGCACTCCAGGCTACCCTCACAGCCCAGACACCAGGCCCTGTGTCATGGCACAAGAGCCTGCAGCACCTCATCTGCTAAGGGTGCCCCTCACTCAGAGGCAGGGCAGGACCATAGTCAAGCTCCCTGACAGCTGATAAGAGCATGTGGAATGATGGGGATACATTGGATTTCGGTGTCAGAAAGTCTGAGTTCAAACCCCTGCTCCCACACGTCTAGCTGGTGACTTTGGGCAAGTTCTCAACCTCTTTCAGCCTCAGTTTCCTCCTCTGTAAACCAAGGTCAAAAAGATCTACATCACGGGGGTGTTGGGAAGACTCGGTGAAACACTGAAGACCAAGCTCCTAACACAGTGATAGCTCAGAGTGAGCGCTGGACCGGGTGGGCTGAAGCCTCTGCTGTTCTGCACTCCAGATGTCCAGGTGGGAGGCCCGGCAGTCTCCACCTGGGCTCCTTAAAGGACCCGGGAGTGAGTCCTCTCAGCCTGGGCCTGCAGCCGAGAACCCACAGACGGTTGTCATTGCTCTCTGGGTCAGCTGTACACTCCTGCCAGATACTCATCTTCAAGGCCAAGTCTGCCCCTGGTCCTCTTGTAATCCCAGAACTTCTCTGACAGCTGCCCCAAGCCCCAGGGAATCACCTTGCAAGACCCCGGTGAAGAGCCCTGGCCCTGTCCTCCTTTTCCAAAACACACCTTTCACGTCATCTAGAACAGAGAGGCCCATGTCCACCCTGAGAGGAAAGTCCTCCCGACTGGGCCCATCGCTTTGCATTCTTGCAGGGTGTGACATACCTTGATGTCCTGGGAGACCAGCTGGGCCGGCAGGGCCTGGAAACGGGGTTGAGGAAGAAAAGGCTAAATCATGCATGTAGGGTCATAGGAAGAACTAAAGGCATAATTCCTCCCAAGGCATGGAACAGAGACCCAAAGAGGCCACCTTGCTTATTTGAGAGCAATAAGCAATTCGAGATCAGCCCTGCGGTCCAGTTGCGTGAGAACATCTCTGACAGGCACCGGGACCCCGGGGCAGGCGGGACTGCCCCCTCTGCTGCTGTCCTGTAATGGTTAGGGACTTCTACATGCCTCTATGTACTCCTTCTCACTGGAGCTTGTCAGGAGGGAAGGCTGGTACATTCTGGCCTTGGTTGTGGTAAGTTGTGTACTTCATTTGTACATAAAAATTTAAAATAATTAAAAACACATATAACAAAATAACAGGCACTTTGGAAAGGTAGGAAACAAATTGTCCATAACTCTTCAATGTGTGGGCATTTTATTTTCTTCCAGCATTTTTTCTTTTTTGCATCTTGTATTAATACAGTTGAAACCACAGAGCAGGCATTAGTGAGTGTCCTGCTCTTTCAATAAACGTTTTATCTCCTAACAACTTTGTTCAGAAGTTTTCATATTTTTGTCACCATCCCATGTGGAGATATTTTCTTCAAATAGATACCTAGCATTTTTGTTGCCCTGGATGCAGAATATCAAATTGTTTTCCAGGAGGAAACAAAGGGCTCAAGGACTGAGTCTTCTGATTGGCCACAGGCTCTGGAGGTAGACTGATCTGGGCCAAATCCTTTGTCCTGCTGCTTATTGGCCGTGGGACCTTGGGCAAGTCATTTACCCACTCCAAGCCTCAGCCTCCCCTTCTCTAAATGCTGAGAGCACATTCACCTCCTATGCTGTGAAGTAGGATAACTGATCTACCTCATTGTCTGAGAATGCAAGAGTTTGCTTTTCTCAGGCCAAACTCCTTATTCTCTTTACCAGGTTCAGTTCCTGCCCTGGGTTTCAGGATCTGAAGAAATATGGCTAGAGTCACTACCGCCAAGACCTATTGCTGATTTGGGGCAAAGCAAGAAAATAGACTGACCTGGGGCACCTGGAGGTCCTGGGGGTCCCATGGCTCCAGGAGGTCCTGGGGGGCCTGGGACAGTGAGCATCGATGACCCCTCTGAAAACAGAAGGCACATGGAACATTGAGCCCTACTTTTCTCACTCAGAGGCGCTGGGACCCAAGCCAGGTTGTGGTGGGCAGCCTGGCATTTCTTCTTCTCATCGCTGCTAAATTTCCCTCCTCCCCCGCTACTGATCCAAAAAACTCCCAGCCACATCCTGCCCAGAACGCTGCAGAGTCAAGGTAGGTGCCCAGTATAAGAAAGACACAGAAAGGAGGGTCCCTCTAGGACCTGCCTACCCGAAGTCACGATCTTGCCTGGAGCTCCTGGTTCACCTAGGAAGAGAGGAAAAGGCTGAGAGTGGTTGTTCTGAGGATCAATTAGTGGCTCAATAAGCCATTTTCAAGGCTTCTGATTGCATTTGGGACCCACTTCTGGGCCTCTCACCATCAGGCTAAAGGCATTTTAATGAACTGAAGGAAGGCAAGCAGGATGCATTAAGCCCCAATCTTTCAGCCAGAGTCCCTGGAGGCCAGAGCATCCGTCTTCATTCAGAGAAGTGGCTTCACTTGAGGATGTGGAAAGCTTGCCTTTCAGTGAGCCCAGAATGGGGCTGACTGGAGAGTCCTTCATGCTCCCACATTCCACCACCTCTGCCTGGGAATCGCCTTAGGTGGGAAAATTACTCAAAGGTCAAAGGACAGAGGCGATGAGCCCGCCAGGTAGAGCGGGATTCCTAGAGTGCTCTGTGGGACAGTTGTAGGGGCTGTGCAGGATTAAAGGGGGGCTCTGCAGTGGGTAAGTCTAAGAAGGTCTGAGTTATATAAAGGTTAACAAGATCTCTTTTCTGCCTTGTGTCTCAGAGCATTGAAAATACAAGTGTGCGTGGAGAACTTTCGAGAAGAGGACATTCCCAAACGTATCAACTGGATGCAGTGCTGAGAACTGACAATCCACGGACTCACTTGGGGAAACCATTCTTTAGGGGCCCCTTTTTTCATTTCTCAAGTTCTGTTAGCAATTCAGTCATTCACACAATGAAAGGAGACTATTGCTCTCTCCCCTAAAGGAAAGCAGAGGGATGGTCTCTGCTCACCATCCTTCAGCCAGGGCTCATGAACAAGACGGGAGAAGCACTTGAGTTTGTTTTGTTGGGATGCAATCCAACGTTCGGTAAAATGGCCCCTCTTGTGCATGTTGTCCAGGCAGGGTCTGAACTCCCCCTTGGACTGGAAGTCACGGGCCCTCAAAAAGGGAAGGTTTCTGTTATTCTTGGGAATTCCAAAACCTATGAGACTCTTACAAAAGGTACCATCCATTCGTGAACATATCCACGGACCTAGTGTGGTCTGCCTGGGACCTATAAACTCAGTTATCATTATTTTGGAATTACATTTAGTTAGCCCTAAAGAACTCCTTGGCCCAATCAGTCATTGGAAATGATTTCTGGAAAGTGGTTATTTTAGGGTCCCACCAAGAGTGACAGTGACTGCTCATGACAGAGCACAGCTCCATAGAATGTCAAAGTTCAGGAGCGTGTTGGAATCAAAGGAACAGAAGGACAAAGACCATCCCTGAGCACTGTGGGTCCCTGAACTTGCTCGGGGTTGAGGTCTGATAGGCAGAACTGGACAAGAGGGTCACTGTGTGCATGGGCATCACCACATTGCCCCAGTCAGACCCCCGAGGATGAGCTCCCCTCTGAGTACCCGACTTGCCCTCTCAGTAGCATCTTAACACTCCTCTCTGCCTGTACTAAAGCCTCCTCTCAGGAAGGGTCTGATGTAGCCATTCACACCAAGGCTGATATGAATGATAAGGGCAAAGGTAGCTCCTGCCCCAGGGGAAAAGACTTGTTAGGAGGGGACCAAGCCTACATACCAGGGGGATGAAGCACTAATGGGGGCATTTAGAGGCAAAACAGGGCACAGAAAGGCTTTGGGGAGGGCAGTGCCCTTCTAGAACCTCCTGTAACAGTGGCCTGGAGACATCCAAGTATGAAAGCAAGGCTCAGGTTTGTGGGGTGGGGAGGTGTTTGGGGAGGGGTGGGGCTTGAGGACTGGGCTTGGTTCACAAATCCCTGGGCTCCCAGCCTCATAGCCCTCTGCTAGAACCACTAGATGCCACTGTTGATCCAGGCTCTGGCCAGAGAGAGGCCTCCTCCTGTCCATCCCTTCCTTCCACAAAAATGGCCAGTGAAAAGAAAGAAATCTCATTTGGAAATTCACTTACCTTTTATTCCTGGTCGGCCAGGGGTACCGGGAAGTCCTGATGTGATTAGAACAAGTAGTCAGGACGATGAAGGCCCAGCAATTCCAGATACCCTTGGGTGGTCACTAGTGCTCCGTCACTCAGCACAGCCACACTGCTGACTGAAACCCTGGGACGCACCAGCTTTGCCTTCCGCCTTAGTCTAGACAACCCCGGGGAGCCTCTTGCTCTGAGCCCTTGTCCCTCTTTGGGAAATGGGGCAACAGCTTGGCTTGGAGCAGGCAGAGGCCTATGGGCTCAGTTTTGGAGGGTTCCATCCCTTGGGGTTATGAGCCACCTGGAGCCTGCAGAGCAGCCTCTGTCTCCCTTCTCCCCTGCAGGGGAGGGGCTCGGCTTCCTGAGTCCAATGCAGCATCACCCTCTTGCCTTTAACTACTGAACTCCTCTGTAAGAGCATTGGAAGCATGTCCCTATGAATTCAACTGCTGGGGGGCTGCTGCCTGATTTCATTTTCAATCTTTGCCTAATTTCTTTCAGGAAATTAGGGGATGAATGTAGTGATATGGGGGCACAATGGTCCAATTACAGGACAGGCTTTAACACTGAGGCTGTCCCAGAGAAACTGGGCTTTCCCGAACAAGGATGAGCGCCCATGCCCTGTCATGCCAGTGGGGGAACTTGGGCCTCTGGACTAACAGCTCTCCTGGCTAGTGGGAGCTCAGCTATGAGCTTGGGGTTCCTCTCAGATTCCTGCACCCGAGGGGAACAGGGCACAGGCAGACAGAATTGACACACAATCTAATCTCATTTCTACTCGAATGGTGTTCTAGATTGTTCTGTGCCTATTTTTCCTTCCTAAGGTGCTTCTCACGACTCATAGTGAAAGGGAGTGTGTGCCAGGGAGTTGGTGGAGGAGAGGAAACTCTGGTGACTGCAGGAAAAGCCCTGGCCCAAGCAGTTACCCCAGGAGAAGGTGGGAGACAGCAGGTGGGAATGATCCAGCGACTCACCCTGAGGTCCCTGGGGTCCTGTGAGACCTGCAGAAAATCAGACACAAGAGGGAAGAGTTGAAGGGTGGAGGCCATCCCTGGTAGCCACACCCACACCTGCAGAAACCGGTGGACACTGCAGTGGAGGGGTCAGTGGGTACAGAAGGACACGTCTCATGCCGGGGCAGCCAGCATCCTTGGACCTCTCAGCTCTGGATGGAGAGCAGTTCTTCGGGCTTTGCAGTGAAGCGACCCACCACTTTCTCAGGCAATGGTGCTGAGCCTATCTGGGTTCACAGACCCTTTTGGAATCTGAGGAGAGCCACAAATCCGGAATGCTCAACACTCACGGATCCCAATGCTGCCCCAGGTTCCCCCTCTATGGCTCCTGTCTGGGCACCCGCCAAAGGAGGCTGAGGAGGCCCCTACTCTCAGAGGCCCCCGATGAATGCCCACCCGCCTTGACCACACAGCTTTCTTGGCTGGTTTTCATTTGTTCTTCCTGCAACCCTGAGAAGTTTGCTCTTTGCTCTCGGTGGAGACTCTAACAATGGCTTCCTCCTCGGCCTCGTGGGTGTTGGTGAGGGCCCAGTACAGGAGAGGAGGACAAGAGGAGAAGGGCTCAGAGGAGCAAGATAGCGAGGTGACCTTCAAGTCTGCAGTTTTAAGAGTGTCCTTGCCCCTTTCTAGAAATCCTTATGTTTAGCTGTTAATCCCACTCTTCTGAATTGCCAGACTTAGTTACCCAGAGGTGCCAGGGCCTACAGCCACTGCACGCAAAACAACCTAACACTATGGCAGTTCCCTGCTGAGCTGCTGGAGGAAAACGGGATAAGGCACACATGGGTGCATTTGTAAACACCTGCATGCACACACACAACCATGCACATATACACCCCTTCCCCCACAACCTGCACACCTGCACATGCACACGCACACACATGCCTACATCCACACACACAAAGCACACACACACTAAGCAGGGCCATGGCTCCCTCTTCCTGCTCTGTTACCTGGCTTTCCTGGGTCTCCAGAAGGTCCTGGTGGGCCACGGATTCCAGGCATCCCAGTAAGACCTTGTTCACCTAGAGAGAGAATGGCCAACGTGGAAGTGTTTACATTTAGGAAAGCTAAACTGGTTATCACATCTGAACTGATAGTTTCTGAGGGTTTTCCTAATTGACTTGCTGGCAGGTGGAAAGGAGAAGGGGAACAGAACTGGACACTGCACACTTCCACATGCTATATGCTCCTCTGCACTATGGTTAAGGGGACTGAGGGCTGCATGCTGGAACAGGGGCTGTGACGGGAGTGAGGCTGGGGGCAGCAGATGAGTGACCAACCTCTTGGGCCTTGGTGTCCGTCTGGGCCAGCAGGACCTGGTAAAGTAGAAGCAAGGTCTCTCAGTTGCTCCTGGAGTGATTTCTGCGATTCCTCCCTCTACTGTCCCAGTGGCCTTGAAGCACATTGTGTCCCAGGAGCCCACGCAGCCATCAGCCACGGGACAGCCCTGTCTGTCACACTCTCTGGATACGGTACTCCCACTGCCCCTTCTCCTAAACCAGCAATTGTCTCTTTTCCTGTTGAGAATTGTTCAGTGCCTTCCCATTGCATCTCAAGCGCCTCGATGCTCAATGCTTGTCGCGTTTACTTGAGGGCCTAGAAGTCAAGGTCCTCCATGTTCTTGTCTCCTCTGCTCTAGGCATTATTGTAACCTCTCTCCAAAATGGTGGCCTTCTGGGACCATATCTTGCTCTTTCCCATTTCTTTGTCTTTCCCTGCTCGTGCTGTCATCCCTGCATGGAATTTTCCAGACTGGTCATGCTTAAAATCTTTCCAACTTTTTGGGACCACTTGAAATGCCCCCTCCTCCGTCCTTCCTATTGGAAGAAATCTCTCCTTTGACTGTATCCTCACAGCACTCTGTACCTTGCGTGACACTTGTCACCTCATGCAAGTCTTATCTCCCCTTGAGGGAGGTAAAGCATCTCATTTGCCTAGCACAGTGTCAGCACTCACAGCTGGGGAAGTGAACGAGAGTACACATGCTGCATCTCCACAGGTAAGGCTTAAACCCTTCTTGGGTTTGATCCTCAACATGGTCTTTTTTTTTTTTGGTTTTTTTTTGAGAGATGAATTCTTGCTCTGTCACCCAGACTGTAGCGCAGTGGTGTAATCATGGCTCACTGCAGCCTCCAACTCCTGAGTTCAAGCGATCATCCTGAGTCCCAGGGATTACAGGCGTGAATCACTGCACCTGGCTACCTCTGAGATTCTTGGTCAGTTTCTGCAGCCAGGCTGACAGGCACCTCAGGTGAACAAAAGGGTAAAAACCTGGATTTGGCCATGAGACTAGCCCTGGGATTCCTGGAACACTTGAGGCTCCTAAGGACTTCAACACTGTCTTCCCCAGGGGAGTGGGGAGCTCACAGGCAGCTCTTAGGTGAATGGACCATGCCCTGCAAGGCCTCTCCCAAAGTGGAAAGAAACCCACAGAGGTACCTGCAGCTCTCTGATCCCCAGAAAGGATGCCCAGACACAGAAATGACTGGTCAAGGGAGACTCTACCAGGAGTGGGCAGATTAGAGAGTAGGAGAGGCAGCTCTAGAAGACGGATCTCTCCAGGGTCGTGGTGACCCCTCAGATGGGGAACTCACTGAATCCATTCCTTTGGAACACTTACCCATTGCTCCTTTAGCCCCGGGCTCACCAACAGCACC
The DNA here is from genome assembly GCF_000001405.40 of Homo sapiens. Taxonomy (NCBI): domain Eukaryota; kingdom Metazoa; phylum Chordata; class Mammalia; order Primates; family Hominidae; genus Homo; species Homo sapiens. The sequence goes on from NC_000010.11 coordinate 104,049,446, forward strand.
AGGCAAACCTCTCATGCCAGGCTCGCCTGCAAAGGACAAAGAACTAGCTGGTTGGACACTTGCAAGCTGTGTATGCTTTAACAATGGTGGTCTGCTCCCTCCTCCAAGAGGTCAAGGAAGCAGCTTCTGCTTTGATTCCAAGGTCAGGGCCACTTGGAACCCCTGGGAAGTGGCATGGGCTCAACCAGAAACCACACCTAATCAGAATCATGGGCATGTGCATGAGTCTTATTTCCTTGGAAACTGAAAACCACCCCTTGAGTCACAGCTTTATCACTGTCAATTTCCTTTATAATCATGCCAGTTGGCAGGAGGTCAGTGGTTGAGAGGATACCGGGGTGCAAACTTTCTGCTGCTTCGGGAAGAGCTTAATTTTCTCAACTGTATTCCCCAAAAGAATCAGAGACAATCCTACACTTTCTTTTTTGCTCCAAACATTTACTGTTTGGACTATACATCTGGATACCTCCTTATCCTCCACTCCAGGCTTTATTTTCTCATCTTGTGTTTTTTCTAGATCACAAGTTCCCTGAAGGGTTTTAAACAGATTCGGTCTCTTACTTCTGGATTTTTTCCAACCTAGTGACTGATGGATTTACAAAAGTCGTGGATAGATTAAAGTAGATTCCCATGACAGACTGACCTGTGAGGCCTCGAGGTCCTTTCTCACCCTGGTCACCTAAAGCAAACAAGGGGGAGGTGGAAAAAGCCACAGTTGTGAGCAAGGAAAACACTCTCACCCAGTAACAGGGTCCCCGGCTGCAGGGTAGTTCTCACTGTATCCGTGAACTCCTGTCAGCGGATGTTGGTGAGGACACAGCATTAATGCAGCCAAAGGAGCACATCTGATCTTTGGCAGAGTCAGTTCCCCCCCTACAAACTGACTCCCCAGCCCCTGCTGTTGCACAAATTGGTGCCATGGACACAAGAGGTCAGATGCCTTGGAATTCTGTGTCTTCACCACCCCGAGAAACACTCACCACCCCAGAATTCAATGTGATGTTAGTGCTTTGTTTCCCTTCTTTGTGCCTCAGTTTCCCTATCTGAGAGGTTGGATTAGAATGAGATCTTGGTCCAGGTCCTGTGCACCCTCAGACCCTACAGTGAGGGTCCCATCTGGGCTCCCAGGAGTGAGGCAGGCCCTGGTAATGACAGAGCAGCAGTGAGTGGCATACCTTTGGGTCCTGGTGGTCCCATTGGTCCTTTGTCACCTAAAAAGGAAATGGACACCTTGGTGTAAAATGCCCTACAAGGGACAACCAGGAAGGGGCAATGTCTGTCTCTGAAGACAGGCTCCCTCAATCCTGACTTCTTCTTCCCCTCTTGCACTTGTCAGCCTGCATAGGCTGTGGGTCGTGTCCATCAGACCCTCACTGTCCCCCCAGGCCTCCCTCCAGCTTACCTTTGACACCAGGAAGTCCTACTTCACCTCGGAGCCCTTGGAGACCTACAGGACCTGCCCGGCAGAAGAAACCATGCACACAGATGAGTATCCCTAGCTTTGGAATGATGAGACATGTATGCACACACATGCACACATACAGGCACACATATGCACACACCCTATAGTAAAAGTCAAAGGATGCTTTCCATGGACTCCTTCCCAAGTCCTTTTTAAGTCATTTTGGCCCAGGTTCCTTGCCTCTGCTGATGAACAGGCATTAGAACACATTGTCGAGTCTTGGCAGAGGCACTGGCCACAGCTCAAGATTCTCAAGACAGCAGGACAAGCTCTGTGGCCATAGGGGACAAGAGAGAGGCAGGTGCTTGCTCAGATGGAGGCAGGATGGGGACTTCCATTGCTGAAGCTGCTGGAGGGTCTCAAGCCCTAAGCCAGGTCAGAAGGGATCTGGACAGGACATATCAGGGAGCCCAACCTCTGCCACAGGAGACACACATGCAGACTTGAATTCTATATCTCTAGGAGGCTTGCTTTATAATTGCTTCTTTGGCTTTAAAAATATTTGGTTTTCCTTTTAACATTGCCACCTTTGCCCTGGAAACAGAACCTATTTACAAGAAGCAGCAAACTGACCTGGAGGGCCCTGTGGGCCAGGAGAGCCGCTGGAACCTGAGAAGGAGGACAAGACAGCAATCAGCAGAGGGGCAGATACAGGTGGGGACATCTGGCCCCGGTGCAGGGCAGGTGGGGGTTAGGGACGCTGTCTTCCAGGTGAGGGCTGTGTGAGTGTATTGCAGGCCAGGGGTGACCCCAGTGCATGTCCTCCTTAGGGAGGGGGTGCAGCTGGGTGGGATCAAACTACCCTTTGCTCTTTCCTGGTCAGAGTAGAACATTTGGGCTGGGGCAGTAGAACATTTGGGTTTTGAGAAGGGGCCCATTCTCCCTGGGTTGCCCAGACATGTTACTTTTGGTGTGTGCATCTGGGCCGCAGTCAGTCAAGGAAATGGTCTAACTTCTGATTTCCTGAATGATCCATCCACCCACTTAGGGATCACATAACGGGGCCATTGAAGAGAGATGGAAACATGGCCCCAAGCCCATTATGGGGCTAAACTTACAGCCCTAGTCTTGACTCCCCAGGGACTGCTTTTCTGGGGGATGCTCTTTGGACCCACCCACCACCCCTGCACAGGCCTGGGGCAGGGGGTTAGGGCTGTCTGGGGTCCCAGGGCCTCTTCTCTGTGATCCATCCTGAATGTGGCTTCTCCTCTGGAAAACTTTGATTCCTTCCTGCACACTGGACTTACCTTTGGGACCCACAGAACCTGGGACACCAGGTGGGCCATGAGGACCTGGTTCACCAGCAGCCCCTGAGGAGAAATGGAGGGATGAGCACTTTGGGAGAGGCCCCAGTGTGGCTGCCCCCTATCCTGGCACTGTCATTTGGAGGGGATGCTTCCCACCCTGCTAGTGGTCTTGGATCCATTTGGTGCCCCAGTGAGGCCACTTATCAGCAAAACTCCTTAGCTTCTACCCCCAGAGACTTTATAGTCTATGGAGTTTGACACCTAGTAGGCACTCAATAAATTTTATTGTCTGGTTGAGCAATATTTTAAAGAGAAAGTAAAGCTGAAAATAAAGCTTCCTGCTCACAGTCTGTTAGCATTAAGAGGACTTCTGGTATCTGTCTTGGTTTCCCCTGACAAAAGCAGTCTCATAGTTAAGGATGGAATTGCAACACCTTCCCCAGCCTCTCCAGCACTGAACCTATGTCTGGGGCCTTCCCCACCTCCCTCTTGGCCTCCTTCCAGCTAGGAAAGGCTCAAAGGTCTGTGCCCCACTCCACCTTACAATTGACTCTGCCCTGCCCTGCCCCCTGAGCCCCACCTCGGCCTGACTCCTCACCCTCACCACCCAACTCCAGGAAGGCCACTGCTCCTGTGACCACTTTCCCGGTGGATTCCAGGGATGTCAGATGGGTTCTCAGCCCTAGGCCTGGCCCTGTAGCCCAGCCTATGCCCAGCGTCTCTGCAGGGCCTAGCACAGACCCTGACTCAGGGTGGGTGCTCAGTAAATGAAGGAAGGGGGGAGAAACAGAGACAGAGTGAAGGAGGGACGGGTGTTGACAGAGAGAAGGAAGCACAGGCATAGCTAACTCTGCCGGTGAAGGAATTGCCTCTTACCTCTTTCCCCTTTCTCTCCAGATCCAGGAGGCCCTGCCTCACCACGAGGTCCCATGGGGCCTTCTCGCCCTCTCTGGCCCATGGGGCCTTCCATGCCAGGATCTCCTAAAGACAGGGATGGCCAGCCTCCAAGTCAGGATCCCGTACCCCAGCTAACGGCTCCACAGGCAGCCTCCCACGGCAGACGCTTGCCTGGAGCCCTTCCCTGGCCTCCCTGCTTGCTTCTCTCCTGGACCCCATAGCCTTGGCTCAACCTGGAAGCCAGAGTGACCCTTTGAAAATGTGAGTAGATCATGTTCTACCTCTGCCCCAAACCTGCACATGGCTTCTCAACTCACCCAGAGTCAAAGCCAAAGTCCTTACACTGGCCTCTGAGGCCCCACACAGCCTGCCTCCTCTCGGCCCATCCCTTTGGACTTTCCAGCTCAGAGGTCTTCCCCTTCCTGATGCTCCTTAAAAATTGCCCTGGGGCCTGAGCCTTGGCCTTGGCTGCTCCCTCTGCCTGGAATGTTTTCCCTAGATCTCTCCTGCTTGGCTCCTTCTTGCCCTTCGAATCTTTGCTCAAATGGTGGCCTCTCAGGGAGGCCTTCCCTGGCTTCCCTGTGTAAAATTACTCTCCCCAGCTCTCATTCCCAAAATCCCTCCAGGCTCTCCTTTCCCATGTCGTGCATCACCCGTAAACTGCTATAGACTTCACTATTTCTCACAGTTACTGTCTTTCTCCCAAACCCAAATCTCAGCTCCACAACAGCAGGGTTTCTCTGTTTGGTTCACTGGTGTCTCTCCAGAGCCTAAAACAAGGCCTCACATACAGCAGGCACTTAATGAATGTTTATTAAATGAATGAAAGAATGAGGAATAAATGAATAAAGAAAAATGTGTTTCTTACCCACGCTGCCTTTTTGACCCTTTGGTCCTTGTGGACCTGGGTGGCCCAAGGGCCCAGGGATACCTGTGAACACACAAGGATATCTCAGCCCCTGTTTTCCTCCCAGAAGCCATCAGCTAGGATTGAGCAGCTGCAACACTGGCAGGCCTGGAGGTCATCAGAGAGTACATACCTGGAGTCCCAGGGAACCCTCGATCTCCTGCAGGAACAAAGGCAAAAGAGAGAGTGGTCAGCCAGAAGACTGTGCCCAATTCCCAAAGCAGTCACTAGTGGGATTCAGGTAGGGTTGCCAAACTTAGGAAATAAAAATGCAGATGTCCAGTTACATTTGAATTGCAGATAAACAACACATAGTTTTAGTTATAAGTATGTCCCATGAAATATTTGGGACAAGTTATAGTGAAAAATTATTTGTTGTTTATCTTCAAAGTTAACTGGGAGTCCTGTATTTTATCTGACAACTGCAGGTTCAGGTACTCTGGCAGTATCAGTCCCCACCACTAACATGGTCAGGAGGGGTGTGCGGGCTGGAGACTTGGGGAAGGAGGGCTGGGACAATGACCCAGGTATATGCGAGGGTGTGGGTGGCAAGGATCTGAAGGGAAAGAAGAGACTCGAGGGCCCCAAAGTGGAGGAGCTGACTTCCTGCCCTGGGGTTGCCTAGGGAGTGAGGAGGGAGCTGGAGAGAGGTGGGATCCTGTCATCTTGAACGTGGTGCTCAGTATTCTTCTGGCTGCAGAATCACCGTGGATGACTAAGATAAAGACTCCTGCCCACATGCATACCCCCTGAGTCAAAGGCTCGGGAAATGTGGCCCAAACTCTTTTGGAGATTCCTGTGCACAGGGAAGCTCGCCAATCCCGGTCAGCTGGACCAAGGAAAACTGCTCTGTGTCCAGCCAAAGGTCCCTGGGATTGGAAACCTCTCCTCCTCACACACCTGTCCCATCTGTTGTCAAATTACTTCTTGGAGTGCAAGGTGGGTTTTCTGACACTTGCTGATTGTTTGAAACAATTAACACTTGCTAATATTTAAGGTAAAAATGCCCATGTTATAATTACCTTTAGGGCCTGGACTTCCCATGTCACCTGAAACCAGAAAGATATGAAAACTGTGAGATGGGGCAAGAACCCAAAGGCCATACTCTGCCTTGTATTTTAAAACCATTTGACAAGATGTAAACTGTATTTCAAGGTGAGGCGACATGCGGCGAGTCCCTCCCAGTCCCAGAGTCTATGTCATTTGGGCTCATTGCTGGGCTTCTCTTAGATGCTGCCTTATCTAAGATATTCTGACTCTAAAACCAACAGATACCTCCCAACAGATACCATAAGATCATTCAGCTCTTCATCCTTCCATTTAGAACAAAGAAAAAGGCTTCTAATCTACCCAGAAAACTCACTTCCAACTGCAGGAAATGAATCAGAGACAAGGTTCAATCCATGGCAATACCTTTAGGGCCAGGGCTTCCTCGGAGATTTCCTGCAAGAAAAAGCAAATCCTGAGTCAGCTTCACATCTCCTGTCACACACACACACACACACACACACACACACACACACAATAAGGGGATCATGGTATGGGAAGAAGAAACTGAGGCAAAGACTAGAGATCAGATTCTAAATTTGGCTAGTCCAGTGATCTTGAGCAATTATTCTTTCCAGAACTCAGTTTTTCCAGGAGTAAAGTGGGACCACAGTCTTGGTCCCACCTACCTCTCAGCGCTATTGAGAGGATCAGGGGAGGAGAGAGGCCGAGAGTGGGCCGGATGATGGTGCTCACAGCACATGCACACATACCACATAGATGCAAAGAAGAAAGGGACTCAGGGGAGCTGGCCCTGTGCCCGGCGATGCTCTCACCATTTTCCTGTTCCATCATTAGCTTCTTCCTCACGAACATCCAGAGCTCCTCCTGGCTGTCACTGTGCAGCCCAATTTTGTCCAGGTCTGCTCCCGCCGCGGGTGCCATGCCCTGGAGGCGGTCCTTTTCTATTCTATCCATGCTGTCCCCATAGGGCAGTATGCTCCTCCTGATCCTCTCCAGCTCATCCACACGCGCCTTCAGCTTCCTCACCTCCTCCGCTGCAACAAACAGACACACACTGCGTCACTGAGGGCCCGGTCCTTCGCCTTCCATACACTCGCTCCTAGTGGAGAGCCTGACACAAGGGATTGGGGCCTGTGGTGGCTTCTTCATGCTAGAATACTCATGCAGAGATAATCTGCCGTGGCCACCAGCAGGATTAGCTGCTCAGCATCACAGCAGAGCCTTAAAGAAACCTGGCCTGGGAGTCAGTCTTCTCATCTGAGCTGGGTGACAAAGCTTGTCCTCACTCTCCCTGTGAGGTGGTGTGAGAGCTGATAGAAATAGATATGGCTGGCCAGGCGCGGTGGCTCAAGCCTGTAATCCCAGCACTTTGGGAGGCCAAGGGGGGCAGATCACGGGGTCAGGAAATCGAGACCATCCTGGCTAACACAGTGAAACCCCATCTCTACTAAAAATACAAAAAATTAGCCAGGTGTGGTGACATGCGCCTGTAGTCCCAGCTACTCAGGAGGCTGAGGCAGGAGAATCGCTTGAACTCAGGAGGCGGAGGTTGCAGTGAGCCGAGATTGCACCACTGCACTCCAGCCTGGGCGACAGAACGAGACGCCGTCTCAAAAAAAAAAAAGAAAGAAAAAGAAAAGAAAGAAAAGAAATAGATATGGCTGCTTGGAAACAGCAAAAGTCAAAAAGGCTAAGAAAGTCCTGACCTTGTTACCAAGGGCAGCCAGGTGCTTAGACCAGGGCCTACAGGTGTAGCAAGGGTGGGGCTGAGCATCAGGCGCTGCATCCAAATTCAGCTCCACCACTAAGTGGCAGCATGTCCTTGGCCAGGTACCTCCTGGGGCCTCAGTTTACTCATCTGCGGTAACAAGGGTCTGCACCAATGCATTCAGGTCCCCTCGCCCCCTAACACGTGGGCCCATTCACAGATTCCTGCCCTTCTGACAGGCAGTGGGGCTGGCCTGCCTCCTACCACACAGGCTGCCCTGCTGCCTTTGCCACGTACCCAGAGCAATGAGGCCGAAGAGCAGCCCCAGGAGTAGCAGCCAGGTGAGCAGCAGGCCCAGCAGCCACTTCCACCAGCTGCAGCAGGAGCCGCAGGGGCACCAGGCTGGCGCTGGTCCCCAAGGGCCGCCGCCAGCGCCACCAACACCGCCACCTCCTCCACTGCCACCACCACCACTGCTGCCGTAGCTGTGGATATCTGTGAAAGAGACAGGGAAAATGAAGCAAATGCAGGCAGCTCCTGCCTTTTCCCTCCAGATTCTCTGACTTTTGGTGACTTTCTGGCCTGAGTGACTACGACTGGGGGCTTTCAAGTTCCTGTGCTGTTCCACCCAGGACAGGGCTGGCTCCTGGACTGAGCACAGGGCCTGACTGGTGCTGACCAGAAGTCTGGCAATCCTGGCTCCAGCTGTGTGAACCTGAGAAGGTCACTTCACCTTTGTTTCCGTTTTTATAACATGGGGTTAAAAGATTGCCTCCTTCTTGGGAAGGTTGTTGAATGAAATAGGACAAGGAATGTAAAATAGTAGAGGAGTTAGCAGCACAGCACGAGGCTTAAACATCTTTATTTTGAATATAGCATTGGTCTGCATCTGACTGGGCCCAAACCTAGAGCGTTCCCATCTCCATGCCTCAGTTCACACAGTGCTTTCTTTAATCCTTACAGTGCCTAGAATTATACTCAGCTCTTCAGGGGTGCCTAGTGAATTAAAACAATGTTTTTTGTAATGAAAAGTGTTTTTAGTTCCCTAAAATGGGGTGGTAGGACTTGACCTGCTTCTATCACACGGCGGTGGAAGGAAATGAGGAAAGGCTAAGGGGCTGGAGGCGTGCATGGCTTAGTCTCTTCTTGAGCTGCTGTGTAAAGACACAGTCACCCTGTTGTGTTAGGAGACAACCTAACTAACAAGTGTTAATTAGGGGCAGCTGGGGGCGGGGGGCCTGTTAGCTTCATCCCCTGAGCTAAGCTCCTTCTGCGGCCACCTCTGACCCACAGCCTGCCACTCCCCTGACCCCCACCCTGCTCCCTTCTGAGCCTTTAGGGAAACTCTTTAGAGTCTGGTGGCTTCTGTGCACTGCACTGCTTCCAGGCGAGGGACCATCATCTGGTCCATTAGCCATAAGCAGCCCCACTGGATCCTGTCACTGCAGGGTTCGCGGTTCTCACCCACCTGCAGTGGTGGTCTTGCCCTTTGTGGACACAGTCTTCAGGTCTCCTGAAAGGACAAACAGATTGACCTGAGCTTTTAAACTGGAGGAGCTAGCTGCTCTGCCTATGGAGTAGCCATTTTTTTATTCCTTTACTTTCTTAATAAACTTGCTTTCAACGACGTGCAGGAACATCCAGCATCTCAGTCCTCACTAATCTGATATTTGCGATAATTACATCCATGAAGACATGGCTTGGCAAACAATTAATGGTGGAAGAAAGCACTATGTTTTAATTCTCTTATGACCTTAAACCTTAACACCTCAAAACATTTTTGGAACACCAAGTTATGGGTGCCGCTTGCATTCAAACAATAAGTGTGGTTGTGAGAAATGACTCTGATTTCTTGGTTAAGGGACTCTGAACACAAGTTCCTGACCTGGGGTGGAAGGAATTGGGAATGAGAAGGATGAGCTTGGAGGAGGATTGTTCCTGAGTCCGTGATGCTATTTGAAAGTTGAGTGTTTAGGCCAGGCACGGTGACTCACGCCTGTAATCCCAGGACTTTGGGAGGCCGAGGCGGGCAGATCACGAGGTCAGGAGTTCGAGACCAGCCTGGCCAACATGGTGAAACCCCGTCTGTACTAAAAATACAAAAAAATTAGCTGGATGTGGTGGCACATGACTGTAGTCCCAGCTACTTGGGAGGCTGAGGCAGGAGAATCATTTGAACCCGGGAGGCAGAAGTTGCAGTGAGCTGAGACCATGCCACTGCACTCCAGCCTGGGCAACAGAGCAAGACTCCGTCTCAAAAAAAAAAAAACAAAAAAAGAAAAAGAAAGTTGAGTGTTTGTGGGCATGTGTAGAATTTACTCGGCAATTTGTTCATACCTTTCATCAGATTCTGAAAAGGATCTTTTGACTCCACAGCCCTAGACCTACCCCTAAAATGTCAGGAACTGCTAACTTTAAAGACTTACAGTCAGGTTCCAATCTCTCACCTTGTTAAAGTGATAACTGATTTGATTGGCATTCATTTGAAAATGTTCTATGACTTAACATTTTCCTTCCTTTACTGACCTCCCTGAAATCAGTGATTTGGAGAGATTCCTATAGGGCATCGTCAAGAAATGTGGTTATCAGACAAAGAACGCAGATATTTGGGAAGAAAAAAAAATAAAGCTAACAACTGCTTTGCAAAGCATTTTTCTATTAGTTCTGAAGATTATGGAGAAAAAGTAAAATGAGAAAACAAATGCCTTCGTAGACATGGCAGAGGCAGGCTTTTGCTTCAGTAATGCAAATGCAAATCACCTAGGAAGCTTGTTGAACTGCAGCTTCTGACTCAGCAGATCTGAGCTAGGGCTGGGATCCTGCTTTTATAACACACTCCCAGGTGTGGCTGATGCTGCTGGCCCGTGGACCACACTTTGAGTAGCAAGGTCTCCGAAGACAATGAAATGAAATGTGGCCTGGCTGAAGTCAAGGTGGACAACAATCATATTTGTTCTTACCATTAGCTTCGGCTTTTAGGCCTGAGTCAGCATTGTAGGCAGCTTGCTTTTCTTTTTTTAGGGTGTCTTCTGAAAAAGAAGCTATGTACAGAACCCATTATAACCTGGCATATTCTCTTCTCAACCTCTCAACTCTGTCCTGTGTTCCCCCCGCCCTTGCCCACTACCCTGCTTGGGAAGGTCTAGGTTAGACTGGTAAGAAGAGCCCCTCTTTCCTGGGGTTCATCTCCCCTGATCTGTGTTTGCGGTTAGACTTGCTGTCGCCCAAATGCCTCTCTGAGAGCTCTTTGCCTGAATTTTCTCAGCTCATCTGCATTCAAGGCAGACCCTGGAACATACTATTCAGACAGGTGCTTTTCATTAGAATGGGATGGCTATGGTTTCATGACTCATAGGGTCCCAAACCACCTTGCTAGGACATTTGGTCTCCTACACTATTTGGCTTTCTTCTGAAACCCAAGCCACACAGGATCTGACGCACTTGCAGCGATGCTGGCAGGGGAGGCTGTAAAGACCTTCCCGCTGTCCTTGGTCATGATGAGCAGCTCCATCTCCTTCTTGGCAGGTGTGTTGTCTTTCTCTAGGATCAGGAACTTGCAGTCCTTGTGCAAAAGGTCATCGCTCTGCACACTTGTGGTGCAGGCTGGGGAGAAAGAAAATGGGTAAGAAGGAAGGACATGTGCCAGGAGAAGGGAGAGGGGAGAAAAGACAAGAAGAGGAAGGAGAAGAAAGAGAAGGAGGAGGGAGGTAAATTAGCAGGTGTGTATGAGGGTCTCTTGTTCTTGCTGACAGTGGTTACTATGAAGCATCTTGGGGACCAAGGACACCCTCTATGCCTGGCTGGGCCTGGCCACCAAGAGTTTGGGTCAATGTCAGAAGCTCTGGATGGCTGGTTTATGGGGGCTGCCTCCCCTCCTGGAGATTATAGGATCTTTATTGAATGGGTAAAAGTCCCCCAGTCAGGTAAGTCCTTCCTTAACTAACTTGGGTTCATTTTTATCCTCCAGGTCTTAAGAGTTGCCTTCTTGAGGAGGCTTTAGCTGACTACCCCATCTAAAGCACTTCACCCTCATACACACACTCCTATCTCTACCACATTACTTATTGCTTTCCTTATAATCTGTATCCTTTTCTGTAATTATCTTGCATACTTTATGTGTTTGTCGTCTGCCTCCACCACTGACATCAGCTTAGTGAAGGCAGGAATCTATCCTGTCGTGTTCACTGCTGTACTGTCAGCACTTAGAACACTGTCCATCTAATACAAAGAAGGTGCTCAGTAAAGGCTTTCCAATAAATGAATTGTTGAATGGAAGACAACACACTAGGATTAGAACAATGGAGGAAACAGCTCACTGTATGGTGCTGAAATATGTGGACAAAGTTGATATAGATTTTGTAGAAAGCAGGGAGGGTGCCAGCAGTTTCTGAGGGCTCCATGAGCTGCATGTAACAGGTGAAGGCCAAAGGCTTCCAGTCAAGGGCAGTGGCTAATGTGCAAGTGCCTGGCCCTAGGCAGGTATGGAGGGTGGAGCTTCCTGCCCCCTTCTGATAGGAACATTCATGGGAATGTTCACCTTTATTCACTCATGGAAACATCCAAGAGGCCTTTGGGGCAAGTTGCGTTTGCAGGCCTAAGACCACTCATGGGTCCTATTTCCTCTTCCAGTATACCATGTGTATTGGAAGGATACACAGGCAGGATTACTGCAGAGTAATCCTCCCTGTGCACCAGCCTGAACCCTGGCAGCTGGGAGCAGCACTCACCGGCGGAGGTGGAAACGCCAGTGTTCACAGCCGCAGGACTCTGGGGCATGTTTTTCTTCACCCCATATGCTGCAAGAAAGGAAGCTGGGTCAGCATGGGAGGGTGGTTCCAGGTGACTCAGGAGAAGCCTGATCAGCCCTGGCAGAGAGGTACCCCCGACCCTCTCCAGTGAGAAGCAGATGATGAATCAACTCTCTCCAGCCATGGGGACAGTAATGAGGGTTTAGATGGAACGTTCTTAGGTATAATCCTCCTCATCCTTCTAGCTACTTCCAGGAAGTCCTCCTAGACCCCCATGCATCTCCTTCTCTCCTGAACTCCTACAGCCCTTAACACCTGCTCTGCATGGCCTATCACTTATTCCCATTGTCTTATAGAGCCTCTCGTTGTCTCATGTGTGTTAGACTTTCTCTTCCAATTAAGTAGCAGGCAAGTTGGAGGCAAAGGCTGACCTAGGTTTCATGTCCCCAGTCACCCCCAGGTTGGCACAGCGGTGGCAACCTGTAGGGGGTGCACCATAAAATCAACCAGATGATTGATTTGCAGTGACAGTGGGCTGTCAAGGACAGCAGTGAGCTGGCAAGACCACCAACCTAACCAGTTTGGCTGTGAGAGACACAGGAACATACAAGTGATGCCTTACAAGGTGATGCTGTTGACAGGACAGCCTTCCCTGTGTGCTTGACTCATGTCTGAGCCAGTTAATGATCAAGATTGATATCTTGAGTGTTGTGTCTTTGGTGGGAAAGGTCGACTGATTTTCAGGGACATTTTGGGTCTCCTAATTCAGTGAGTTGTAGCTGCAAAGAGGTGTCACTTTCCAGCGCCTAAGCTCCAACCCTAGCCTACTGACCTGTGGAAGTGGTGGTGGTGCCATGGGACAGGGTGGTCAAGCTGGGGGCCAGATTGTTCTGCATGCCAAACACTGTGAAAGCAACCAAGGTCAGGTGAGTACAGGGAGCACGGGGGATGCCCCCTGGCTTAGGACGGCCCCCAGAGTCCCAAACCACTTTCATGATCAATGGTTTTGCCAACAGATTCCCAAACTTCCTCGGTTCCCACACTCTTTGTAACGTAGTAAATTTGTTAATACCCCCACCTACCTACCCCAGGCCAAATATTACTAACAGTTCTACTTATTACGTAGTTAGGTCCATCCAAGTTAAAAGCAGTAGTTTGCACAGGGTCTGACAGATGTTGCTGACAGATCTCTCAAAATTTTAAAATATCATAGGGGTTCCCTGTTTCCTGTGACACCCTGGGGTGCCTTGGTGCACAGTGTGGGAACTGTAAGCTTAGGATATGGACACAGACACCTCGGGTGCTGAGAGGCACTAACTTGGCAGACTCCTAGTATTCCCGTTAGCCCTTCCTTCTCCTGACACAAACACATAAAACTCCCCCACCTCCACTATGGTTTCGAAGGCTCCTTGTTTATTTGATTGCTTGTTTGTTTGTTTTCAACAACGTGCAGAAGCTTATTCCTCCTGGCCAGCAGCTTTGTTATTTAGGGCACAATATCAAGGATCTGGTATCAGCCCACCTTCCCTTGGGACCTGGTTTTTATCAGGACTTTGCAAAGCAAAATAGCAAAGGCAGAAGAAATAAAACATGTAGCCAATGTCTTCTGGATTTGGTGGGCCTCTAGTCAACTGGAGGAAGGTGCTGAAAATCTGAATGCAAAACTTGTACTTGCCTCTATATCAGTCAAGTAAATAAACAAGGCCCACATCATTATGTTTATTAGTCACATTATCACATGGAGAAGGCAGACTCCTTTAAAAAGAAAAGATGTAGGCTGGTAATATTTACATATAGGCTCTTAAGATGTATGTGGAAACATAGCAAATAAATATTTCTTTAAAATTGTTGTTATGTTTGCATTGGAAGATAAGCAGTAACATTATTTACCCCAATATAGTTACTCCAACAAACTATGTGTTATATTTATAGAAAGATCTGAAAGTAGTTACTCAATGAATTCTATTTTTCTTTAAAAGATCTGAAATAAAATCCTTCTAAATTAACAATGCCTTTACCCTGAAAATGTCCTACACGATGATTCCGTTAGACCCTTCATTTCCAATCCTCCAACTCTTCCAGAAAATAAAGGCGCCACCTTAGAATACGCACGTCAATGTGGGCTCACGTCCCCTCGCCTGAGACTTTTCCCTTGGGGTCTGAGTTCTCCCTGTGGTTGAAGGCAGGTTCTGTGCAACCCTGTGCCTCTGCTTCTGAGCTGCAGTATGCATGGAAGAAAGGCCTTCATGCTCTTGGGTGAAGCATCCTAACACTTCTATGCAAATAGCCTGGAAAAGTCATCTCAAGATGGTGACACTGACCTGAGGAGGATGTGCTGAGTCCAGGGTGCAAAGTGGGTGAGCAGGACGCCATGTTGTTTGGAACTCCGAAGACTGCAGGGGCAAGGAGGAAGGCTGGTGAGAGGGACATCTGGCCCAGATAGGGATAGAGATTTGGATACCACAGAAGCACCAGAAGAAATGCCAGGATTGGGTTTTTATATTTTGGTAAATTTTTGTTTTTAGGAAAAACAGGCTCTTGCCTTGCAGCAGAGAATGAAACACTAGCCTGCACTGCACCTTGGGTCACAGCCAACAGGTGATCTCAGGTCTGTCAAACCTGGAGTGGACAGTGGGTCCAGCCAAAGGCTCTCTTGTGAGTGACCCCACTTTACAGAGATGGTCCCTGAAGCTCAGAGAAGTCAAATGACTTATTCAAGGCTCCACCGTCAATTCATATGAAATGAAACTAGATCTCCTACATCCATTTTCAGTGTTCTTTCCAGTTTTCCTGATACACCGTGCTATATATTCTAAAGGGGACGCACCAGAAGCAATACCTTCTAGATTGAATTGAACTGAAGTTCCAGGGGGAATCTCCTGGGATGTTTGGCCACAGAAAGCCTCTCCAGGAGGCCCTGAGGATGGCAAACATTCTGAGGGTCATCCAGCTCCAGGATAGAGGCATGCCGAGTTCAGGGGTGAGAGAGGGTGTGGGCTGCCCGCCAGGTACCTGATCCCGCAGAGTAGGCATTGGTGTTGAGGAGGGATGAGCTCTGGGTTGTCATGTTGTTGTGATAGGTCCCCATGGAGGACCCCGCGGGCAGGGTGGAGGACCACACATGGGAGGGAAGGTTGGCATCCAGGATCGTTGCATCGTAGGTGCCTGACACTGGAAACAGACACATGCACACACCCCAGTGAGAGACAAATCAACACTCCCTGCTGGGGAATCTAGTCACCTCATTTTGCTGGGATTTCCTGGTTTGGGCATTGAAAGCCCCACATTTCAGGAACTTTCTCAGTCCAGGAACCTGGGGTAGTTTCCATCTGAAATCTCAGAGCTGGTGAAATCATTATCTCTTGGATTAGAAATTTTTGCTGGCTCCTGGTAAAATCTGAGGTAGCCAAATTTTGCCTTGGGGTCCAACAATTTCTCCTTCTAAACCTGGCTCCCCATCTCCTGGTGGGCTGTCCCACCAATGGCATTCCTCTCCAGCTGTTGCCAACTCCTCCATCTTCAAAGACGCTGAGGGAACAGTTCTTTCAGGAGCAACAAATGAGACCCCGAAGAGAACCTCTTTCAGTAGAATTCCAGGCACCATGGCCATTGCAGGGTGCATGCCTGGGCAGGGGAGTCCTTGGTCTGGGGCCACACTGCATGCCTGGCAGCCTTCTCTGGTTCCACCCTCCTTAAACATTCCTATGTACCAGCCAGACACTGTGCCCCCAAGAGAGGATTTTCCTGCTTCTTCATATTTGGGGCCAGTTCTGCATATTTGTCTGTGAGAGGGAGCCAGCCATGCAGGTCAGAAAGTGCCCTGATGTTTTGGTTTTAGGGTGAAAAACAAGAAAGATCACAATCTCTAGGCTTTTCTCCAGTAGTGAATGGGAGGGATGTTTCCTATCATAGTAGATCTAGCTTTTTCCCTCACCTCCCTCCACGGCTCTGCTAATTTATATTTCTGCCTTCCACAGAACCTATCTTGCACTTGGGGGACATGTAATATGGAACAGCTGAACAATGCTCATCCTACTTGACTGGGACATGTTGGTTTTCTGACTTCCTCCAGAGACCCACTGTCCACAAGGGCAGTGACTGTGTCTCTCTTGTCCATTGCTTTTCCTCAATGCCTGGTGCTTGGCATAGAGGAGACATTTAATAAATAGTCACTGAATGAATACACGAAAACTCTACACATTTCCCCAGTATTCTTCATTTGGGGGATCTGGCCAACATACTGTCCTGGGAGAGAATCTCTAGGATTTAGGGCTGGGCTATGCATATGGAATGGGTGACCAGCCAGGGGTAGGATAGGTACAGCCCACTTTTTTCACTGCTTGAAGAGAAGGTGCTCAGTGCTTTTCAAGGTCTCTGGCAAAGCCTGAAAGGCCTGCCAAGGCGTGGTTGAATCCCCAGGCCAGGATAGATCTGCCACCTTGTTGCCTTTTCTCCTGAAGGAAATAATGTATACAGTGGTCCATTTCCAAGACAAAGTTTCTTAAATCAGCTTAGGTCAGCAAACTACAGAAGAAACAGGATATACTAGGCCCCTGCTTGGATAGCTAATGCCTGCTTGTTGGTCTCCCCTTCCCCACCAGGTCCCCCCACTTAGTTTCCCTCACTCAGACCAAAGAAGTTTAGTCTAAGGTAAAAGTTTACTAGACTGCAAAATAGCTCATTTTTGTCTGTTCTTATCAGCTTGCCCAGCTACTTAGGTCATAAGTCAAATACTTGAAGAGCCCCTAAGCTAACTAGGATTGCAATGCATTGTGGGCTGCAACAAAATGCACCAAGACAACCCTAAACAAACACCTAAAGCCCCTGCCCAACAAAAGAGGGAACTAAAAAGACACCCTCTAACATTCTCCCAAATAGTCCATTAAGGAAAATGCTGCAGGTTTTTAAGGGCTAACCCTTGAACCAGGGACAAGGAAAAGCAAAAAATGATAAAGTATTGCTGTTTTATCTGGGCCAAAGAGCCCATTCATCAGCCTTCAGTCTTTTGGCCTAAGTTTGGCTCAGACGAGGATTGGGTGTGCCAAGCTTTAATTCTCTATGTGAATAATAAAACCCCATCCTCACAAGAGGAGACGGGTTATGCTCTTTGTTAAATTAGTGAATTAACCCCCATGCTCCCGCTTCAAGAGGAAAAAAAAGAGCATAGTAAAAAGCCCTCACCCAATAAAAAGCTCTGGAATCCCATAACACGCTTGCCTCCACTTTACATCTCACAAAGTAGAGGACAGGGAGATCAGGGAGTAACAGGAAGGCTGGAGGAAGAGGAATCTGGGGATCATAAAGAAGCTAAACCCAATGCTCCCGTAAATCCTTATCCAAACTTGAGGAGAGAATTAGAACAATGTAAGAAGGACATTGAGAATTTCCCTATTCCTTCTAAACAGCAGATGTCTAATATGTACCCTCTTAGAGAAGTCCCTATGGGACAGGGAGAAGTTGGATATGTAAGTGTGCCTCTAACAAGTACTAAGGTTAGGAATTTTAAATAGGAAATAAGGCCGCTCTTGGAAAATCTCCTCGGTGTAGCAAAGCAGCTAGATCAATTTTTAGGACCCAATTTTTGTACTTGGGCTAAGATGATGTCAATCATGACTATTCTGTTTATTGAGGAAGAGAGGGGAATAATTAAAAGGGCAGCCATGACCATTTGGGAAAGACAGCATCCTCTCGGGCAAGGAGTCCCGCCAGCTGAGCAGAAATTCCTAAATGCAAATCCCAGATGGAATAACAATAACCCCAAAGATCGGGCCCAAATGCAGGACCTAAGGGAACGAATAATTAAAGGGATTAAAGAGTCCACTTCAAGGACACAGAATGTCTCAAAAGCATTCGAGCTTCAACAAGTAAAAGAGGAGACTCCCTCTGCATTTCTGCAGAGGCTCAGGAATAAAAAAAAAAAAAAAAAAAAAAAATCAGGATTACATCCAGAGGACCTAGTAGGGCAAGGCCTTTTAAAGGTTAATTTTATGACTAAAAGCTGGCCTGATATTACTAAGAAACTGCAAAAAAGTTGATGGATGGAATAAAAAGCCAATTAAGGAATTAGAAGGTTTTTGCGAAAAGTAAGAAACGAATTGGAAAAAGAGAAAGAGAGAAAGCCAAAGCTGTCCATCTTGCAGACGGACAGAGGGGAGCCACGGCATGGCTCACGCTGGTGCTCAGAGAGAGAAAGAGTTAAGCTGCTGACCCTGAAGGCAAGGGAGCCGGCTGTGCAGCTGCAGGTGTGGGGGCGGCAGGAGCTGCAGAGCCGAAGCAAACAGCCGAGATAAAGGTGGACAGTGTGAGAGAGCTAATGTAAGTAAGCTGTTAACATGGCGAGTGCGCTGGCGCCCAGAGAAAGAAGAAGAAACTGAGTGTAAGGGAAAGAGAAAACAGGGATGACAGAGACAGAGAGATTAAAAAAAAAGAAAAAAGAAAATAAGCGAAAGAGAAAGAGACGGGAAAAGACAGAGATCAAAGACACAGAAGGTGAAACTGGGGAGAGACATAATGTAAAAGGAAAAAAGAGTACAAGAGGAAGAGAGAGAGACAGGGAAAGAGAGAGAGGCCATGTAAGACGGGAGATGGGGAGACAAAGGTGCAGGTGGGCAGTGGCTGCCATGGCCCTGCTGGCGGAGGGGAGTCTGAAGTTGATCTTCGGCAGGGCCCTGGTAGTGAGCACCCCACATCAGGTCAGGAATATATTAAATCAAAGAGTTGGGAGATGGTAAACTAATTCCCAGATTTTAAAATATGAAGCCATATTATTACAAAAAGATAATTTAGTCTTGACAACATGTATTTTCTTGAATCCAGCCAGCTTCTTATGAAAAGGAGAGGAGAATAAAGAGGCATCAAATCATAACTGGATATCATAGAATGTCAAACTAAAGTTAAACCAGACCTTAATATCAAACTAAAGTTAAACCACCCCATTACATAATGGGATGAGACTGTTTGTAAATGGGTCATCCCAAGTAATAAATGGTAAAAAACACAATGGCTATGCTGTCATTAATGGAAACAAATAATCCTTATGTGAAAAAGGTAGATTATCCAATAATTGGTCAGCCCAAACCTGTAAATTACATGCTCTTAACCAGGCCCTCAAGCTTCTAGAAGGCCAAGAAGGCACTGTATATACTAATTCCAAATATGCCTGTGGAATAGTACACACCTTTAAAAAGATCTGGACAGAGCGGGGCCTAATAAATAGCAGGGAGAAAGAATTTGTACATGGGGAACTGATCAAACAAGTTTTAAAAAGCCTCTTGCTTCTAGCAGAGATAGCCATAGGCAAAACTATAGAAGCTGTGGGGAACAGGCTTGCAGATAAAGCTGCTAAGCAAGCTTCCCTGGAGGAAGAAGTTAGATTGTTTAGCCTAATCCCACAGATCCCTAAGGTGATATTAAAACCCAAATTTTCTAAAAAGGAGGAGGAAGAGCTGGGCAAGATAGGGGCCACTCAAACTGAGGATGGGAGGTGGGTGCTCCCTGATGGGAGAGAAATGATAAGCAAACCCATAATGAGAAAACTGATGTCCATACTGCATAAAGGAATTCACTGGGGTCCCCAGGATATGTGTGATGCAATACTAAAAAATTATGGGTGTATAGGGATCTATACCCTTGCTAAACAAGTGTGTGGGTGTTGTGTAACCTGCCAGAGAATAAACAAAAAAGTAGTTAGAAAACAGACTACCAGAGGAAGACCTCCTGGGTTAAGGCCATTTCAAAGCATTCAAGTAGATTTTACAGAAATGCCCAAAATAGGGAGACTAAAGTATCTACTGGTAATGGTAAACCACCTCTCCGGCTGGGTGGAGGAATTCCACCTCCCAACTGCCACCGCCAGGAATGTGGTAAAAATAATCTTAAAACAAATTATACCTAGATTTGTCTTGATAAAAAATATTAATTCGGACAATGGGTATCACTTTACCTCAAGGGTGCTAAGGGGAATTATGGAAAGTTTACACATTAAATGGGATTACTATACCCCTTGGCATCCCCCTTCCTCTGGAAAAGTAGAAAGAATAAGTCAAATTCTCAAAAAGCATATTACTAAACTAATCTTTACAACTAAAATGCCTCGAATGTCTCCCAGTAGCACTCCTTAGGATTAGAACAGCCCCAAGCAAAGACTTTGGACTGTCCCCTTACAAGTTATGATATGGACTCCCATATTTAGATAGGACTACTGATCTTCCTACTATGGAAACCAAAAACCAGTTTTTAAGAAATCATATACTGGCCATATCCTCCACCCTGTCATCCTTTAGCTTAAAAGGACTTCGAACTCAAACCCCGCCTCTTGAGTTCACAGTTCACCACTTCCAGCCTGGCATCTCGGTGCTAATTAAGACTTGAAAAGAAGATAAGCCCCACCCAAGCTGCCAAGGTCCCTATCAAGTGGTCCTAACCACTGAAACGTGACAACGAACAGCTAAACGAGGGTGAACTCATTACACTCAAGGGACTGGTAAAAGAAACCCAAGAAGGAAGGGAAAAGGGCAAATGGGAAGTGTATAAATCACCTAAGGAACACTTAAAGCTAACTCTAAGGAAAACCTAGAAGAGAGCTATAAGCAAACCCCTTCATTAGGGGTGGATATGGTTAGGATTAATCCTAACACACAAAAGAAGACCTGAGTATTGGATAGGGCCCAGTACTAGGGGTGGAAAGTAGGGAATATCCAATCAATCTAATAATCAACATAACTAAAACCTCTACCCCCTAAACCATAAAATTCAATGCCTGCTGAGTCTTACATTGTGGGAATTTAGGAAACCAAAGGCAGCTGTCACAAGCAAACAAATATCTATGCCCTAAAACAGGTTGCTATTAGGGAAAGCCCTGTGCTAGCTGGAATGAGATTTGGTGGGCCCCAATTTCAAGTCTCACTTTCACTGTTCTCTGGGTCTCTGAGTCCACTCTTTGGGTTTGGATGGGTAAGTTTGTTTCTCACACTCCTCGGCAGCCTGGGCTGTCAGACTTACCCGACTGGGAGCTCGCTGTCACAATTTTGGTCTCCACAGTGCCTTTCTTGGGGATGGGGAGTGTGTTGGAGGAATTCCGGGTGGGGCTCACACTTGCCGATCGACTCCCCTTGAGCAAACGCTTAACATCATCCAATTCTGTCCCTGTGAAAGAATCCACAGACGTTTCTGTTAAGTCCAGAGTTCTTTCCTGAGTCCCTGTGCAACTGGGGGGAACATTTGTGGCATTCTGACTACTGGGGAGAATGGCATCTGCCTCACACATTGGAACTTTTTGCTTGGCTTTATAATATTCACATTTTACTAATGAATAGCACTTATCAACTTGGTACTTTGTCATATTAGCCTCAAAAATCTTCTGCGTCTCACAAGGAGGTCAAGGTGCTTGGGAGATATTTCCTAATTAGACCTCATCAAACATCACAGGAATGATTCTGTGGCTGGAAGACACTATTATCTAGGATCAGGCAGTTAGAGAACCAGGTCCCTTGAAACAGATGCTTCAACAGCAGTCTCATCCCCTGCACAGGATGCATCTGATATTGGGTCCTTGACCTTGTATGCCTGGGGCTGTCAAAAGGAATCTGTGGGCCATAACTCCTAAATATTATGCTGTGTTCACGTGTGATTTAATTTCAAGTCTATCTGGCTGATTTAATTTGTAGCAAGGTGAAAAGTGGAGCAAGCTCCCTGTGCCTCCCATACAGGAAGCAGGGAAGCAGGAGAGGTGGGAGGCACCATGCATGGGGAGTGCATGAGAGGATGCATGGGGAGTGCATGAGAGGAGACACAGGTTTGCAGGCACTGTATGCTGAAGGAACTCTCAACCCCAACTCCCTTCGCCTCACCACCCCTAAGCCTGGAAGGACTCAGGTGAGAAGGTGTCGGGCCTGGAGTCAGACTCCACAACCCTAGGTACTGAGCTCTCTGGACAAGCACCCATCTCTGTCCTGAGCCACTGACCATGTTCTTTCTTCTACTCCTTGAACATGACTGCTGTCCTAAAGTTGAGCTCATTTCAAAACGTTGTTAAATACCTCTAGCAAGAACAACAGGTATCTAACATATTCCATCGACAGAGACTGGGGGGTCTCTGACATTTGAAATAAAGTTCAAATTCTTATACTCTACTACTGACCCTTCTCTAATCTTAAACTATCCCATTATGTCCTTGCTTTGAACTGTTCCTTCGATGCCTCATGCAGGCTCATCCCTTTGAGCCGAACTGATCCACTGTTCAGTTTCCTTTCAGGTAACACCTACCCCGGGAAGTCTTCTCTGGCCTGATCTCCATGGGCTGCCGTGGAGCTGCTCCTCCCTGTTCCCTCACCACACTGAGTTGCGATGGTTGGTTGACTTACTGTCTCCCTATTAGTCTGTGAACTACTACACAGCAGGAACCACGGTTTACTCAGCGGCTTAACCCCAGCCACCTAACCCAGGGTCCAATTCACAGAAGACCCTTAAAGATGTTTTATGATTGCATGCATGTACATACATGTGTGTGCATGCATGCACACACACACGCATGCACACACACACACACACACAGCACTAGCCCTGGATTTCTGGACCCTTTCTTTTCAGCAAGATCATGACCACTTACATCGGGTGGATGGGGACGCACTCTGCAGTCGAACTCGAATTTCACTCTCTGTACAAGGGAAGAGATAGAGAAGGGTGTGAATGAAGGAGCTTAGATCACAATCCCTGACACTGAACTCCTAGCAGCAGATGGCCCTTTAGGCTGCTCTGACATTTCTGAGCTCTGGAAACAGGAAATCTAGGTGTGCCCAAGAAGAGTGCTGCTTAAAAAGGGAGACCTCCCTACCTCCAACAATTCCCCATCCTGCCAACTGCATACCTCCCAGGCAGCTGGAGATGTTCTAATAAAATTCCAGGCTGAGCAAGGAGGTTCCAGTACAATCAGCAATGGTCAATCCTTTCCCCATCATCCACCTCATGGCTGCCAGAACCAAGGTTCTCTCCTGCGTCCATGGTCTCAGGCATTGGCAAAAGATTCTAAAAGCCAGAGTGTTTACTTGCCATTTTGGCCTCTTCAGAGATGGGAGGGGCAGGAAGCTGGTAGCTAACATTATTAGTTAGCTTCAGGTGGAGAATTGGCATCTTTCAACTATCAGCCTAAAGTTGTGAGTGGTTGGCATACTCCTAACTTCCAAGTTATTGATGATAATAAGGCCCATAGGAAGTCTAGGTGGGTCATTGTGAAGAATTCTGCCTTCAGCTCAGCCCTAACATGCTGCCCCCTACCCTGCCCAAAGCTTAGCAAGGGCTGCTTCTCCCAGGACCACATTTCTCTCCTATATCATTGTCTACATGACTAGATTACAAAACTGTCATGGAGCTGTTTATCTCCTGGATGAATTTTGAAAAAAAATTTGGGGAGATTTTGCTCATCTTTTGACGTGTAAAGGCAATTAGAGCATATCTTGTTAAAGTCAGCCAGGAGAC
Organism: Homo sapiens; assembly: GCF_000001405.40. Classification (NCBI taxonomy): domain Eukaryota; kingdom Metazoa; phylum Chordata; class Mammalia; order Primates; family Hominidae; genus Homo; species Homo sapiens. The sequence continues at coordinate 104,072,898 of NC_000010.11, forward strand.
CAGAAGTGAAAGCAGATGTGGTATCTGCATCTTCAGATGATCCACAGCAAGACAAATGATGCCCCACATTGTTATCATGTGTTTTGCTTCCTGCCTCTACGTGCTTGTTAGATTACTGTCAAAAGCTACCCTTCCCCTCCCGATAGAGCCGGTGGAAGATTCCCAGGATACTCTAAGCTCCTCGAAAGCAGAAAGCATGCCTTATTTATTCTTCTGTACTCCTTACACTCCCTGGCTCAAGGCTGGACACACATTAACTTCTCAGAAAATACTTGTTGAATGAATTGGACTGAACCCAGTGACAGCACTCACCTCGTGTTTGACTCCGTCCTCTGGTTGAAGAAGATGCTGAGAAACAAAGAAATGCATTTTTAGGCATATATAAGAGGTGGCATGCTAAATACTTTTGACATGGAGGCAGATATATTTGGGGAGGGGTTACTTTCATAGTGTGTCTAAATCCAGATAGGGGCTTTTCTGTATAGCAGTTGCTTAATAAATGATGATCACTTAGCAACAGCAGAGAATGTTTTGCAATGCCCTAGTACATTTATGATGTTAAATTAGCTAAATGAATGTTAAGTTAGCTAACATTTTGAATGTTAAGTTAGCTAAGGTAATCTGTTGGGGAGCATGATCCATTTGGACTGGCTGACTACACTGATCAAATGTATCAAAAAGCTCCCAAGTCTTCCCTTTGATTTTTTATTCGAGACTGCCATGGTTTCCCCACTGTAAGCAAATACAGAAAATTATAATCACTGTATAACCAATGATCCTGGCATCAATTCATATGCACAGTGAGATTCCAAGAACATGGAACAAAAACTTAAGGCCAAGTGAAGACACAGCTTGGGGGTTCATGAAGCACACGCAGTTCCCTTGAAAGCAAGCAATAGTGGAGGTGCCGGGATGCCTGGCATTTGTGTGTTCTACTCGCTGCTCTGCTTCTTTGGGAGGCCTCTGTGCATCTCATGGAAAGAAGAATCCCTACAATTATTGCTTGGCCTTAGGGGCTTATCCATCCAAGCCTGAGCCTTATATATAGCTTACCATTTCTATAGTGCCACGAGCAAAGGCTTATGACAGCAAGTTAATGTGGCTGATAGTCCCCTTAATATGCTTCAGGATAAAAAGCAAGGGAAAAATAGGTCAGCAGGGGTCAAACTCTTTTAGAAGAATCCATTTAACTCATGAGGTCCCCTACTCCCACCACTTCATCTCCCCCAGGGATTTTCCTAGTGCCTCGTTTGACCATTTCTTTAGAAAATAAGGAGAGGACATACCAAATTCCTTCCGAGGGTACTCCGGAGAAGAGTTGCCACTGGAGCTCCCTGGAGAGGGGATGAAACACTTAGAACAAATGGCCTCTTAGGCCCATAAAGCTTCCAAAACGGGAGGTAGTGCCTGTTACTTATTTCTGGACCTCCACAGCCCTCAGTGTTTCAGGGGGGAATGAGGTATGCTCTTCAGCATGCATGTCAAAGGAGCCAGGCTCATGATGTAAAACACGACCCATCATGGCCCTGGTCGCAGCACTTTGCTCTGGTCAAGGACCTACTTCAGATGAGGCAGGGATGAACAAAGGAGAGCAGGAGGTTTTGGTTTCTTTCTTTTTTGTTCAGTTCCTCCACCGGCTTGTCCTGTGTCTGTCCTAGAGCAAGTGACCTGCCCTGATCAAGTAACCTGCCCTCAGCACCAGGAACCTCTCTGACCTTATGAGGCTTGTCCCAAACGTGGACCCAGTTAAAATGAAGGTACAAATCCCTGGTCAGGCCCGACCTCAGAAAGCACTGTGATGATGCAATCCACCTCACCTGGATTTGGGGCTTCCCAACAGCCCAGCAGCTCTTGTCCTGCAGCGGCAGGAGGGAGTCTGCTGTGCGTGTGGGATGCTAGCCCGCTGTGATCATTCACTAGAGTGTCTGGGCCTTACTCCTGCTTCTCCAACACCAGCACCAATCTCTTCTCACTGTTAAACTCCTTGGCCACCTGGCTGGTCAGTTTCCCACATAAAACTGCTTCTGCAGATCACCAGGAACTCCAGGAACCTTAGTAATGGAACTCAGGTGTCTTCTTCTACGACTCCTTCTTGACCCTGAGCACTCTCTTGTGTTGACCTCAGCATTGCTGTATGTTCCTGGTCTCCCCTTGTCCCTAAAAGACTCTTCCTCCTCTCTCTGTTCTCTGGCTTTTCTTTCTCCTTATTCCCTCCGCTTTACCTTCCTTTGCTTCCTTCAACTTTTATACTCTCTTTCTTGGCAAACTCCTTTAGTCTTCTGACTTCCTCTAACACCTCTTTGCGAATGGCTTCCACCTGGGTATCTGGGCCCTGACTTCTTCCCTGAACTCAAATCCTGCATCACCCACTGCCTGCTTGCTACCCTCGCCAGAGAGCTGGGCAAGTGGCTGTGCTTCAGGATGAATTAGCTGGATTCATCAAGTGGAGTCATCCATCTAATTCCCTGTTTCAGTTGTTGGCACCACCAAGAACCCAACCTGTGTGTGAAGCCTTCTCCTTACATTTAATCAATTGCCAAACCTGTCAATTCCACCTCAGTGATAACTTTCACTTCTAGCTCCTGACCTCCATCATTACCAACCTGGTCCCAGCCAAAATGTCCCTTCTCTGGATGACCGAGGATTTCTTTTTAACTTGTCACTGTGTTTAGTCTCTTTCTCACCAATTTTTCCAACACATGGCTTCCAGAGTTCCAGTCCTGGACCTAAAATATGATTGTTTTGCTAAAAACTCTCTGTGGCTTCCCATTGCATATGGAATAAAGTCTAAACATCTTATCCTAGCACTGAATCTGAGTCCCTCAAACCTTTTGCACGTAAGTACCACTGAATTTCCGACTTAAGCCCTGGGCTCTCCTGGCTGTCTTTGCTTATGCTGCTGCTCCCACAGCTTGGACAGTCCCATCTCTCCATCTTTGGGTATCAAACTCTTACTCGTCATGAGGACCTCGCTCAGATGTCCCCTCCTCCATAGAATTTTCCCCGATTTCCTCAGCTTAAAGTGATAATCTCCATCTACTTTATACAATTGTATTTTATCTGTCATCTTAACTTGTCTATTAGACTACAGGTCCTGAAGACAAGATCTATGTCTGATTCATTTAAGCATTCGTCAAGGCATTCTACACAGTGTTAAACGCATAGCAGGTACTGGATAAAATACTAGTTGGAAAAGTAACTAAATGGGTGAATGAATAAATAAATGAGGTAGTGAATGAATGAATGAAGTCTTCAAGTAATGGAAGTCCATAAAAGAAATGAAGGAGGAGTGGGGAGAAAGGTGAAGGGCAGACACAGGTGGCCAGCATGTAAATCTTCAAAGAATGAGTGAAGTTGCTTGGGGAAGAGAATGGTTCTCTTGTATGGTTAGTGGGACTGATACCTTCATACGCATGGCGGGTAACGTGAGTTTTCCTTTCAAAGGTTGAGCCTGGGGAGTTGGGCAGAGTGGAGGCAGGTGAGTGAGCCCTCCTGTAACTAGAGGTGGAGGCATGGCCTCGTGTGCTTCCAGCTGCAAGAGGGAAAAAGCATAAGTTCTCAGTGCTTCAGCAGAGAGGTGAACCAAATGGCTACTGTGACCCAGCTATATTAACCAAGTACACTCAGGGAGGGTCTTCGGGAGGGCACAGCTGAAAGGGGCCACCTCAGCATTCCCCCAGCTGTTCACAAATGGAAAGGTGGAATTATTGCCTGGGAACGTCCTTCCTGTGCATGGTTACCATGCATGGAAATGGAAAGGATTTGGCAGGATTTTTCTTGTAGACACTGCTTGGATGGACTAGAATATAATCCAGCGTGGAAGTGTGCCTCAACAGGTAAGGGCAGGTGTTTCTTTTGGTCAACCTGGCTGTTCTAATGTCTTGGGGCTTCCTTTTTAGTCTTACTTCCAAGTATTTTAAATGGCTTCAGGGGCTATCTGGGTGCTTCTTGTTTTTGTTTTGTTTTTGCCTTGCTTTGCTTTGTTTTGTTTTAGTTTGAAAGAGTGCTTCACTGGGAACAATGGGCCTGTGTTGGATGCTTGCCCAGTGGAATCTTGCACAGCATGGGATCACATGTCACCAGCTTCCCTTAGCACAGTAACCCAATCGTTAAGTTTCTTTCGTTGTTAATTCAAATTGTAAACCCTCAGGCGTGCACATTGTTCTCTAAAGAGATGGCTTAAAGGGAGTGATTTAGTGAGGAAATAGCTACCTACCCATGAAGTCTTAATTAATGATAGTTATTTATATTGTGGACTTAATGAAAATGGATCTGATTTTAAGTAGGCTTCAAATGCTGATGATTTATAATTTGCACCCCCGGTCTCCAGCCCTGCTGCCCAATAGCTGTGTGTTATTTAGATAACTCTCAGGGGGATTTGGAATGGATGACAGGTGATTGTAATTGTCCCTTTTGTGCACTGATTCAAAATTGTGTCTGCCCTGTGTCCTGTGTAGGACTTTCTTGGTGTCTCTCTCTTTGTCACCCATTCTTCCCTGACCTCTTGCACTAGTGGGCACTCACTTGAGTTTATGTAGCCGCTGCTGCCATGAGTCAGGCTTTGTTTCTCCAGCCGGCTCCCTCCACCAAGAGAGGCTGTTTTAGCATAGCCATTGCTGGTCCCGCCTTCTGCCAGGAACAAAAGCAGGTGATAATTTCAGGGTGGAGTCAGGCCAGAGGATCCCCTGGTCCCCCACCCTGTGGAAGGCTTCCCTGGTTTTTCACCAGGACCTTCTTAGTTTGGGGTTCCTTTCCCACCTACATTATAAGATGCAAGCTGCCATGCTCCAGTTTCGTTGGTTTTTTGTTTTGTTTTGTTTTGTTTTGTTTTGTTTTGTTTTATACAAATATCTAGAGTGAGTATTCCACCTGATTTAAAAGAAAAGTCTCCTGGGTGGAATATAGCAAGTTGCATATTAGGAAATTTTAAATAGTAGAAAAGGCTGAGCGATGAAAGCTCCTTGAGTCCAGGACCTGGTTGGGCTTGCTTTTTCTGAGTGCCTGGTCAGTGCCCAGGCATGGCAGCCACTAGAAGTGCTGGAGGGGCGTGTGGCAGCTCTGTGTTGCTGGTGTTCCACCTGGCAGCCCATCACTGCTCCGACTTCACCTGCTGGTGGGTGGGCTCTCCCCATCCCCAGGGAACTAGGCTCCCTGGAGGCGGGGGCAGGGGGTAGCTTTTGGGCTCAGATCAATATTACAGGAGTGATAGGAGCTCCTGGAAAAAAAAGTAGCCTCAACCAGAAGCTTGACTGGTAGCCCCCAATCCTTGTTCAGGTTAGATCAGATATCCAATATTTTAGCATCTGGAATAGGCAAATCTACAGAGACAGTAGATTTGTGGTTTCCAGGGGCTGAGGAGAGAGGAGGGAGAATGAGGAATGACTGCTAATGGTCACTTCTTTTTGTGGAGCCATGGAAATCTTCTAAAATTGGACTGTAACCATGGCTGCATAACTTGGTAAATATACTAGCAATCACTGAATTATACACTTCAAACTGGCGAATTCTGTTGTATAGAAATTAATGTCAATATAGCTGTTAAAAAAGATGTCAAAAATTTTGGAGCTCCCATGGAAAAGGTTACAGGTGTGGGGCCCTTCAAATGTGACCTACTGAAAAGAAAGCTATTGAGGTAGTTACTTACTTGGTGGTAAGGATGTAAGTCTTGTGGTTACTGTTTCAGTGACAACTAGAAAAAGACAAAGAAAAGATGAGTTCTTATGTAATGCACTGACACCTCTGGATCTTGGCAAGGTCTAAGCTCTGTCACAGGCTAAGCATATTAAATTAGGTTCGACATTGATTTTTCTATCCTTGTGCTTTAAGGTGTGTGATCTGACCCACTGTGCAAAAAGATATGAGCAACAACAATGGGTTTCATATGCTTGGAAAATAAGTTTATATCTCTTTGGAGCCAAAAGAAGTTATGCACTGCGTTTGAAACATGAGTTGTTTTGCTGTTGATGTCTCTCCTTGGACAATTAGATCCAGTCCAGGCCTGGTCTGAGGTTGAAGGAGGACCAGGCCCTCTTGTCTCAAGTCACTCCGTTTCTCTGCATTTCTCCTTCCCCATGGTCTCTCAGTTCAGCTGAGACCAACACCCTAGCTGACTTCACTGTGTACTTCTTCATGAATTTGGAGGTGTTTAAGAACATTATGTTTCGTTCTAATGTCTTCAGGGCAACCCCTGAATGTGGGGAGTTGTGGGAAGGAAGGGTGCTCCTGGTAAGTCACATTTGGGGTTTGGCAAAATCAGTGATCCAGGCACATCACAGACAGACTTGAAGAACCAGTCCCTTGGCCTCTGAAATTTAGTTCCTGTAGGTCTGAGAGATGGTGAATCCATCACTCATGCTCTGACTGTGGCCCTCAGCACTACCTCCGTCTCTGGTGGGTATACAGAAGACCCTACCTATCTGGGGCTTTTGTTCTTTGATATCAGGTTTCCAGTGTGCTTGTATGCATGCATGCATGTGTGTATGTGTGCATGTATGTGTGTGTGTGTGTGGCATGCATGGGCACATACGTGTGGGGAAGGTGGTGAAAGGAGAAAAGAGTAAAGGAAGATGGTGCAGGATCATTTTGTGCTACTTTCAGCTGTGCCGCTGACACCTGCTCCATCCCACATGACTCTCATTCACACTGTCCTTCTTCATACTGCATTTTGCTAATTAGTTTGGTTGTCCTAGCAAGAAGATGCGGTTATGGACATGCCAGAAACAGTACTTAATGCATAAAAGGAAATGTTGGCTGGGCGCAGTGGCTCACGCCTGTAATCCCAACACTTTGGGAGGCCGAGGCGGGCAGATCACGAGGTCAGGAGTTTGAGACCAGCCTGGCCAACATAGTGAAACCCCGTCTCTACTAAAAACACAAAAAATTAGCTGGGTGTGGTGGTGGGCACCTGTAATCCCAGCTGCTCGGGAGGCTGAGACAGGAGAATGGCTTGAACCTGGGAGGTGGAGGTTGCAGTGAGCCAAGATTACGCCACTGCACTCCAGCCTGGGCAACAGAGCAAGACTCCGTCTCAAAAAAAAAAAAAAAGGAAATGTTTTTGTAGAGTGCAGTGGCAGCTTGATTTGAATAATAGTCCTTCAGCTTTCATTGTATAGAACCTCTCATTGTATAGACCTTTGGGATTCTTTGACACATAAAAGTGAATTATTTCCTAACTAAAACTTTCAAGTCTATGGAGCCAGAATTTTTTTTTTATTGGAGATATATGAAAGTCACAGAATAAGTGAAAGAGTTTCCTGACTTAGAGTTGGTAGGAGGAGAGTTTAAATGTTTCTGAATTTATTATTTGGGCAGTTCCACAAAATAAATTTATTTGTTTTCAATTTTCAGCGTAGAGGTCAACTATGATACAATAACTAGGATGTTATTCGTTTAGATTTCTGTTGCCCTGTACCCCTAAATTTGGAAATGATAAAATAAACTATGGTGAATTCATTTAGCAGAATCCTATCCCATCATTAAAAATGAGGGTTATAAATACTGTACATGGAAATGACAACCTTCATCATTCAAGAAAAAGCAGGATATCTTTTGACATAAAAATCAACAAGAGCTGTCTTATGAGAAGGATTAAAGTCCATTTAGGAACACACTTAAACATGATACAGTGGTTGTGGTAGAATTATTAATGAATTACTTATTCTGTTTCCAAATTTTTATTACTTTCATAATAAAACACATAAATTAAAAAATTCTGATGCTCTTACTTCTCTCAGTGACTTCAGTTCCATCTCGTTTGTTTTTCTTGGTTACATCCATACCATAGCCACCTGCAGGAAAAATCAGAAACCATGATAGTCATACTTATCATTGTTTTTAGTAATTATAGGTCCCCACTGTTGAAGCTGATAACCAAAAACATGATTTCAAGAATTTAAACCATAATTCTTTCACGTGAATATTTTTTATGAGTCATTCCCATTTCTTGTAACAGGTATAATAGAGGTTAATTTAATTGTTCCACTTTGGATTCTATTTCTTTGTGCTGGGATCTTGTTTTTCAGTGTCTAGTTGATCAGCCTGCCCCCTGCTGAGCATCAAGAGGCTTACATAGCAGATCAGGTGTCCTGACCTTTGTTTGACTATAAAACCTCCATTCTTTTCCATGGTAATAAATAGCTGAAGGGGATCTGTCAAGGTACTTAGTGCTATCAACTAATTCATTTTAATGTCTCCCATAATGTTCAATGTTCTTTATGGAACTCTATGCATATGAGACATTCATGCTTCATTATTTAAGAGTCTGGAGGTAAGAATGGCACTTGATGGATTTAAATCAGGATAAAAATAATTATATTTGTCGTACTTGTATGGAACTTTACTCTTCTCAAAGTATGAAACATTCACTATAATCGGCTCTCATGTGCTTATCTGCAGACATAAGTATGAAAAACAGTTCAAGAAAGCCTGTAAAATCTATAGAAGCATGTAGGAAAATACATATTTGTATTTTTTATATTCTCCCTTCATTCTTACTCTGCTTCTGAAAAAGAAAACCAGTGCAATCTTGTCCACTGTGTCCCTCAGCATGGATGGTATGAGGCAGGGCTGTTGCCAAACGGTGGTGGGGATGAAAGCTCAAGTCTTAAACACACAGGAATGCACAGCAAGGGTCCCGTCCCAACTGGGCTCTTCTCTTCTTGCTGTGCTGCCTGGCCCCAGGTTCTGAAAGGACCTGAAATCTGACTTACCCTGTGGTTCTCTCCCTTCCTCTAACTTTCTCTTCCTTCTAGTTTATTTTTTGGTTGTAGTTGGAACTGGGTTCTAGAATGCTGAGGCACACTGCTTTTGCCAGGTGCCCCTTGCTTGAAGAGCTCTCCTTCCAGTCTCTGCCTAGTGCCTTCAGGCTCGACTTACCCAGTAGGCAAAGTGGGCACAGTGCCTAGGCCCACAGCACATTTTGGGGCTCACAAAATGTTTACTTTTAACATCAGAAGGAAAAATAATCAGAATCTAATCAGGATTATGTCCTTCTTTATACCAGTGCAGTTGTAAAATAGAATTTTAAAAAGTTTTTTGATGGAGGAAGGGGCCTACAAAGGCAAAAGTGTCTAGGGACCGTGAAAGTCATACTGTGGCTCTGGGTGACTTCCCTGATGGAAACCAAGACCAAATGAGACCAGCTGATCAACGATCTGGTGGAGTAACCAAGATTCGTACACTTAGCTTCAGGCCCTAGTAAATGTGCCAACTTCTTGCTCGTTGGTGTTTTTCAAACACAGCTCGAGGCAAGGAATGAGGCACAATGGAAAAAATCCTAGCTGGATCTGAGAAGCCAAAGAATGTCTTTATAGGTATGTTTCCTGGAGCCCAGAGGAGGGGCTTCATACACAGTTTAACAAAGGAGTCTAGCCTCATTACAAGGACAAATCTGACCAGTGAATCTGTCTGCATTCCAGCTATAACCTATATGACTTATGTCATGCAAACCTACGTGCAACTGGACACCTTTGCAATCCTTTGTTTAAGCATCAGTTTGATACCTCTGAAAGCCTTCTCTGACTTTCTTTTAAAAAAATAGGTAATAAGCTGTGGATCAGGAGGCATTTGGGGAGATTAAACCTTTAAATGCGCCTGGCAGTCAGTGGGGAGGTGACTAGCTTTCTAGGATGGTACCTGAACTGATATGAAATATTATCCTGAAATGAACTGTTTATAACAATCCACGGAAACTTTTACTTCCTACAAGTTATTGCTTACTTTGATCTTTCAGTGAAAGTTGCTGCTGACAGCTATACATTTGGGATTGGCCGGAAGGGTTCGACTTGCAGCCATTTAGGCAGATGGATCATGACTCTGTTTGCTAAGAATACAGTCTCCAGGCAGCAAACCTGGAAAGTTTTGCTTGTTCTTTCTTTATCCAAAACATAGCAGGCATTTCTAGGCCCTCCATCTTTTCCCTGAATCCCAATGACAAAGCCTTGACTTCTGCAGTAAAATGCTAAGGATTCCCCAACTTCCAGAGGGCACGAAGTGATGACCTACTTAGAAATCAGATGCCCTCCTTCAGGGCCTGGGAGCTCCTCATTGGAAGGTACTTTGTGGATATAACCTGCTCTAGGCAGGTACAGGTAGATGCCTCTCTCTCAATCTGAAGCCACCCCAATGTCTGTGTGTTCCACAGCCAATCTGAGGTGCCAGGTACGTGTTGGGAGACTGATTCCTTTAAACGAAATATAAGAGGAAACTTTCTATAAGTGAGTTATATTAAATGGAGAGTGATGGCGTGGGGCACAAGCCTGGACTAGGATCTTCCCATGGGACCTACAGTATATTCCCAGGACTTCTTTTTTACACATTTTAAGTGCTGATAGTTTTTAAAAGTGTAACGTTAGGAAAAGGAACGTTTCCTGCCCAGGTACATGCCTGAGCCTGCCTATCCTAGCAGGATTCACCAGTGTGTTCGTCTTCCAAAAGTCCTACTTAATGGAAGCACTGTCAAATAACATAATTTTTAACTTCTCAGATATTTGGGCCACTTCACTAGAACTAAGGATGAGCAGATCATTCAAGCTCTCAATTCCAAAATTATACTAATTTCCATCCATAGTTCTAAAGGGTTGCTTTGTGGCTATTTTATAGCTAATGTTTTTGTGAAGGTGTAAAAATGATCCCATGTCACTTTTCTAGGCAAGAAGACACAATTTTAAATCATTTTTCTACTTTTATGAGTTTTTTCCTTTCCCCTTTATTTAAATGATGTCACGTCTACCTAAAACTATTCAGCCGATGCTGTCTAACATACACACACACACAAGGACAAACCACTGTTAGTGACAGTGAACCATCACGTTAACTGTTTACCATCACATTTGGGTTTAAACCATCACATTATCTTATTCTAATGACACATGAAACACTTTGTTCTTGATACAACAAAGAGAATGAAGAAGCTAAGTATTTTTCTCTTTATTTTTTGTTTTAGGAACAAATGTTCCTATACTCTGCTAATGAATTGCAAGTATTTTTATAGCTTCTATTACTCCATTCTCTATACACTTTAAATTTTAAAACAAAACAACAACAAAATTGCCAAAGTATTAGAAAACCATCCACTGGCTATTGACCTGATAACACAGAAGGGCCCAGCAGTTTGATGCCAGGAAAGCCAATGCCCTGGAATTGAATATCTTGGAGGCTTTGTCTCTGTAACACCCCAGAGATGGGTTTGCTGCTTGCTACATTTGGTATCCTGGATTTTCATGACTGGGAGCAGGTGGGATAGGGCACCAGCTTTGTGATTATGCTGGTTTGTTTACAGTTGTGTCCTGCCACTGTTAATAATGGCAAATGAAACAAACAATGTAAACACAGACTTCTTTTTGTTTTTCATAATCTGAGAAGGTGGTTAGTTCTTAGGTCAGGTCAGTTTCACCAATCTAAGGAGTTTTTTTCCTATTTTTTTTTTTTTTTGAGACGGAGTCTTGCTGTGTTGCCCAGGTGGGAGTGCAGTGGCACAACCTTGGCCCACTGCAACCTCTGCCTCCTGGGTTCAAGCAATTCTCCTGCCTCAGCCTCACAAGTAGCTGGGGTTACAGGCATGCACCGCCACACCCAGCTAATTTTTGTATTTTTGTATTTTTAGTAGAGATGGGGTTAGTATAATATGAGTGTGCACCACTACGCACACCACTATGCTTGGCTAATTTTGTATTTTTTGTAGAGTCAGGGTTTTGCCATGTTACCCAGGCTGGTAAGTTTCTATGCAAGCTTGAAGCAGAGCTGTTCACTTTAATTGTTCCTGTGTAAACTCTGATCAGACTCATGTGGGTGTTTTGCAGGGCCTAAGAGTAAAGCAGGACACCTCTGAATCTCTGGAGTGAGTCTGTGTGGGGATAGACATCTGTCTTAGGTTAGTTCTGACAGATCTGTGCCTTAGCTCTAAGAGAGAACATATGGAGGTAAGAAGAAACTATTCTGCTTTTCAAATAAATACCTTTTAAAAATCTTGCTACGTTTTACAAGTCCACTATTAGACTACTGATTAACTACTTCTCAAAAGAAGGAATGTGCCAGAGGTTTTGCCTCCACTTCAAAAAGTAAAGTGATAATTTGTCAGTTACCAGTTAACGTCATCCACTTAGGTATCTAAACTGGTAATTCTCATCTCAAAGTGAATTTTTTTGGCAGGAGGAAACCCAAGTTGACTCGTAAGAGTATATATACGGGAAACAATTTTCTTCCTTTTTTTATTCCTCTAAGTTTGATCCTGCAAAATTTCTGAATTAATCAGATCATTTCAAAGATCCTACTTTTCTTTAGATTAGAGGTAATTTTACAGCATGGTAAACAGCAATGTTTACCATGTATGGCTTAATCAGAGAGGCCCAGTCAGCACAGGGACTGTTTCTAGAAGGCCCCCTTACCTATACTTTAACTTCACCCCTGAGTTGTTCTCTTCGTCCAGTGGAGAGAGAGACAGAGGGAAGAGGAGAGCAAGATAGCGAGAGAGGAAACTGAGATTGGGAGAGAAGGAATTATAAGCCCGTATCATATTCTAAATAAAACAACACAAGTCATTTTACAATGCTGAAAACAATGCAGAAAGGTCTTGCCTCTAAAGCCCGCTATATTTTAACCAGCCTTCAGCCTTCTCCTTTTCCCCACTTATTTCCTTTGAAAGACCTACCCTAAGCAGAATGCATACACCAAAGTCATCTTTTATAACCAATTGATCACTTTAACCAGAATGCTAGAAACTACAGAACTTCATCTTCTTTTCTCCAATAAACATTTAATTTCTAAATGGCAAACCTTAAATCAAAGTCTCAGAGAAAAGGAGAAAGGTCAGTCTTCCTGTTTACTTACCTGGTTTGAGGTTTTGAAGGAATTGGAAACAACTTTGAATAAATCCCCCTCTCTCTTTCTTCTCCTGATGTTTTCTTCTAGAAATTTGCAGTGCTCACTTTTTTTTTATCCAGACCCAGCCAAGGTGTGTTAAAGCTGAGTGATCTTTCAAAAATGTTCACTTTTCTTTCTCTCCACCTTGTTTCTTTCAACTCTTTGCTTCCAAACATGTCCTGACAAAGGTGTGTCATGGTTTACAGCGTTACTCCACCCTTCCAATTATCTGACACTTGCTGGATTTAAAAAAAAAATCTGCCTCCAGGAATCAAACTTTACTGGAGGCAGAAAGCTTCTCCTTCCAGCTTAGGTAGATTAACTATTTATAAGGCCCATGGGGAAAAGGAAACAAAGGACCAGCATAAAGGAAATGCTTTTTTATTGCCTACCTTCTACAGCTGGAGAACTGCCACAACTTTGTGGCAGTACCCTTCCTCAGTGCCATGGGTACTGGAATCCCACTGCATGATTCATGAGTCTAGGCACGTGGATGGGCTCATGGATGAGCATGGTCTAGGCACATGGATGGCCTGTGGTCATACTGCCTGAGCCCTAGAAAAACTGAAGTTGGCAGGATTTATATTCAAGATCTGTTTCCCCTATAGATGTCTTCGTCCTCTGTTCCTGTGTCCTGTGTCCTTTGTCTTGTTTCCCCTATAGATGTCTTTGTCCTCTTTCCCCTCTTGTGACTCAAGCCAGGTCAAGCCCATCTGGAGAAAATAGTTGGTGAACTAATTCATAATATGCTAATGACTGAATGTACTGAGCAATTGGTGGGGTAGGGGTTCGTTTTACAAAAGAGGCAACCAGATATAGTGATGCTGACCTAAAAGAGTGACATGTTAGTGATGGAATTTTAGGCATTTAGCCACCTAATAATGGAGAGAGGTGCTGTTGGGAAGGGATAAGGACCTTCTTGTCCTTCAAATCAGGTGACCGCATAGTCTCCATACACCTAAAGACATGTGTGGGCTCCCAGATGTCCTGCAACTCCAAGTACATCCTGGGGACCTTTAGATTTCCCTAGAGGGTCAACTTGCATCAATCAGGATAATTCTTATGAATACCTGGATAGCATCTGGCTTCCCAGGGGGCCTAAAGACTAGCTTGAGACACTTGGTGTTGGTAAAATGGGAAGTCTGAACCTGGAACTCACTCAGGCAGTCCTTTGAGGCCATAGCACATTCCTGGGACCCAGCATCACACTGGGATTCCCAGTTCTGAGGCATTATCCTAAGATACTGGAGGGGAGCAGTGGGGCCCTTACAGCATAGCACCGATGTGCAACTGCACCTTGCTATTGTGGGCACTGCATCCCATGGAAGGGTAGCAGACCACAACAACAGCTGTGGGGCTCTTGCTCCTAAGCTGCCCATATTCCACACTGGAGTCGTGCATTTCAGAACCCTTTCAATTATGCAGAATTTGACACTTGCTTTGTAGGATGTTCTTGCCTTCCCCAAATAAATACTCAATATGTCTTCCGTCAGTTTCATAGTAGAAGAACACTGAAGAACCCAGAACACACAGAGCTTTCAGCATAAAATAGACATGCCCCTGCATCATTTATTTCTTTATTCATGAATTCAAGAATTAAACAAAAATATATTGGCTCCTGCTTGGAGCCAGACATTAAACTATGTGCTAAGAGTTTGGTGGTGAAATATGAACATAGTCCCTCTGCTTATGGAGTTCACAGTCTAATGGAGGAAGACAGGCCTTACATAATGTATTAGTCGGTGAGGGTTCCCATAACAAAATACGACGGACTGGGTGGCTTAAACAACACAAATTTATTTTTTCACAGTTCTGTGGGCCAGAAGTTCAAGATCAATGTGTCAGGAGGTTTGATTTCTCCTGAGACCCCCCTCTCCTTGGCTTGCAGATGGCCGCCTTCTTGCAGTATCCTCACATGGCCTTTCTCTGTGCATGCACATCCCTGATGTCTCTCTCTGTGTGTCCTCATCTCCTCTTCTTAAAGGACACAGTCAGATTGAATTAGAGTCCACCCTGATGGGCTCCTTTTTTACTTAAATTTAACTACTTCTTTAAAGACCCTATCTTCAAATAAATTCACTGAGGTACTAATGGCTAGGGCTTCACATATGAATTTTGGAGGGACATTATTCAGCCTATAACAGTTACGTACAATATATAATTGCAGATTATATATATATATATATTATAAGAGCAACTGCAAGAATATGATAACTATTATAAAGAAAGCATACTGACTTGAGGCCAGGAGTTCAAGACAAGCCTGGGCAGCATAGCAAGACCTTGTCTCTACTAAAAAAAAAAAAATAGCTGAGTATGATGGCATGTACCTGCAGTCCCAGTTACTCGGGTGGTTGAGAAAGGAGGATTGCATGAGCCTAGCAGTTCAAGGTTACAGTAAGCTATAATGGCGCCAGTGCACTCTAGCCTGGGTGACAGAGCAAGATCAGAAAGAAAGAGTACTGGCTACTGTGAGAGCGTAAGAAGAGACATAATCTTGGAGAGGGGTGTTAGGAAAAGTCCTGCTATATAAGTGATACATGAAGGTTGAAAAGAGATCACACAGGTGAAGGGCAGGGTGGAGAGTGTTCTACTATCTAGATGGGGCAAGAGTCTCTGAGAAGGCTCTCAGGTGGAAGCTGCACGGTGAGTTGGGGGAAGAGTGATGAGGCCAATTTGCTCAAAAGCATCAAGTGAAGGGAGGCAGGCAGCGGGCGAGAGGCTGGCAAGGGAGGCAGGACTAGATCACACAGGGCCTCACAGGCTGTGGAGGGTCATGTTTTGGGTTATGTGGCAAATGTTAAGTTGACATTAAGGAGCAACTCCCTACAGGCACTGTGTGGGTGTTCGGATTATTGATCCCAGGAAAGAAGAACGACTGCAACTAATGCTTTCTAGAACTACTGTAAGCCAGATTTTTTACATCCATTCTCTAACACAATCCCGACAACGACTCCGAGAGGTGTGTACCATTATTACCTTCATTTTATACCTGAGAAAAGTAAAGTTTGAGAGGCTGAGTAACAGGCCAAGGGTCTTCCATCTCATAAGTGGCAGAGTCTAATAGATTCCACTTGACTCTTGGACCTTCATTTCCCACTGCCTTGTGTATTATTAAAATTTAAGTCTGCCCATAGCTTTCAACTGAAAGAAAATAGGCAATATTAGAACAGATCAGGCTGAGGGCAAATTACAACTAAAAAAAACCCCAAACCATCTGAACAGTGGGGATGTTTTCAGTTAACAGCAGTATGGTATTGGAATAACTTATTGATAGTTTTAGATAGAAATCTATTTATAGAACTCAGCAACCACAGACCAATCAATTTTTCAACTATAACAACTATATAAAACCAAACACACAGGCCAGGTATTGTGGCTTATGCCTATAATCCCAGCACTCTGGGACGCCAAGGCAGGAGGATCTCTTGAGGCCAGGAGTCTAAGAGTAGCCTGGGCAACATAGTGAGACCCCCATCTCTACAAATAAAAATAAATTAAAAAATAAAATAAAGCTAACATGCTAAGCAACCATCAGAATCAGCATGGATGGTATTTTCCTACCCTTGGGTTCCTATAAAAATATTGGTATTCTCCAGGTACAATAGAACAGTCAGATCTATAACAGATAACCCCCAAAGTTAATTAGTCAAGGATGCTCTAAGCTAACTCAACAGCTAATAAGACTGCATGTCTGTGTGTGCATGTGCAGGTTCTCACATATTCAGATGTGCATGTGTGAGTAGTGTTTACAGAGTCCTATATTAGGTATTTTGGGGGAGAAGAAAAAAGAATTCAAGTACTCACATTCTAGTTATTCAATGTTCTTAGATTATTGTACTTGGCAAATCTGTGAGTAAGACATGGTACATACAGTGAAAGAAACTTCATTTAACATTTATGTATCAAGTTCCTACCATATGCCTGGTAGTAAGGGAGCTGTCTTTTAAATGTTTTTAAATTAGCCAGAAAACAACAAAATTCTTGCCAAAATGAAGAAGCAAAGAGTCAGCTTTAGGAAATAGAAGTGACTAAGACACTGGAAAGGTGTTTTTTGCTCTCTGACTGCATTTGGAGCTGTGTTAATGAGTCACATTAATCCATTTTTGATGGACTAGAAAGTCCCTTAAAAGGCAACCTGGAAAAATAGTTATACTTCCAAAATTATCTACTGACTTTTAAATAGGCTGGGGAGAAAGAGTGTCTTTTCACGTGTGGCCCAGATTGGCACCAAGTGACCAGACGCATCACTCTCTGAGCAGCGTGAGTACAGGCGGACTCTGCTTTATGTGACTGATGTGTTTCTGAAAAGGGATTTGTTTTTGGTGACCAGAGTGAGTGCTTTTGCCAAGTGACTGTTCACTACCTTATGAATCTTTGTAGATGCATATTTTCTTTATGTGTTTGGTTTAAAGGGGTGTACCCAATAGGTGGATTTCTACCTATTCTATGACTCTTTTCTCATAAAAACAGTATCACATGATAGTGCCATGATGTGCTTATGATACTTTCACGAGGTATCTTATAGCTTTGGGACACATTTTGCCCTCCATTCTCAAGAGACAATAAGAAATAAAGTTCTCTGAAAAGGAGGTGAGGGAAAATAATTTTAAATTTACTGAGGTAATTCCAGTATCTACAATTGTTGATTCAGCTCTTTTGTTGGACAGTAAATCCACTGATTTTTTTTTAAAAAAACCAATTCTCACATATTAAATAAAAATAATACAACAATTATTTGTTAGTTGCCTACTACTGTTCTAAGACTGGAAGACCATCTTCCGGCTTGGCTTCTTTGCTTAGCATGTGCTACTAGATAAGACTTCTCTATACACAATTATGACAACATCATATGTCATGGTGTGTGGAATTGTTTGGCTTTTGGAAGGACATAGCTAAGTAGTACGAACTCCTGCCCTTCCCATGTGGGCTTCTTGAATTATCGCCAGTTGTGTTCCTTGCTGCCTTGATTATAATAACAAAGCACCCTGGTTTCCTTTTCTTCCATTCCCAACTTCAGATCTATTCACTCATTTTTCCATTCAAAACTCATACATATTTGTTGAGTGAGTGGACTACCACCTATGGAGTGTCTATCATGAGCAAGGCATGAGGTGTAGAAATACAACTGAGGGTGAGATATAAAACCTGCCTTCCAGTAATTTACAACACAAAAAGAAAAAATATATGAACACAGTCACCACATATACCAATAATTACAACATACAGAAGAATATAAACCACAAGAGAACAGTTAAGAACTATGAAAATTCACTCTCAGCTGTGAACATCAGCCAAAGCTTCGCAAAAGAGGTGTCCTTTGAGCTGGGCCTTAAAGGATCGGGGGTGGTGAGAAGCCAAGGCTGAAGAAGATATTTCAAGCACAGAATCCAGCACGAGAGGTACAGATGCAGGAAAGAGGAAGGCTTAGGTGGAGAGTGGTGGAGCATAGTGTGAGAAAGGAGAGAAGATGAGGAGAGGTGGGAAGGGTAGGATGCACCTACCCTTCAGAGAAAGTCTGAAGTGCCAGTCTGCGGCATGTCAGTGTCATTCTGAGGGTGAGGGGGAGTTGCCGAAGGTTCAGCTGGGCTGAACAAAGATAAATTTGGTGATAGTGTAGACAGTGGAGTAGAACAGAAAGAGGCAAGATAGACTGATGGGGACGCTCTGGCAGTAGTTTAGTGAAGAGCCTGAGCTTTAGCAAGGCAAGGATGAAAAAGAAAAAGGAACTGAGCAGCGCAAGATCAGCAAGGTTGGACAGAGACAGTGATATTTAGTGGTTGCTGTTAAGATGAGGGAGCCTGCAGGGCCTAGGATGTTGCTGAGATTTTTCCAAGCCAACCACTGACTACAGCACTTCTTTCCCCTTCTCTGCCAAGTTACCTTTCTCAAAAGTCCCCATGTTAGAGCTTACCTTCTGGTGGAGGATATAAAAACAATAACAACAACAAAAAGTTTATTCGCTTTGGTTTGCACTCTTCCCTGCTCCCATTTTGTCCTGTGTTCACCACCTAACGTATTATCAATGGGAGATGTGTAAAAAAAAAAAGGTTTCCGTTCTCTGGACTTGAAGAACTTAGATATTAAGACTATAGGATTATATTAGAATATATCACCTATCGATGATGCATTTAATTAAAGCTACCATAGGTTATTTTTAACACATGGCCTACTAAAGTATCTGTAACTTATGTCTAATAATTTAACAATTATAAATTAGCTTTATCAAAAGACAAAAATGAGCCAAAGAAAAATCTGTGAAGTGTTAGCCTTAGCAGTTGTTCCCCTTTTGCTAGAGTTTGAATATATCCCCCAAAGTTCATGTGTTGGAAACTTAATCCTCAATGCAACAATGTTAAGAGGTGGGACCTTTAAGAGGTGATTAGGTCATGACTCTACCCTCATTAATAGATTAATGGCATTATCTCAAGAGTGGATTTGTTATCTCTGGAGTTGATTCCTTATAAAAGGATGAGTTTGGCCCCCGTCTCTCTCTCTCACCCTTATGAGGCCTTCTGCTATGTTATGACATAACAAGAAGGCCCTCACCAGATGCCAGCCCCTCAATCTTGGACTTCCCAACCTCTAGAATTGTGAGAAATGTTTTTTTAAACAAATTACTCTCTGGTATTCTGTTATAGCAGCACAAATCAGACTAGGACACCCTTTATAATCAGAGAAAAATATCCCTTTGATTCCAAAAGATTCGCCTTACTAGCAGAAGAAATGAAAATCCTCCCATCAGGATGGGAAGTCACTTCTTGTTTTATGCTTGGCAGTGTTTATCTACCCACCCTGGTAGAGTTAAGCCTCTCCAAGAACTGAGGCAAGCCAAGTCATCTGTACTTTATTTGCTCAGAAATGACATGGGAGGGATGTCAGGAGCAGCAAGAAGAGGAAAAGTTTAATACTGCTCACAGAAAAAGATAGGCTCTCAAAATCTGATTATTTTATATAAGTAGACCAGTTCTTTGAAATTTGTGTTAGGCTTGATCCCTATTGGAGGGGCAACAAAAAATTTCAGCAAAACAGCTGGAAGCCACCTGATAGATGGATTTGCCAGAGAGCTGAAAAGTCTGCATAAGGATAAGCATTCTCTTATGCTGCAGGCCATGATTCAGGAGATGTGCTTAGTTTTCACAAAACATGTCTACACAAGGACTATCTTCATTAATATAAAGACCACACCCTATTACCTGGCTTGTGGTTGCCACTATTTTCCTCAAGGATATATCTGTAGCACATGAACTCATGCTGAGAATCAGGTCTTATTGCCTGACATACTCATTGACTTAACATTCTACTGATTATAACAGTCATCTAAAAGTTTTTGAACTGTCATTATGCCAGTGGTTTCCAATATGTGTTTTTGAGGACCCTGGTGTCAGCAATTTGTCAGAATCAGATGCAAATCAGAAAACTCACATTTGGTAAAATTCACTTTTTAGTGGTCTAGGAGCTTTGACAAATGCATATAGTCATGTAACCACCACCATATTTAAGATATAGAACAGT
Organism: Homo sapiens; assembly: GCF_000001405.40. Classification (NCBI taxonomy): domain Eukaryota; kingdom Metazoa; phylum Chordata; class Mammalia; order Primates; family Hominidae; genus Homo; species Homo sapiens. The sequence continues at coordinate 104,093,271 of NC_000010.11, forward strand.
TCCATTGCCCGGTAAAATTCCTTTATGCTCCATTGTGGTCCACTCCCATCTCCAGCCTCTGGCAGTATCTCTACAGTTTTACCTTTCCAAAATGTCATATAAGTGAAATCATACAATATCTGTAACCTTTTGAGTTGGCTTTTTTGACCTAGCATTGAGATTCATTTATGTTGTTGTAAGCATCACAATTTATCTCTTTTTATTATTGAGTAATATTCCATTGTGTGGAACAATAATTTTTTTATACATTTATATGTTTATGGACATCTGAATTATTTCCCATTTTGTCAATTATGAATAAAGTTGTTATAAACATTCATGTACATATTTTATATGAACATAAGTTTTCCTTTCTCTTGGGTAAATGCCTAGGAGTAAAATGCTTGCCTAGGTAAATGTATATTTAACTTTATAAGAAACTGGCAAACAGTTTTCCAAAGTTTTATACCATTTGCATTCCTACTAGCAGTGTATAAGAGTTCTAGGTGTTCTGCATCCTTGTCAGCTTTTGGCATTATCAGTTTGTTCCATTTTAGCAATTCTAATAAGTGTGGAGTGATATTTTATTGTGGTTTTCATTGGCATTTCTCTAGTGACTAATGATGTGAGTCATCTTTTCACATGCTTATTTGCCATTCATACATCTTTTTTGGTAGTGTCTGTTCAAATCTTTGCCCATTTAAAAACCGGGTTGTTTTCTTATTATTGAATTTTGATAGTTCTTTATATATTCTGGATACAAGTCCTTTATCAGATAGGTGTTTTTGCAAATATTTTATCCCAGTCTACAGCTAGATGACCATTTTCTTAACAAGGTCTTTTGGAGAGGAAGTCCAATTTGTCATTTTTTTTCCTACTATGAATCATATTATTGATGTCATGTCTAAGGAATCTTTGCCTAACCTGCATTCACAGGATTTTTTTTTTTTTTTTTTTTGAGACAGAGTCTCACTCTGTCACCCAAGCTGGAGTGCAGTGGCGCGATCTCGGCTCGCTGCAACCTCCCTCTTCCTGAGGTTCAAGCAATTCTCCCGCCTCAGCCTCCCGAGTAGCTGGGACTACAGGCACGCACCACCATGCCTGGCTAATTTTTTCTATTTTAGTAGAGACAGGGTTTCACCGTGTGGCCCAGGCTGGTCTCAAACTCCTGAGACCTGGCAATCCACATGCCTTGGGCTCCCAAAGTGTGAGGATTACAGGCATGAGCCACCCCACCTGGCCAAGGATTTTCTTATATATTTTTTTCTCAAAATTTTAGTATTTTCAGGTTTACATTTATGCCTATGGACCTTTTTGAGCTAATTTGTGTATAAAGTGCAAAGTGTGGACCAAGGTTCGTTTCTAAAAATTTAAAAATTTTTTTTAGAAAATGGGATATTCCTATGTTGCCCAGGCTGGGCTCAAACTCCTGGGCTCAAGTGACCCTCTGGCCTCAGTCTCTCAAGCAGCTGGGAGTAGAGGCATATGCCACTGTACCTGGCTCAAGTTTCATTTTTAAATATAAGACTATTTGTTCTAAAACCATGTATTTAAAAGATTATCCTTTCTCCATTGAATCGTCCTTCCAAATTTGTCAAAAATCAACTACTCGCATAAGTAAGGATTTATTTATCAACTACTCACATAAGTAAGGATTTATTCTTACCTCTGTTATGTTCCATTGATCTATGTGTCTACCTGTCACCAATACCATACTGCCTTAATTGCTGTAACAATATACTAAGTCTTGAAATCAGAAAGTACAGAGCCTATGAATGTTTTCCATTGCATAGTGGTGTACGTTCCGGACTCTGAATCGAGAAAGTGTAAATTGTCCAACTTTGGGGTTTTGGCTATTCTAGTTCCTTCATTTTTTCATATAAATTTGATTTCCACAGAAAATCTTGTTTGTAAATATATTGGGATTGCATTGAATTATAGATCTATTTAGGACATAAATGGCATCTTAACCACAGTAAGTCTTTTAATCCACAAACATGGTGTATTTTTCCATTTACATATATCGTTTTGACTTATTAGTGTTATAGTTTTCAGCAAACAGATTTTACACATATTTTGTTAGGTTTGTACCAAAGTACTTAATATTTTATGGTGCTATTTAAAATGCTTTTTAAAAAATCTTTATTTTCTAATTTTTCATCAATGATATGTAGAAGCAAAATTAGTTTTTATATATCGACTTTGTATACTGTAATGTTGCTAAACAATGGTTCTAGTACAGTTTTGGATATTCTTTGGAGTTTCTTACATAGACAGTCATGTCATCTGTGAATAGTTCTATTTCTTATTTCCTAATAAAGAAATACCCTTTATTTATTTTTTACGCACTGGCTAGAATCCCCAATGCAATGTTGAATAGAGTAGTAAGAGAAGACATCTTGATTTGGTCCCATCTGGGAAGAATAACACTTAGTGTTTCACCATTAAGTATCATGTTAGCTATAGGATTTTTGTAGATCCCCACTATTAGGTTGAGAAAACTCCCTTCATTACTACTTTCTTGAGAGTTTGGTTTCTTAAAATCATGAATGCTTGTTGATTGTCAAATGCTTTTTCTGCATCTATTAAAATAATTACATTATTTGTCTTCTTTGGTCTATTGATATGGTGGTTACATTTATTTAAAAATTTTTTTTCTTTTTGTTTCTTTTTAACTATTTACTGCTACATCTCACAGAGCTTACAGATTGGCAAATTCTCTTTTTTTTATTTTTAAAAATTTTTTTTGGCTGGACACAGTGGCTCACACCTGTAATCCTAGCACTTTGCGAGGCCAAGGCAGGAAGATCACGTAAGGCCAGGCGTTCAAGACCAGCCTGTGCAATGTAAGCAAGACCATGACTCTACAGATAAATTTAAAAATTAACCAGGCATGGTGGTGCACACCTGTAGTCCCAGCTACTCAGGAGGCAAAGGTGGGAAGATAACTTGAGCCCAGTTCAGGCTGCAGCGAGTGGTGACCACGCGACTGCACTCCAGTCTGGGTGACAGAGTAAGACTCAGTCTCAAATTTTTTTAAAAAAAGATTTACCATCTTTACTACTTTTAAGTGTGCATTTCAGTGATAATAAATACATTTATATCTTTTTTTTACCTTTATACCCCCTCCCTCAACAGATTTTGGTTCTTTTTTTATAATTTCTATCTCTTTGTTGATATTTTCTGTTTGGTGAGCCATTGTACTCATACTTTCTTTCAGTTATTTAGATATAGTTCCTTTTACCTCTTTGAATATATGAAAATAGCTGATTTAAAGCTTATGTCTAATAAATCTAATGTCTGGGCTTTCTCAAAGACAATTTCTATTAATTGCTTTTTAAAACTTTATATGGGTTATACTTTCTTGTTTCTTTGCATATCTCATAATTATTTTGTTTTTGAAAACTCAACATTTCAAATAATTAATATGGCAACTCTGAAAACCAGATTCTCCTCCCTCTCCAGATTTTGTTGTTTTTGTTGTTTGCTACTTTTTCTTATATTTTGGCCATGATTTTCCTGGACTAATTCTGTAAAGTCTGTATTCTTTGTTATATGTGGCCACTAAAGTCTTTGCCCAGTTAGGTCAGTGGTCAGTTAATAATTGGACAGAGATTTCCTTAAATGCCCTGAACCAATAAGTCTCTGAATCTTTGCCAAGCGATTCTGTGTGCATGCAGGGACACACATTCAAGATTCAGCCAGCCAGTTGACAGCTCTGCCTTAGCCTTTACTTTCTGCTATCACAGAGCCTCAAAGTCATCCATAGGGCCTTCTTAGGTCTTTCCTGAGCATGCACACAGCCCTAGATATGTACACGTCTATGCATGTACATGGTCTTCTAGATTTCCAGAAATATGTTAAAACTTTTAAAAGCCACTATGGATATTTTATCCCCAGTTTTTCCTTTTAAACTTTTTGTTTAGCCTCTTATTTCCCTCAACTGTTATCGATTTCCTTGGGTAGCCACAATGTTAGACAATTGCATTGAATTGTTTTTGACAAATGCCCCACGGAAAAGGCTTTTCACACTGAATGAGCTCTGAGACAGGTCAAATAAAGACAATCTTGTAAGTGGAATCTTCCAAAGAACCACCAGACGGGTCAAATAGTGACAGTGCTCTGTGAATACAGTTTTGAAGGAACTCCGACCTCATTCTGTCCACTCCAGTGGCTGCCAGCCTCCTGCTTCTCACCATGATTGTGGGCTATTGGTTTTCAAAGATACCACAGAGTTGAGAGGGAATGGAATAGGGCAAGTTAAAATGCCACAAAGCTTGCTGCTCTTACTGAGCCATTTTCCTGAATAAATACTTCCCAGGTTGCTGCAAGACTTTGGTTAATTTTCGGAGTTCTGAAAAAGTTGTTGTGACTATTTTTCCCACTTCCCCCCATTACTTCACAGAAGAGAAAATATTAAGAGGTCCTTGGCTAGGTGTGGTGGCTCATGCCTGTAATCCCAGCACTTTGGGAGGCTGAGGTGGGTGGATCACCTGAGGTCAGGAGTTCGAGACCAGCCTGACCAACATGGTGAAACCCCATCTCTACTGAAAATACAAAAGTTAGCCAGGCATGGTCGTGGGCACCTGTAGTCCCAGCTACCTGGGAGGCTGGGGCAGGAGAATCACTTGAATCTGGGAGGCAGAAGTTGCAGTGAACCGAGATTGCACCATTGCACTCCAGCCTGGGCAATAAGAGTGAGACTCTGGCTTAAAAAAAAAAAAAAAAAAAAAAAGGTTCTTACTCCATCATTTTCACTGATATAACTCCTATGGATTTATTTACTTTGTTTTATTTTTATTTTCTGGAGACAAGGCCTCTCTATCCATTGATTGGTTTTTGAATGTAGAATCAACCTTGTATTCTCTGAATAAATTGCACTTGGACATGACACATTTTCCTTTTAATATATTGCTGCATTTTATTGCTGATGTTTTACAAAAAGCTTTTGTGTCCTTGTTTATGAGAGATATTGGTCTATAGATTTTTCTTTCTTGTAAATTTTTTGCCTTATTTTGGTCAGGATAATAATGGTCTCATAAAATAAGCTGGGAATTGCTCATTTTTCCTTTATTTTTCTGGAAGAATTTGTGTAGAATTGGTATTATTTCTTTCTCAAAAGTTTGACAGAATTTTCAGTGAAGCTATCTGAGCATGGGATTTTATTTTCTAGAAAGATTTGACCTACAAATAAAATTTTCTTAATAGAAGCAGAATTATTCAGGTTATCTATGTCTTTTTGAGAGAGCTTTGATGGCTTGTGTCTTTCAAGAGCTCGTCCATTTCACTGAAATTATAGAATTGCATCATATGTTCTATTTGTTGCAATATTTGAGATGTATCCTCTAGGAAAGACATACACACAAGTTAGGGCGATTTACTTAGGAACCATTAATTTCATTTTTTCCCCACAGAATACAAATCATTAGTAGTGTAGCAACAGTAATGGGCTTTGGTCTTAGAGTGAGGAATTGACCAAGAATTTCCAGAATGTTTGGGAGCAGAAGTGTTCAGTACATGTAGCATTATGACAAGGAATCTGTGCGCAAGCACTATCTGTGGACTACGAATATATTATATTATACATTATTGCAATCATAGTGGTTACCTTCCCATTCTGCCCCCAAAATTGTTAATTTTCATCCATTCCTTTTAGTGGTGGATTTAGGAAGAAATGTGACTCATTTGTTGGCCAATGGTACATGAGGAAAAGTGTTTTCAGGATGTTTAGGAGAAGTTTATTGCTTCTAAGGAGAAAAAGCAGAAACAGCCATTTTCTTTTTCAGGACATTGGTACATCTGCATGTGATGTGGACGTGCTAATGCATTACACTCACAAGGGTATCACCACAGTGAGGAGATGAGGATTGAAAACATCCTTGCTCCTCAATGACAACATTGAGAGCCTGAATAAACAACCATGGGACTACCCTACCTCTGGATTCTTTGTGTGTGAGATAATAAACTTCCTTATCATTTAAGCCAATTTGAGTTGGTATTTTCAGTTATTAAATTTGAAAGCATCCTCACTGGTTCATAATAATAAGTAATAGTATGCTCCAAATATATGTAGGTACTGTTATGAATAATAAACACAAATTCATTTAAAGTGTTACTGGAGTTGGAGTAGCGCCCTGGCATTGCCTAATTTTTCAATCAATTGATTACAGAAGTACAAGTTACATCAAAATATATCAAGTTACATGCAAAATATTTTGACTTCACAGAGAGGTATTCACATTTACAAAGGCTGAGAGTGATTCACCCCATATATAAAGACTATAACTTCCTCTTGATAAAGGCCACGTAGACACCCACGACTTAAAAGTACTATGAAGAGATTACTCTCAGAAGATATTAGGAGCTTTGAGAGTAATTTTAGTAAAAGTGGGCATAATTCTAATATTAATATCATAAAATATTAGAGCTCAAGGAGACCTTACAGATTACCTAGTTTGGGTCACCTAGTTTGCAAAATGAGAAGGTAAACTAAATAATGTGCTGAGGGTAGTTAATGGCAGAGTCAGGACTAGTATGAAAGCTTTTTGTTTGCTTGATCGTTTTTCCTATGCCATTCTGTAAAATTGTTTAAAATAATTTTCCAGGCTCTTAGCTATCCTAAATCATGAGGAGCTTAAAGAATTATCAAAAATTTACAGAGCAAATCTATGCCACTAAAATGCTGTGCAAGTTTCAGCAATTCTCAGTGAAATGTGATAGTGATGATGAACTTAAATAGAATAACCCTGTTCTGGTTTTTTTGTTTGTATGTTTTTTGTTTTTGAGACAGGGTCTTGCTTTGTCACCCAGGCTGGAGTGCAGTGGTGTGATCATGGCTCACTGCAGCCTTGACTGCCTGGGCTCAAGCAATTCTTCTCCCACTTCAGCCTCCTGAGTAGCTGGAACCACAGATATGTGTCACCATGCCAGCTAATTTTTTTTATTATTTGTAGGGATGAGGTCTTGCTATATTGCCCAGGCTAGTCTTGAACTCCTGGGCTAAAACAATCCTCTTGCCTTGGCCTCCCAAAGTATTAGGATTACAAGCATGAGCCACTGCACCCAGACAGAATAATCCTATTCTTGATGGTCTTTACCATCCACTCATTCCTCTTGGAAGTAAGAACGAGGCTCAGCTAGCCTATATACTTACAGAATACTTGGCAGCATAGTTAGGATGGCACGTAATAAAATATACTTCATAAGGTAATGTTTTTTGCCATATACCATACATTAATCAGATTGTGTTCATTTCATCAATGTTACGTGAAACAGCAACAGCAGGAAGAGTACCTGAAATGAGATACTAACATTTAAAATAAAATGTTATTATTTTGGAATATCTCAAATCCTCCCTCTTTGGCCTGCAGCTAACATACTTAATTAAATTTTTAAATGAGCTAAATATCATAAACGTTCAATAAGCAATTCTTCTCTCTTCCTAGAACAAACAAGAAGCAACATTAACTTCAAGATAAGTATTTATAATCATCTTGTGGAACTTGCAAGAATATCCTAAATAAGGTTCAAGAAGTGATTCATAACATATGACCATAATTTAAATTACACATTTTAATATGTAATTTTGAAACCAAGTGAACAATCTAAATTGAAAACCTGGAGAAACAAACCCAGACATCACTGGGAAAAGATATCCCAGTTGACTGCAGCTGTATGGATTTACCCCATGTGGAACTCCATGCCAGTGTGCAACGCTGTTTGTTTTTTTAGCAATAACTTGTGAGTAGAGGACAATGTCCTTGCCACAGAAAAAGCACAAAAGGGGAGTTTTCCTTTAAAGGGCTAAAAATGCACCAAGTATTTGTCTTTTGGGTTTCTATTTTTAGTTTGTCTAGGTTAACTCAGGCAGCTGAGGAAGGACTGGGAGAACCAAGCTGTTTATGTAAATCTTAATTTACTTAATTGGCTTATGAGGATTTTTTAGGCTAGGAGGAATAGACACAAATGGATGGCTGATGAAAAGCATGGGAGTTTTCTCTGATGCTCACACAAATAGAGTTGGGGTGGGGTAGGGTGGGAGAATTTCCATTAGCTCCAAGATCTGAAAAGTTAATGGTCAAAGGGATTTCATCACAAAGACTGAAAAGTGTTTCTGAAGTAGAAAGTTAATTTCATTAGATCTCACAAGATAGAAAACTCCATGGCAATGATCTTCTTATTCTCTCAGAAAATTTTTGCAGCCAATCAGACTGCCAAATTTATTTAAGTCTGTACACTTATCTCAGAACACCCTTGGGTTTATTCTTGGGCCTATAAAATAGGAAGAAATGTAAGAGACCATGGGCTATTTTGCCAAATCAGCATAGTGTTAAGACTCATGGGAAGGAGGCCATGGGTTTCCCTTCCCCATCTAGAGATGGAGACTGTTCTGCTAAGGGAAGATCAATATCCAGTTAGAGAAGAGAGAACACAAATCTGAAAAGCTAACACTCCATGGGTAAGCCTGGCTGGAACAATTTAGCATCAACAGAGCGTCAAGTGCCAACCCCACACATAATGCCTACAGAGACCCTCCTGGCTGATTGGCTCTATGAAGCCAAGGAACTGGCTGGCTTTTCCCATTCCCCCACTTCAGTTTGATCTGACTGCTTTGCTTTGTATCTCCTCAGCATCTGCCCATGCTTTTATCTGGGCACCTCAAACACTTTAATGCTCTTGCTTGTTTTCTTAAAGCCCTTGGAAAAACGGACAGGTTTTATCTTTTCACTGTATTCTCAACTCCAAACACAATATATGTAGTATTCAATAAAACTTCCTCTTTCTTGAACTCCTGCTTAGCATTCCCAACCACTACTGTCTACCTCCATAGATGTCCAACAAGTACTTCAAACTCAACATGTTAAAAACCAGACCTGTTGCTTCTTTCTCCTCCTCCCTCTCCTCCACTTGGCCATGACTCTGATGTTGTAGCCATCTTTGTGTCTGAAGGGCCTCTCTGTATTGGGCTCACTATAAGTATTCATTGAAAGTGGAATGAGTAGAGACATGAGGAAAGGAAGGACAGGAAAAAAATGAGAAAAAAACAGTAAAATAAAGAAGTCATGAAGGCCAGAACAAGGGAAAAGGAGAAGAGGAAGGTGGCTAAGAGTAAGAAGACTATTTTAGGTTGGTTTTCCCCAAACCAGGAGGGGTAGAAAGAATCTAGAGCCCTCCAAACAGGAGCTTGATAGAAAAGAACAATTTTTCATCTCATTCCGCTTCCTTTCCAGTGTTTTCTTAACTGCATGCAGTTTGGGTTAGACTCTGAATGTTTTGTGGGTGTGATGAGAGAAAGGACTTATGGGCACACTTCCACCCTTTTCAGCCACTCCTGCAGATAATAGCAGCTGAGTTCTTTTTCACTATGAACTATGACTCCTTATAACAGTGGACAAAGTAAAAAGTGTGATCAGATGCCTCATTCCTAACCTCACAGTTCCTGAGATGAGGCTCTGAAATGAGCCTGGGGCTGGGGTTCATTTGTCCTTCCCATGGGGAACAATCCCCATTTTGCTTTAGGTAGGTAAAGGGGCAAGCCCTGCCTTGCTCTTCTGGTCGGACTTTTTACAATAGTGTTAAGTTACTCTATGTTTTCTTTTTGGGGTTCTGTTGCCAGCTTATTTTAAGTTTGATGCTCTAGTCTCCTTGAGTGATGACATGTCATAACTGTAACCTCAAGACATTTTCAGGTAAAGGCAAGATGCATGCACTCCTTGATTTTATTTGTGGGAGGAACTTTCTAGCCCACAGGGAAAACTATAAGAAATATTCCGTCATTGTAAGGAGCTTGGCATGCTGACATCTGGTAGTTTTAAAGGGTGCTTAGATCTATGGAAGAAGCATTTTCCAGAGAAATTATTTATTTCAACGCTTGTTCTGAAAAGAAGCTTAGAAGACTCCTGTGAGTCTTTTTTTTAACCCAGTGAAAGCACCTGCTGTTCTTAAGGTAGCTGTCCTCACGTGCTATCAATCTATACACCACAGCTTCTGGTATCCTTGGGAGAGCCTTTCCTATTGGTATGAAGAGTTTTACTAAAATGTAAATGGCAAGAGTTTGTGAACTAACTCCCTCAGTCAGCAACAGGAGGTCTCTTCTTGCTGAACCCTCAGATGGCCCAGAGACTTGAGGCATATTCTTTTTTTGCAATCTTTTAAGCAAATGGTACAAGTACTCCTAGAAATAAATTATTTACACTGTTCAAACTCTATCAAGAGTTTTATTTAGGTTTCTAGTCTAAATGAATATTAAAAGTACAACACAGCTTCAGGCATGGTGCTCACAGGAAATATGGCAACAGTGTAGTTTAGGACACAACAACTCCATACAACTCAAAGGATTGTCCTAAAACATTGGAGTTCAAAAGCAAGAATTATTTTCATATAAAAACAACACATCCTTTCTTAATAAAGCAAATGACACCACACAGCAAATAGAATGAGCACAGAGCCCACTTTTACATGGGTCCTGATAGTACACAAATCATGCTAACCCCATGGATAAACCTTGTATTCCATTGTCAGTGTTGATATTTGTGCAGCTCTATTTACCTAAACATTTCTGAGAACTCTACCCTGTAGAAAGCAGCTAATGGCATTTATCAGAGAGCAGACTCAACTTGGCCTCATAAAGGGAAGCATGTTGGTATCTCAAAGACCCTTTCAGCTACACCTGAATGCACAGGTCATGATTTACCATCAGGTAAGAGTGTGTTCAGAAAAGAAGGATAATTTTATATATTTACCATTTTAAAACAAGACTTGTGATATGGTGAATGGAAATCTCTACATAACAGCAAAGATGACTGATAGAGGAGGCTACTCTGAGAGCTCCTGTGAGCTTCATGCAGAGAAGTATGATATAGGAGAAATTCTGAATTAACCAAGGTCCAGAGTTTACTTTCTGACTTTCTGTTTTGTAGTAACTGAAACTCAGGTACCACCCACGTTGCTTTGTTGTAGTTCTTGGAGGCATTGTTTTACTGAGTAGGTAATTATCATCATGATTGTAAGTGTATGAATAGATATTAAAGTGTTTAATGATAATTTCATTTTCTTAGAGCTCTATATAATTCTCCATAATCTTATTGTTTTAATATTTCCATGAAGAAAAGCTCATTAAGCCTAGAGTAAACATCAATCTAATCCTTCCCTTTGATTTAGTAAGGTGCTTTGATTTAGTAAAGTTAGCATTATGAAGAGACTGTGCTAGTGGTCATTTTTATATCATCTGGTTTAAAATGTTGGCAAGCCCAACTCATGACAACTTTGAGCTGCCTTTGATGTTTTTCTTGACTTTACAATTCATCAGTTCTATTTGTGGATTTTGTTTGTGTGACAAGTGTTTTGGTTGTGGTTTCATTTTGTTTTTGTTTTTGTTTTTGTGATAGGGTCTCACTGTTGCCTAGGCTGGAGTTCAGTTTTGGTTGTTTTAAAACATCTTTGAGTACATCTGCTTTCTCTTCTTCCAACATATAATCAAGACTCACTGTATGTTGTTATATTTAAGGACTAATAAGTGGGTTTGTCTCTTATCCAGTGCTCATAGTTACAGGTCCAACGGAGTTCACTCTAAGACTAAAATGCAGTCATTAGAGTTTTTCCTTTAGTCTTGAGTATTTATTAGAAGCCACTGCTACCTGCTTCTTCTTTGTGAACTAAGACAGGTGAGAACAGTTGTCTTCCTTTCCTTACTTGGTGTTAGTCATTTCTGAGATGCTTCGAATACAGAGGGAGGAGCAGGGGAAGAAATTTGCTGTGAGACCCACTCCAGGTTGGATGTGGTTGATCTTTGCTTATTAAAGTGTACTAGACCTTTTGAGACAACTGTGCTGGAGCAGGGCTTGTACATCCTCTCTTGAGTCTTATGTTGATTCAGAGCATGACTCAGTGATCCCTAATGTGGAGGCCAAGGGTAGAATGGCCCATGGCAGGTCTTCCCTGAAGCATTGTAATAGAATCTTTCACTATAATGTTGACACATCTTCTAACTACCAAAGGTAAGTGGAAAGTCGGCTATTCTAGAAATTTTAGGCCTGGGTAAATCTTTTGCCCAAGAACTTGGCCTTAAATCCTTAGCTTGATGTTACTTGACTTAAGCCATTGGCTAATGGCATAAAAAGAAATGTGCATCCTCTTTCAGAAATAGCACTAATTATAAAGAAGATAAAATCAATCAGTAATGTGAAGGAATAATTATTATGGAAATGGTATGAATTTAGAAACCAAACACTAACAAATTGTGATGGTAGATATGTATCACTAGGCATTTGTCAAAATCCATAGAATGTACAATACAGAGTGAACTCTAGTGTAAATTATGGACCTTAGTTAATAATAATGTATCAATATTGTCTCACCAATTGTACCACAGTAATGATGCTAGTTGCTATTAGTAGGGAAAACTGTGTTTGGGGGTAGAGGTAAAGGGTTATATGGGAACTCTTCACACTTTCTGCTCCATTTTTCTGTAAACCTTAAACTGCTGTAAAAAATAAAGTGTATTAACAAAACAAAGAGAAAAACACTTTATATGTAAAATATGTATCTAACATATATTATTGTTGCTGCCTCAAAAAGTCTAAGTTCAAAAAAGGAATAAATCTTGAGACATTTTAAAAATACTTTTTTAAAATATGGAAGAATAATACACATACAGGGAGATATTTTAGTTATAAGTATAGAGTTTTATGAATAATCACAAAGTGAACACACCCACGTACCACCACTTAGGGCGAGAAATAAAATGTTATTAGCACCTCAGAAGCCCACTTTTTAGAAGCATTTAACACAATAAATTAATTTTGTCTGCTTTTGAAATAGTAAAACGGAATCACATAGTGTGTAATCTTTTGTATCTGGCTTCCTTTGCTTCACATTATATTTATGAGATTCATCCATGTTGTGTGTAATTTATTTTTGTTGCTGTGAAGTTTTCTGCTGTATGAATGTATTACATTAAATTTATTATATATTCTATGTTGTAAACCAAAAGTATCTGAGACAGGTCACAATCAATTTAGAAAGTTTATTTTGCCAAGGTTCAGGATGCGTGCCAGGGAAGTAGGCCTGTACCTTTCTCCAAACATGATTTTGAGGGCATCAATATTTAAAGGGGAAAGGGTGGATACTGGGGAAAGAGGAAGACATTTGTAAAAGATGTGGGTAGATAAGAGAGATAAATGGTTGCATTCTTTTGAGTCTTTGATCAGCCTTTGACCAAATAACAATTTACATGTGAGAGGTGGGTAGAGAAATAGTCACTTATACATTCACCTAGTTCAGTGAATCTGCATTTTACATTAGAGGAAGCAGTCAGATAATGCATTTGTGTCAGGTGAGCAGAGGGATGACTTCCCAGTTCTGCCCCGCACCTGTGAAGATAAGCAATCAATATACATTGTCAGGGTAAAATTCAACAGAACCATTTTAGGGTAAAGACCTTAGGGCCCACAAGGAATTTCCTAGTGGGCAAAATGTGGGGAAGGTACGTAGCTTTTTTTTTTTTTTTTTAATCTTTATAGCTCTCTTTTTAGAAATAAAATGGGAGGCAGGTTTGCCTGATGCAGTTCCCAGCATGACTTTTCCCTTTGGCTTAGTGATTTTGGGGTCTTGAGATTTATTTTGCTTTCACAATGTCGATGGCATTTGAGTTAGTTCCAGACTTTGACTATTATGACAAATGATGCTACAAACATTGTTGGACATGTCTTTTGTTGAGTATATGTACAAAATTCTCACTGGATTTATACCTAGGGGTATACTTACTGAATATTAGGGTACATATATTAACTTTAGTAAATAATGCCAGATTTTCCGCAATAGTTCCAGTTGCTCTATTTCCACATTAACACTTGTTATGGTTAATCTTTTTCATTTTTGCCATTTTGGTGGGTGTGTAGTGGTATTTGTTTGTGGTTTTAACTTGAATTTCCCTGATTATTAATGAGGTTTCCTATATTTTCATACATTGATTGGCTATCATTTGGATATTCTCTTTTGTGAAGTGCCTATTCAATTCTCTTGGCCATTTTAAAGTTGGGATTGTTTGTCTTTTTCTTATTCGTTTGCTTTATCAGCTATATATGTGGTAAATACCTTCTCCCAGTCTGTGGCTCCCATTTCAACTTTTAAAAATGTCTTCAATAAACAGAATTCTTAATTAAAAAAAAATTTTTTTAAGATGAGGTCTTGCTATGTCGCTCGGGCAGTTCTTAAACTTCTGGGCTCAAGCAATCCTCCTGCCTCAGCCTTGCAAAACACTGGAATTACAGGTGTGAGCCACTGTGCCTGGCCCAGAATTCTTTATTTTAATACAGTCCACTTAATTAATTCCTTAATGATCAGTGTGTTTTGTGTTCTACTTTAGAAATCCTTCTATTTCCCAAAGTCATGAAGATATTCTTTTGTATAAATCTCCTAAGTTGTCACTTAAATTTTTTTTTCACATTTGGGTCTAGAACTTCTTGGAACTGATTTTTGTGTATGATGTAAGGTATAGGTCAAGTTTTGTTTTTTTCCATATGACTATTCAATTGACCTACAACCATTATAAAAAGATAATTCTTTCCCTCATTTCTCTGCAGTGCCACCATTATCACAAATGAAGTCCCTACACATGCAAGGGTATGTTACTGGATTCTATTTGTTTCACTGCTATTCATCTATCTTTGCTCTAATTCCACACTGCCTAGCTATTAAGATATCTAGTAAAGCAAGTGATTCCCCCTTTGTTCTTTTTCAAGACATGTTGGCTGTTCTTGGGTCTTTGCATTTTAAACTTCAGAATCAGCTTGTCAATTGCATACGTATACACACACACACACACACACACACACACACACACACACACCTGTCAAGAATTTTTAAAAATTGAAATGGCACAAAATCCATGTATCATTTTGAGGGGAATCAACATCTTTTTTTTTTTTTTAAGACAGAGTCTCGCTCTGTTGCCCAGGCTGGAGTGCTGGGCGTGATCTCCACTCACTGCAACTTTCGCCTCCTGGGTTCAAACAATTCTCCTGCCTCAGCTTCCTAAGTAGCTGGGTTACAGGTGTGTGCCACCATGCCTGACTAATTTTTGTATTTTTACTAGAGATGGGGTTTCACCATGTTGGCCAGGCTGGTCTTGAACTCCTGACCTCAAGTGATCTGCCTGCCTTGGCCTCCCAAAGTGCTGGGATTACAGGCATGAGCCACTGTGCTCAAGCTGGAATCAACATCTGTAAAACATAGAGTCTTCCAGTTCATGAACCCTGTCTATGCCTCCATTTATTGGGGTCTATAATTTTTTGTAATAATGTTTTAGTGTTTTATGTATTTTATAGTTTATATGCGTTATGAACATATATTTTATGTTTTAATGTTTATCATTTATATACTTACATGTTTTATAAATACATCATTTTTATGTTTTATAGTTCATCATTCATAGTTTTCTGTGTAGAGGTTTTATGTCTTTCCTAGGTATTTCATGTTTTTGATGCTACTGGAAACAATGTCTTTTGAAATTTTATTTTCTTTTAGAAGTCTAATAGATTTTTTTACTATATTCACCTTGTATGTAGTAAACTTGCTATACTCACATATTACTTTGAACAATTTATTTGTATATTCTTTCAGATTTTGTATATACTCAATCATATCTCCTGCAAATAATGAGTTTTATTTTTTCCTTTCCAATTCTTATTCATTTTGTATCTTTTTCTTATTATTATACTTTGTAGGAGCTTCAGTACAATGATGAATAGAAATGATAATAACAAGCATCCTTATTATTCTCAAGTTTAGGGGAAAAACTTTCAACATTTCATTACTACATTTATCGTAGATCTTTTGATTAAATCTATCATATAAAGAAGTTCCTTTTAATCACTAGTTTGCTTTTTTAAAAAACATGAATGAATGTTGAGCTTTATTAATGCTTTTTATTAATCATCTATTTGGATAGTCATATAACTTTCAATTTTTTTATTCTGTTAATATGTTGATAATCAAATATTAAACCAGCCTTGCACTCCTGTAATAAACCCAGTTTGGTCATTCTTTGTATACATTAGAGATTTGACTAGTTTTTTTGTTTAGGAATAAAAAATGTTAAGATTCTAATTCCTTAAGTGCAAAGCTGATAAAGTGTAGAAAAAGATTTTGTGGACTTAAGGATTTCTTTGTGGTATATTTAACAATATCAGGGTTCACATAGCTACAATAAAGAAGATGAGTCTTCCAGGAAACTTTTCCAAAAGCGTTTTGAATTATTCTTGTTTCAAACCAGAGCTTACCATCTAGATTTTTTAAAATGAATACAACTGTGGTCTAGGTACAGAAGCATTAGGAAGATGGGTTGCTATTCCTAGCTTTTGTTCACATATTAGATTCACTTTAATGCAGTAAAGCCAGCAATTGAGACAAACAATTAATAAAAATACCAATTAAATTTATGACTATGATAGCTTCCTGAATGTAAATAACCACTTGCTAGAATGAAACTTCATTTAAACTGAAGTAAGGTTCATCCAGACCCTCAGCAGGGTGAGACCACCTGGAAAAACTGGACTTGGGTCCAAAAACGTATGCCATGTCCTTTAAGCCTTTCCATTTGTGTCTGGATAATGAGCCTTCCCAATCTCTTATCTTCCATACCTCTGAATAAACATAGAAGACTTACTAGGATAAACACGGAAGAAGTAACACTGAGCCATACCATGATATGAGAGCTGCCCAGGGTTATTTGACAGATTGACTCCCTACAGTCCTCAGAAATCTGTCAGGCTTGTCAACACATAGAAATGTTCTAGATTCATTCCTTATCAAGAACAAGCAATAGACAAGTTACTCTGAGTCTCAGAGGATTTCTGAGAGGAAGATGAGTCAAGAATTAATCATCTGTGGTTTCCAAACCTTGTTCAATCATTAACTGTGAACAGCTTGGTTTTCTCTTCTTGGGGATGACTTGTACAGAGTATGGCTGGAGCAGGGTATGTTTTCTATTTCCCATGTGTTCTTATTCCAACTCTTTGGAATATCCCAATGGACAGTGACTCCAGGAGGTATAGACGTACTCTTTTATTCATGGTATATGGCACAAATAATACATGCAGCAACAAAGATTTTCTTTGTTTTTAAAATCTGTATCTGTAAAGAAGTGCTCCTCTAATGTAAGAGGAATGAGGAAAGGAATGATTGGGCTTTCCATAGAAATTGCAATAAAATCTAAAGTATGTCTTAAAAACCAGGGCTCCAAAGCTTCAGACAGTGGGATGATGGCTAGCAGATCACATACTCCTGGTCAAGCATGGGGACGTCATGGTGCTCTTTGCAGAACAGCATGAAATGCAGCCATATTTGGTTTTGTTGAATGAACTAGGAGCAATAATACTAGCAAGAAAAATGACTAAATTACATGTGTATGAATCTTTACAAAACAGATACACACACAACCTTTTAAAAAATAAATATTTGTTGAATGTTGAACAAACATTTAAAATAAATCAGGCTGAACATGGTGGTTCACACTTGTAATCCCAGCACTTTGAGAAGCTAAGGAGGGAATATCACTTGAGACCAGGAGTTCGAGACCAGCCTGGACAACATAGTGAGACCTCATCTTTACAAAAATTAAAAAAATTAGCTGGCATGGGCCAGGCACAGTGGCTTATGCCTGTAATCTCAGCACTTTGGGAGGCTGAGGCAGGCAGATCACGAGGTCAGGAGTTCAAGACCAGCCTGGCCAACATGGTGAAACTCCATCTCTACTAAAAATACAAAAATTAGCTGGGCATGGTGGTGCGTGCCTATAATCCCAGCTATTCAGGAGGCTGAGGCAGGAGAATTGCCTGAGGCAGGACCTGGGAGGCAGAGGTTGCAGTGAGCTGAGATCGCACCACTGCACTCCAGCCTGGGCTACAGAGCGAGACTCTGTCTCAAAAAAAAAAAAAATTAGCTGACATGGTGGCATGCACCTATAGTCCCAGCTACTTGGAGAGCTGAGGTGGGAGGATTCCTTGAGCCTGGGAGGTTGAGGCTACAGTGAGCCATGATCGTGTCACTGCAGCCTTGCCTGGGTGAAAGAGTGAGACCCTGTCTCAAAAAAACAAAAACTAAAACTAAATAAATCAGTTTACTGATCTTTCTTCTTAATATTTATTTGTAAACTATCCATTCTGTTATCTGCTGTCATCCACTTGCAGACACTAAAGTTTTAAGGAAAGGACATCGAAAAAAATTAAAATAGAAAACATTCTACTTCTTTTTAATTTTTTCTACAAGCCTGGAAAATATCACCTTAATTTTATTTTACCTGTGAAACACCTTAGACCAGTTCATAGAACCATTGTGCCCTTGGAGCACAATTTGAGACATTGTGCCTAAATGAAAGAGATAAGAAAACTGTCATCAAGCATCTCTCTCTTGTACTGCCCCATCCACCTATCTCCATCCCTGGCTTCAAGGTAACCACCACTTCTACCACAACGACCTTCACCACCATTATGTTGAGTGTCACTATATGCCAAGTTCTGTGTTAATCGCTTTATTTGCAGCATCACATTTAATGGAGTAGATATTATTACCCCGTTTAGTATATGAGGAAACATTTAGGGAGATTATCATCAATAGACTTTATAAGGGCAGAGTTGAGATTTAAATCCAGGTATGTCTAACTCTAGTGTACATTCCCTTAACTGCTACCTTGTGCTTTCTTCTCTATGACCCAATAAGAGTGGAAAATACCAACCTATGATGTTATATATACCTGTCAATCAGCCCTTAGGAAAGTGTTTAAAAACCTCTCAATCATAAATCTATTATTATATCACCCAAGGGAGATCTGTGTTCTGTTACCAGGTTTGTATACTTATAGAATATATTTTACAGAGTTAGTTTTAACAATTTTTTAAAAATGTTGATTGAAAAGCGAAAAGAGTCTATCGAGATTATTGTGGCGACAATAAAATACAACTCAAATACCATTTTTTCCACGAAGTCTTCCTTGACTCAATCTTCTCTGAACTCCCTTAGGACTTTCCCTGTGTATTCTTAGCACTTCATCTTCTGCTTGAACCCAAAAAAAATCTGCTAAGCTTTTTGTTGTGGGGGTTGCAGATATAGAGATCAAAGACACAGTTCCTGTTCTCAAATAGCTCATGGTAAATATGTATTATGACACCTACAGGGTACCATGGAAAAGGAAAGGCATCTAACTCTAGCCAGAAGATTCTGAGGAGGAAAAGAATAAAAGGAGAATGTGGGCCATTGGGAAGCAAGTGAGAGGGAGTGGGGATTTTGACACAAGGTCCTAATCTTGAGATTGGAGTAGACATTAGCCAGGTGATGAAAGCATATGTGTGTGTACATTTGTGTGTGTGCGCACACACATACACATGCCTGTGTCTTCCAGGCAGAAGGAAGTAGCAAGATGATAAGGAGAGGAGCTTGGTCCATTCTGGGAATTTTAAGCACATAATTCGGTAAAGCTGGTGTGCAGGGTGGGTGGCAGGGAGTGGCACAAGATGAAGTTGGAAAGATATGCATGAGTGATTTGGTAAGGAATTTGGATTTATCCTAAAGAGAATTGAGAGTTATTGGAAGATTTTAATATCTTTAAAAAGATCTTTCTAGCAGCAGTGTAGAGAATTGATGGGCATGAGAAATGGGATGGTATAGGAAAAGTGGAAGAAAAACCCAGAAGTCAGGAAACCAGTCAGGAGGCTATTGCAGGCAGGCAGGCTGGACCTGAGCTCGAACAGCAGCAGTGATGTTGAAGAGGAGTGAGAGACAGGACATATGCAGGCAAATAAAGTGGAGAAATGAAGAAAATCAAATAGTAACCTCAATTTTTCAGATAAAAAAATTAAACTTATTTACCTTGTTATGTTATCCCTGAAAGGATGCACATTTCTCCACCTTTTTCAGAAGTTGTACTACAGGTATACAGCACAGTTTGCAGAATTAATAAAATCAGGATTCATTTTTAAACTTTTATTTTACTTTAATTGACAAATAATAATTGTATATATTTACGGGGTACAATGTGATGTTTTGATACATGTATGCATTGTGGAATAAAAATTAGTATTCTTTGTATACCACCCAACATATATCTATTTCCTGCTGTAATATCTGACTTGTTTTCCTTAGGCTGAAGTTATGGTTGGTTTCCACAAACTTAATTTACTTTCACTCTATTTCCTGGCTACACAGACTAAAAATTATACTACCTCTCACAGAAGATTTGGGTAAGGGGGAGAAAAGACAAAGCTGTTAAAACCCATCCCATTGTGAACAAAGGCACCACTTTCAAAGATGGCCAATATCATCATCTGGAAAGGAACCACATGTTTCCTGTATGTTTCTAGTCTGGTAAAAGTAATCTTCCTTGGTCCAATGACAGAACAATACAAAGCAATGATAAGAAATAATTAGAAAACATACAGCTGAACGGTTTATATTAGATTTGAGGAACAGTTTTCCCCTTAGAGAAGCTGTTACACAAGGTATCAGTTGCATCAAAAATATTCTTCCCTGGAGACTGCTACAGCATCACTTCCTCTTCTTATTTTGGGATGCTCACTTTCTGAATTACTGATTAAATAATTAATCAATTCATTCTGAAATTCACCCATTCAAAACATTTATTGAGCACCAACTCTATGCATCCAGTGTTAATAAAGACAGGGACATGAGTTCCAGAAGATGACAGTACAAGTAAGCAAAATAACTTGGAGTATGCCCTGCAATGGCAAGAGGTGGTTGATGAGAGTAGCCTAAAACCCTGGGCTTGAAAGGGTTCGATTAGGATAATGTGGGAGGCCTGCGAAGAGGAAAGAAAGGTCACTGGAAAAAAAAAAACAAAAACTTCTGTGTGCTAGTTTTTCCCAGAGCTGGCTCTGGTTTAATCAATGTGATAAATACTGGTGTCCATTTGTAAACTCCTAAAGAATATATTTATTTTTCCGTCTACAGCACCTAATACATCTTCCATCATATTATCATAATGGTTATTTCTATAGAGAATTTTACCCGTAACTTCATTTAACACTCTGGTGGGAAGTGGTAATTTCAGGTGTACCAAAATGACCCCACCTGGAATTGTAGGAACTAACTCAGAGCCAGGGAAAGATCACTTTTCTCTTCACAATTTATAGATGAGAAAACTGAATTGAACCCCCCAAAGTCAATACAGCTCGTTAGTTTTTAGTGATAGGGTCAGTAAATAACTCAGATGCTCTGACTCAGGCCTATCCCTTGCTGCAGCCATATTTCCAAGAGAATGAATGACTTGGAGAAAAATGTTGTAAACATCAATGAGTGTCATTTTTATTCACCAAAACTTGTATTCAAACAAAAATTCCAAAGACTTCCCAATTTTCCTCAATTTAAACTGACAACCCATGATTATCTCATGTTTAGTACAGATTTAAGCAACCTCACCTTCACAGTTTGTGACCACAGCCCATTTCATCCCCAATTGACTCCATACAGCAAAAAAACTCAACAAAGACAAGATTTGGAATGAAAAAAAAAAAAAAAAAACAAATAAGTAAGGTCTGTGGCTTTATGGCTTTACTCATTCAAAATTTCACCTACTGTGAAATGGCTTATCTAAGTTACAAGGTATAATCAAGTTTAACCTGATCATTATAATATTCCACCAGTGCTAAGAAAGTACACATGTATCTGTAATGCATGCTTATACCTGTATTAAACACAAAATCTTGAACTTCCATAATCCTTTTAACTCAAATGTATCAAAAGGCCTTAAGAACATGACGAATACATTTCTCATTAAGAAAGAAATCATGACTTTGTCAGAATTTAGCCCAAATTAAGCGTGCCCAGGATTCTTGGTGTTTGAGCTGATGCTGAGGCCTTAAAACCCAGGTCAAATCTGCAGAATAACTTTAGTATGGAGTAAACAAGCCTAGTAATCAGTAATTTGTTATGAAAAACATCATTTTGGAACACTAGTTTTTGTTCTGCTTAAGGGCAAGAAACATGTAGTAAATATAGCCCCCTTCCCTCCCTTCCTTCCCTACTGCCCCTACCTCCTCAATTCTTCCCTCTCCTCCTGCACAATTCTTGGCAGAAAATATTTGAACACTCAAGACAACTGACTTCAGTTATGAACACAGTAGTCCAAGAAAGCTTCCTGTAATCTCAGTTTGAGCAGTTATTGATTGGAAGTTGAGGGGTTTCTAAGACTTGCCTTGAGAACTGTTAGTTAGTATGCAAATGTTTAATTTCAGCTTCATAAGTATTCTCATTAGTCCATGTAATTCTTACCTGTAGTGGTTCAAACCTGTGATTACATGCTATTTTTTACCCATCAAAATCAAGTCACTATAGGTACTGGCTTACTGCATCTAGTGCTTGATATGTCTGAATTTCTCTTTCTCACATTTGATTTGGGGACTTAATCCCATTCTGAGCACGAAGGAATTTTATCTAGATTGAGGGGAGCAATAAAACTGATTCTTCTCAACTATAAAAATGAAAAGTATTCATAGACATATTGGTGGGCAAATGTGGTTGATTGATTCATTCCAAAAACTAGTGACTGAAAATAAACTGCTATCCTTGCAGACAATTACTGAAATAAAACACAGTCAGCTTTACATCTCTTCAAAACCTGTGGGAAACAGCTCTGAGTGAAAATAATATATACTGGTAAAACTGCTTTTTTAAATAAGAGAGACATCTTGCAAAAGATTCAAACTCATTCTTTTCAGGGCAACTTAATTACACAAGCTTTATGCTAATTATTGTTACATTAAAGATTTGGCAGCTTTACAAAAATCCTAAACTTGTACATGCAGGTTTAAAATCTCTATTTTAATTCTCCAGAGTTAGACTAGGAAAGCATTTCAGACAATGCCAACCTGTAGTAATGCTTGCTTTTTTTTTTTTTTTTTTTAACCTATCGGTACCTCATAGTTTCATAGGAATTTGCTTAACAAATCTGGACGTAATTAGTTGCCTGGCCTCCAAAACCCAAACCTGTATTCTTTGGTATCATGGGATGCTGTTTGCCAAATGACAGGCCTCCAAAAGCCTGACCATCCTAAAGACCATCTTTGCTGGTGGGTGTTATTCCTGTGCTTAGTATGAATTCCCTTCACACCAGACCTTCAGCAACAGAGGTGTGTTTTCAATATCCAGCATTCATAAAAGGGTGTAGATTCATGTCATACCAGAGCAGAAGAAAGGGAGTAAACAGTAAAATGGAGATATATTAAGCCATCATTCCCATGTAGTAGGGAGTGTTAGAAAACAATTGTTTAAATCACCCTTCTCTTGATTAAAATAATAATAATAAAAGAAAGGTTTCAAAGTGGCTGTAAGAAGAGGACAAGTTGACTCAGAGGTAGGTACTTAAATCAAGTGAAAAATAGCTTAGATAATGTGCTTGATAGATGATATAACAACCAGAGTGGAACATAAGGGGAAACTTTGTGGGGTGGGACAGTTTGGAAAGGTTTGAATTAAAGGTTTACATTGTTGAAGGAAAAGTATTATCTGTCTTAATCTTGTGCTAATAAAGTCTAAATAGCTGGGTGAAATCTTAGAGGACTATGTCAGAGTGAATGATTTTTTATTCTATACTTCTTTTCCAAGATCCTATTTCTGTAAGAAAGACATATTTTTAGTATCTGTAAGAAAGACATATTTTTAGTATCAAAAAGTAATAATATCACTTGCCAGTTGAGGATCACCAGCATCATCATCAAACTTTATACATTATATGTGGGTAGCCACAGATGTGTCATGGAGGTGGAGAGCTGAGTGATGTTGCTGTCACTGACAAGTGGTATAATTTAGACACAGTATGGGGGACATGAGCACTCGACACAATCTTGCAGGTGGAAGGGAGAGGATCCATGAAGAGGTGTCTTTGCTCAAGCCACCTTGCCCGTCTTTGATCATGCCTCTCCACCTGGTCCTCACGGGGGCTTCAGAAGTTCTGGTCAGGGGCTCTGCATTCAGCAGGTTTGACGCTGCTCCTAAAGGTTGATGGTGTTAATGTAATGTTACTTTGCCTTTGGGAGTGGAGACGTAGTGTTTTCTCCTGATTGGTAGAGTGGTGGGAAAGGGATTAAACTTCATTCTAGCTCTCAGCTCCTGACGTGAGCCAGAAAATTTCTGGTTAGGCTAAATTCACAGATTTTCTCTACTATACTTATCATCAAAGTTTGCCAAGAGGTGGAAGAGCAGAAGCACGAAGATCAGTAGTATCCTAGAATATGGTCTCTTAATTCCCTATTTTCCTGGCACCTTTAAACACCCTTGCTCCCCCGTCTAAAAAATACCACCAAGAAGAAACCTTTTATACCCTCAAGACTGAAACAGGAATGAGAGGCAAGGGTAGAAAACTGAGATGACTTGTTTGTCGGCACTTTAAACAGATTTCAATACTGTGAAATTATCTTGGGGGTTGTTTCCTCAAACTTCAAGGTATTTAAAGATGATTAAAAGACATGTTCTCTTGCTTAAGGATTTGCTGACATGTAATGCTTTTTTTTTCCTCCAAATAAATGCAGGAGTGACATTTAATAAAGAGTCTGAGAAGAACATGGCCCTGAGCAGTACTTTTATTCCCATTACCTTTTAAGAATCTAACTCCTATGCCACTATCCCTCCCCCTCCACCCACTTGCCCTACCTTCTCCCTCACCATTATTAATCTAACCTGAATCACTCTATTCTTCTCCAAGGGAACACACCCAGTAACAGCAGTGAATCATAGACACTATTGCCTCTCTAGTCTCTAATGGATTTGACAAAATGCCAGATCTGGGAGAATAAAAGGACAGGAAATTCAGGTGAAGGGAGCTTTTTAGGTTCTTGTTTAGTACATTGTCCTGAATATTAGTTATTAGATACATTTTCTAGCTGCCTGGTGATGGAAAGGTTTCATTGTGCTAATAATACTGATCCTCTCCGTATCTCCGTGTTCTAAGTAACCATCCTACTCAGTGAGGCAATCGCTCCGGCATGCCTAACAGCTATGTCAAGGGCCCTTTTCTCTTGAAGTTGATAATAAAACCCTCTCTTGCATATCTTGGCTAAAGAATATGAAATAGTTAAATCATAAAGGTCAATGTTTGGTAACAAAGTCTCTACAAGTGCAGCCATTACACATTATGGAATTCCATGTGAGATCGTTAAGGTAATAGAGAAAAAAATAGAAATATTTGTCAATTATTCTCAAAGAGAAATTTATGAAATTACACAGCACTAAAACATCACTTTACCATGGATGGGTCTATAAGATGCGACTTGAATTCATGGCAAGAGAAACTCATAGAAGAGTTTTTGAAGGGCATTTTCAACTTATGTACAAATGTCATAAGAAGTGTTGAAAGTCAGTTAAGAGAATTTGGCAGATTTTCTTGTGTTATAAATTTGTATTAAATTTAGTTTGTTTAATTTGTCCTAATGGACATCATAAATCAACAGAATCATGTGGATTTTACACAATTCCTCACCCAAGTGGATTTTAATCCTAGTTTCAGAAGCGTATATTTTTATCTTTGTTTCTTTTTTTTTTTTTTTTTAGAAGGAGTCTCTGTCGCCCAGGCTGGAGCGCAACGGTGTGATCTCGGCTCACTGCAATCTCCGAATCTCCGCCTCCCAGGTTCAAGCGATTCTCCTGCCTGAGTCTCCCAAGTAGCTGAGACTACAGACGCCCACCACCACGCCCAGCTAATTTTTGTATTTTTAGTAGAGACAGGATTTCACCATATTGGCCAGGCTGGTCTTGAACTCCTGACCTTGTGATCAGCCCGCCTCGGCCTCCCAAAGTGCTGGGATTACAGGCGTGAGCCACTGCACCCGGCCTATGTATTCGTTTCTTTTAAAAAAAAACCTATGGATACTAGTTATGTCTACATGACACAAAAATTTTTGTCAATACAGAAAAGTCTATGGTAATATAATTTAAGTTAGCTTGAGACTATTGTTAAGATTAAAAAATAATACTAAAGCTGAGAATTTAAAAATTAAAATGAACATTTTAATTATGGCTAAAAAGTACGTGTGTTTGTGCTTTTTTGTATAGGTAGAGAGAGAGACTGAGAGACTATTTACTATTCTTTTCTTGCCATTAGACAAGAATAAGAATAAAAAAAATTTTTTTGTAAAACCTCATAAAGATTTTAGGTCTATATCATCATCCCACCAACAATAATTACAGACAAGAACGAAGCATTTTACCACTCCCTGATGAGTAACAAAGTAGCCAACAGTAGCCTTGGGTATTGAAGAAATTTTAAAACACAAGGAAAGCCTGACTTAAGTTGATATTAATTACTATTATTATTGGAGTCTACTGCTTAAATTGTTCTCTATGGCAGGGTAAGGAGTCTTTGCTTCCTGGCTCACTGGGCCAGTATTTTTTCCTGCCTGAAAAGTTTCATACGAAACATACAATGTCCTGTGTCAGAAACACCAAAGTCTTCACAGGCTAATAGATTTGAAGTCACTTAAGACATTGAAATGTACGCTATGCTTTATCTAAAGGTACAATTAAAAGTATGGGGGCTATATTCCAGATCTCTGACATGAAGCCGAGAGGAAACTGGATTTCCAGTTTGTTATGTGAAAAGGTTAAGTAAAATACAAACTTCTGTACAGGGAGATAATTCAGTTCTAATAATGCATGAAAGCCAGAGATGTAGATCAACAAATGCACATTTCTGAAATACGGGTTTTTCTGAGTATATGTTCTGAAGTTCTTTGAAAATCTGGCCAAACAATCCCATTTTAAGATACCAGTTCACATAATAAGCAAGTCAGAACATTTGCAAGGCAAAATGTTGTTTTCCTTTCTGCAGCCAGGAAAAACACAGCTCTAAGCTTAGGTTGTAACGGTAAAAGGATTTGGGAGCTGCTGATTTTAGAGACTCATAAAAACAACTCGCCCTTATGCCGGGAGGTATAAAGAATATGCAGAGTCTGCACTGTGCTTCTAGTGTCAGGACAAATCATTCTGCTTTTTCTTTGAGATTAACTGATGCCAATGGATGAGTAAAGGGAGAAATAAATGTACAGACTGAGACCTGCAGCTTGGTGAGGTGAGTAACACCTTTATCACAAAATCATGAGTTCTCTCTTCCCCTTTGTAAATTCCTTGGGGTTAACTTATGTAATTTTAAAAAATTTTAGGAGTGAAATATGTATTATTAATCATATGTGAGGCTCTACATTTTCTGCTATTTATGGTTTATATTGTGTGGGATCTTACAGATCACAGCATCTTTTTAAAATATATGTGCTTTTTTGGGGGGTGGGAGATAAATCAAGGGGTGAAACTGAAGGTGATACATTCCCTTAAATCCATTAGGGAATGGTGAATACACTTGCATATATAAAATAACTACTGAGTGCTTCCTAGATACCTAGCTCTGTTCCAGCTGCCTCTCACCAGTTCTCATTTAATTCTCCAATCCCATATTAAGAGGTGAAGAAACTGAGGCACAGAATCACCTCATTAAGAAGCACATAAAGTATGGTGCCAGGATTTGAACCTAGACAATTTGACTGTAACGTGTACGCCCCTAATCATTCCCTTAGGTAGTCCTCAGGTTCTGTAATTATTATACCTGACTGCTTAAGACTCAGGTAACTCCCTTTTGGCCACTTCTAAGCCACTACTGTCAGATGTTATTAATAGTAAAGAGACGATATCAATGTTTAAAATGGCCATTCAATAAGAGGACTGAAAACACTGGCCCCTGGAAATTCCCAACTTCCACGTGACTCAGAAGTTACTCAACTCTTTCACTAAACCCAGTGCTCCACCCAATGTAGCTAACTTTGTCGTCGCGTAGCAACAGAACCTCGCCATACTGGAAGCGGGGCGCGGGGGGGGGATTTTCTCGACTGAGGATGCTGCTGCCCGGTAGCCAGCAAGGGCCCTGTCGGTCTCAAACGTGAATTTTGGACCGACACAATCTCATGTAGTGATTGTTCTGCTTCCTGTGTTGCGCCACAACAAATTTCCTTGGGCTACATTTTCCCTCAGATTTGAGTAAAAGATTTGAGGTCACGCTAAGGAGCCTGCATACTGAGGTACAGAAACGGTTTTTTGTTTACAACAACAACAAAAAACCTCGCGACGGGACCGCCGAGTTTGCGGCAGCCAAAAAAGCTAGCGATGAGCTCAGCTAAAGTGCCGGGACTCTCGGATAGATTTCTAACATGTTTGAAATGTGGACCCCAACGCTGGAACCCAACGCTGTTCTTTTGTGGTCTCTGGAACCACCACGCTGGAATAGGCTGGAACCCAACCAACGCTGTTCTTTTGTGGTCTCTGCCTCTGGGGAGTCCACAAGCTGTAAATCTAACATGCAGCCAGCCGTGCGGCTTCTGGCCGCCCCACGTCTGAGTAAAGCCTTCACTGTGACTAGCAGGGAGAGGAGACTGACTGGAGCCAGAGAATGGAGGCGGCGGGCTGGCGGGGGTGGGGAGAGGCACTTTCAGGCGCACTTCACAGACGCACAAAAACAAGGAAGCCTGAAGGGAAGGCGGTTGAAAATAAGGCAACAGAAGCCGCGAACGGAAGCGCGCCCCCCTCAGGATTGGTTTAACATTCCGAAGCTCAGCCTCGCCCGCCCCGAAGACCTGCTGCGGATCGCGGCCGCGCGCGCGCGCACTCACGCTGCTCTCGGGCGCTGGGCGGGGAGAGCCGCGCGCACCGGTTAATTCTGCCAATCATGCGTCTGGGCCTCCCATCGTGTGGGCCAAGCCCCGCCCCAACCACCCGCTGGCGGAGGCGCGCGCGCAGTCCCACCGCTCTGAGTCGCTGAGTGAAGCGGCGCCTCGCGCGTCAGGCAATCTGGCCAATTGCGCATCTTTTCCGCCTACCGCACGGCCCCGCCCCTGCCACAGGATCGATTTACGGCCGCAGGTGCGCGCGCTTTTTTGCTCTCGCTGGGAATGGCGGAGGGAGGTACCCTGCTGAGGGGAAGGGGGGATCCCTGACACCTGGGCTTCCCCGGGAGTCGGCTGTGGAGTCGAGTTGAGCTCCCTTTCCGGGTCTGGGGAACTCAACCTCACCTTATGCCTGGGGTCTCCGGGGAACTAGTGGGCTTTCTGCAACGGGGGGAAGGAGGGGACGACTCCCGCCCCTAGTTTACCCCTCAAAAGTTAATGCCTTTGTCGGAGGAAGCAATTTCAGTCCACTCTCCTTTTCAGTCCCTGTTGGCCGCTTAAACTAAAAGGCTACAGACGGGCTTAAATGCGTCTCCGCTGTGTTTCTTATGCCTCGGGCCGGCAGGGTAACGGGTTCTAGTCACAGCTTGTAGAGTTCAGGATGGGTGACATTCAGGTCCTATTGTTTTTGAGTCAAGGTTTCGGCTATAGCTTCTTGAATTATGAAGCTGTCATAATAAAGAATTCCTGATTATCTAAAGCTGTTATTCTTCCCTACTTCCAAGGCAGAATTTGAATATATTTTGGTGGATGAAACGAAAACAAGGAGAGTCTTGTGACTATGAGATACTAGCTGGTTGATGTATCATGAAAAACTTAGTGGTCCCTATGTGGGAAGGTAAATGGAAAACTGCAAAAAGAGCAAGAATGAATTACAAAGTGAAATTAGAAGAAATATCTGGCTTACTTGTGGATGCTTTGTACACCAATACAATATATTATTTGATAAAAGTCGACTATAGAGAGGTGTGGTTAATTCGATTATTTTATAATTTTTCTTTTTTAGAGAAAAACCAAGATTTCACTTTCAAGATGGAAAGTCCGTCAGACTCAGCTGTGGTTTTACCTAGCACTCCTCAGGCCTCTGCGAATCCATCATCTCCCTATACAAATAGTTCCCGAAAACAAGTATGAAAATCTTTGTTCTTCCAGTGGATCCATTATGTGTTTCTAAGTATTGTGGCAGTGGTGGTTTAAATTCTACGGAAGGTTGTTAATTAACATAATGTGTAGCATAAATAAGTAGACATTTTATTAAATAATTTTGTTTTTCTTCTAAGGTGACATATATGACACCCACCAGCCCCCTTCCATATTTTCCTCTTGAATGAATTCATTTCAGTTAGTTTCAGATTAGGTTATTACAATACTCCAGATGGAGAAAGTTTGCATCTGTGCAATATTATTATGAAGGTCTTTAGTGGCAGAGTCTAGGTCTTTTCCTTACTCTGTAATTCTGAAGCACCTGGAGTACTATCAGGCATGTGCTTGTTACTGAACAAATGTTCCTTGATTACTGGGATAAACTTCTCAACACTTTTGGAAAGGTGTTGATCTTGCTGAAGTAAAAAGGAAATAAAACAAATGGAGCTTCCAGAAATTAAAGTCATTTTGTGATGCCTTCTTTAGATGTGGAGACAGAAAGCCATCTAGTGGTGTCTAGCATAGAAATGGAAGGACTTTATTTCTGGTGATTTATTGACATTAAGAATGTTTTTCTTGATTCACATTTTTAATGTTTTGTGCTCTTTATAGCCTATGAGTGCAACACTTAGAGAAAGATTAAGGAAAACAAGATTTTCATTTAATTCCTCTTACAATGTGGTGAAACGTCTTAAAGTAGAGAGTGAAGAAAATGATCAGACCTTTTCAGAGAAACCAGCATCTTCCACAGAGGAAAACTGTTTGGAATTTCAAGAAAGTTTTAAACATATAGACAGTGAATTTGAAGAAAATACAAATTTGAAAAATACTTTGAAGAATCTCAATGTCTGTGAATCTCAGTCACTTGATTCTGGATCATGCAGTGCTCTCCAAAATGAGTTTGTGAGTGAGAAGCTTCCTAAACAAAGATTAAACGCTGAAAAAGCCAAATTGGTGAAGCAGGTTCAGGAGAAAGAAGACCTTCTTCGGAGGCTAAAACTAGTCAAAATGTATAGATCAAAGGTGAGAAGAATTTCAGGACCATTGCATAATTTTTATTTTTACATAAATTACAGGAAAGTAATTTCAAAAATAGAATTTTTTTTTTTACCATAATAAGCAATAAGCCAAATATTCAGAAACCTGGCTTCCAACAGCTTTAATTCAACTCCAGATTTAGAGTAGAAAAGGCCCTTAAACACCAGGTAAAACTTTTTAAGAATCTCAGCTCTGATTTAATATGCAGTTAAACTTTTCTCTCTAGTTTCTAGCCCACAGCAATATTAGAAGTATTAAATGTTAGATGCAAGTACAATGGGAACAGAAGTGAAAGCTGACAGTGAATTAGTAAAACTAAAAATGGGCTGTAGAGTACAATAAAAGGTATTTTTAGTAATGATCTTGTGTCTCCCCCAAATAATTAATGTGATTCAGCCATTTTATTTGAGAAAATATATATATATATATATTATATTTTAGATTTCAACCCATATAGGTTGAATTAAATAGAACTTGGGTACTTGGAAGGAGAATAATCTTTATTACCTGGAAAATTCATATATATGCAATAGCTCATTTTCCCTGAATTACGTGGAATAAGTGATGGGATAGTGTATCTCATTTGTTCTCTTGAAATTCTGGAGTTTTTAAAAAATAAAATTTAGGAGTATTGAATGTTGAAAAAATATATTTTATTTATTTATTCATTCTTTTTTTAGAGACATGGTCTCTGTTGCCCAGCCTGGAGGGCAGTGGTGCAGTCATAGCTTATTGCAGCCTTGAACTCCTGGGCTCAAGTGATCCTCCCAACTCAGCCTCCCTAGTAGCTGGGACTACAGACATGTGCCATCACACCTGGCTAATTTTTTAAAATTATTTTTTTGTAGACATAGAGTCTTGCTATTTTGCACAGTGTAGTCTTGAACTCCTGGGCTCAAGCAGTCCTCCCACCTTGGCCTCCTAAGGTGCTGGGATCCCAGGTGTGAGCCACCATCCCCAGCCTAAAAAAATATTTTTAACTTGAATATTGTAATTTTAAAGAGCAGTTTTAGGTTCATAGCAACATTTAGTGGAAAGCATAGTGTCATTTTTTAAAAAGTACAGTTGTAATACAGTAGATTTTTCCCTGTATTATTGCTTCTTGACATAGTTTTGGCCCTATTTAATGATTTGATTTTTCCCTTATCATAAAGATGGCCCAGAGCTTAAGCCAACAAAATAGCCATAGAACTCAAGTTGAGTGACATTGTAACCATTCTACATATGACCATCCTACTTTTTCCTAGATAGAAGTCCCATTCATCCCTGTGTATGTTAGCCTTTAAACCTGCACATCCACTAATTTAACAACTTTAATTAAGTTGAACTAGCATGACTAGTTATTGACATACATGTTTTTTTTTCTGTTTCAGAATGATCTGTCTCAGTTACAGTTGTTAATAAAGAAGTGGAGAAGCTGTAGCCAGCTCTTGCTTTATGAGTTGCAGTCAGCTGTGTCTGAAGAGAACAAGAAACTAAGCCTTACTCAATTGATAGACCACTATGGGTTAGATGATAAATTACTACACTATAACAGAAGTGAAGAAGAATTTATAGATGTTTAATTCCTGATTTTTGCTCCAGAATATCTTTGAGAATGACAACTTAATTAAAAGATACTTAGGCACTTTTTTTTTTTTTTTGAGACTGAGTTTCGCTCTTGTCATCCTGGCTGGAGTGTGATGGTGCGATCTTGACTCACTGCAACCTCTGCCTCTCGGGTTCCAGCAATTCTCCTGCCTCAGCCTCCCGAGTAGCTGAGATTACAGGCGCCCGCCACCATGCCCGGCTAATTTTTGCATTTTTAGTAGAGACTGGGTTTCACCACGTTGGCCAGGCTGGTCTCGAACTCCTGACCTCAGGTGATCCACCGCCTAGGCCTCCCAAAACCATTAGGGCTCAGAGGAAGGTATCCCAATGAATATCAATTAAGGGCACTTTAATATATAAATTATAAACTAAGTTCTAAAAGGAAAATTAGTATTTTGGATAGATTTGTCAAAACGACATTTAAGTCATGTTTAAAAAGTCATTTGGGCAGTTCTGGAAACTAGTTTTAATACATTTGTTTTTTATGACAAAAAGTTTTATTTTAAATGTTAAAAATTGTCCAATCTGGTGAATGTCTAACCCTAAAGTTTAAAAATTTCTGCCTCCTAAGTTTATGTACCTTGTTTCCATCCATTTACCACATATTTCCATCTGATAGTCTAGCAGGTAATTAAACTTATATGTCCAAAACCATATTCTTCCCTGTCTCTTCAAATGTGTTTTGCATATTCATCATTTAGTGAAACAACCATCTATTTCTTCTTCTTTTTTTTTTTGAGACAGAGTTTTGCTCTTGTTGCCCAGGCTGGAGTGCAATGGCACGATCTTGGCTCACCGCAACTTCCGCCTCTGAGGTTTAAGTGATTCTACTGCCTCAGCCTCCCGAGTAGCTGGGATTACAGGCATGAGCCACCACCCTGGCTAATTTTGTATTTTTAGTAGAGACGGGGTTTCTCCATGTTGGTTAGGCTGGTCTTGAACTCCTGACTTCAGGTGATCTGCCCGCCTCAGCCTCCCAAAGTGCTGGGATTACAGGCATGAGCCACCACACCCGGCTAAACCATCTACTTCTTATAAAACTACATTTCCTTATCTCCCACCCACATGAAGGTATCATGGCATATAAGGTTCTTCGCATTTGTTTGCCTTTCTAGCTTCATCTGTGAAATGGGTTAAATTTAGATTGGTTATTCTATTTATGAACCCACCTCCACAGGTTGGGTTTCTGCTGCCAAATTATACAGTTGTACCTATCATTTTGGCCATATATGGAGATAGGACCCAAACTGGGCCAGTCTCTGAAAATTTGGAATTTAGCTCAGGAAAAGAAAGCCCATCTCTTTTTGTGACTGCAGCTGTTGTATATATACCTGGAAGCAGCAGAGCTGACATGCTTAAGGGCAGTGAGTGTGCTTACCGAGAAAGGCAGAGGTGATAGGAGAGAATTTTATGGATCAGTGGCTTCCTGGTTTTAGTTGCTAGTCATTCTTAAGAGCTTTCTGGATTTCTGCTTTTGGGTCCTTTTAAGTGTTAAAACAGCTTTACTTAGCTTTTTCAAAAGCACTTCCCTACTAGTTTAGCACTCCTCTGAACCCCCCTCAAGTACATCCCACTTTCAGTCCAGTCCCTCCACATAATCTAACCAGTGTTGAATGGTTGGCACAGCAGGAGACGCCAGGGCCCTGCTTTTGTGTCCATTCTAATTGTTAGTGCCATGCCAGTAAACTCTTACCCTGCCCACATACACAAATTCCTGTGCCGCTGGCCTTTATGAATCTGAGGAGACTGGCCCAGACATCATATGAGCTGCCTCTAGCACTGGGATTCCTAGATGGGCACCCCTGTGGACTTCTACTGTTCTAGTGCTTATCAGCCAGCCTCTTATCACTGCTTGCTGCCAACCAGGGGCCTAAATGTGGCAGGGGAAATGTTGCCCCTTGTGGTGGTGCTGGCATTTTGTAGGTCATTATGGTATTTCTCCAGATCTCAGAGGCTGCAGCTGCCCACTGCTGACAGGCACATCACCTGGAGCCACCCATATATATACACTTGGGGGAAATACAGCATCAGCGAGACTCTGGTTCTGGGAAAGCTTAGGGGCATGGTAATGGGGATTTCCAGGGCATTGACTGGGTGCTGAGGTTCCAACAGCACAGCAGCTGCTCTGTTGGATTTAATGGGATGCTTTTATTAAAAACCACTGACTATGACAGCTTTACTTATAAAAATGAGAGCTAATACAACATAGCACTTGTTTTTAATTTTAAAAAACTAGAATATTCCAGTTTTAAAGAAGAAGAAATATAAGATAGTTATTTCAAAATTAAGAGGTTATTTAAAACTCCAATGGCAGAGCCAAGATTTGAAGCCCAGGAATAGATCCTATAATTTTAATTCCTATGCATAAAGCCATACTGTGTCTGATCCAGTTAATTATATCACTAGTTGATAATATAAATAATATTTTAAAGGACTATAAAATATGAATATATTTGCTGTTCAGCAGAAGCTGAGAGGAGTCAATACCATGAACAGTATTAAGAGAGGAGTTACTGTGCATGACCCACATGTCCTTCCAAAGCCCCAAAACCAGAAGGTATCTCCCGTTGAAAGGGCTTCTGGAATAGGGCTTGATGGCAAGAGGTGCCCACTAAGCCCCACTCCATCCATGCCTCAAAGTAAGGCAGTCAAGCAAGGAACATTGCCAGAGTCAACAAAGGTTGATGACTAAGAAATAGAAATGATGCCGGCTGCTTTGTTAAGACCTGGGAATCCACAGAGCATTATCTAGTGAAATTTGTGGCACTACTAGCAAATGGAGTCTCCAGACAGCTAACTTAGGTGAAAATGGAGTTTGTGTCACCAGAAAAGATTGTAAAAAAAATCAAGTCTAGTACATCTATGGTTGACTCAAACCAACAGGACAGAGAACTTCTGGCAATACCATCTTAAGTATAAAGTATTTGCACCCCTACCCTGGGGTCTGTCCCCACAACTCTCATCTCAGGGATAATTTTGAAGGACCCCAGATGTAGGAAATGGTACCCATGGGCACTTCCCTACTGAATACGCCAAACTGACTACTTCATGAGTCCGTCTAGTACAAAGGAGGGGAATCATCAAAGTGTTGGTCCTATCATTTCCCTTACCATCCCCATCCAGCACAGATCACTATGTGGGTGATCAATTACATCTTCTAAAGATTTATTTTGCTAAACAGAAGATTTTATAGTAGCTCTCTTGCTTTATCTACATCAGTGTATATTGGATATGGTACTGAGGATTAAACTTAACGTTGAGTTCATAAATTGCAGAACAGTGAGACAGTGACATCACTTGGAGATTGTGGTCCATGATCCCTGTGGACAGCAGTCCACAGGTTATGGAAGGGCAAAGCAGTTTTATGGCCAATTATTCATCTCATTATATAATTATCACCATCTAAAAGTGATAAACTACTTCATGGAAATAAGAAAGTATTTTTCTGTTGGTTAAACCCTATTGGGTAAAGCACAAAATTGAATTTTCTATTACAACATAAAAGAAATGTAGATTATGTCTCTAAAGTATGTTGTAATTTTCTTCTGAGATGGAGTCTCGCTCTGTTGCCCAGGCTGGAGTGCAGTGGCACATTCTCGGCTCACTGCAACCTCCACCTCCTGGGTTCACACCATTCTGCTGCCTCAGCCTCCCCAGTAGCTGGGACTACAGGCGCCTGCCACCACCCACCACGCCCGGCTAATTTATTTTTATTTTTATTTTTTATTTTTAGTAGAGATGGGGTTTCACCATGTTAGTCAAGATCTCCTGACCTCGTGATCCACATGCCTCGGCCTCCCAAAGTGCTGGGATTACAGGCGTGAGCCACCGTGTCTGGCCAAAATATGTTGTAATTTACAAATGATACAAGGCTTGGAAAAAGCTCTAACAATTTGTCTTGTTCTCATTGGTGCAGCAGAGAATAATCTAAATACTCTCGTAATTTTTTTCTGATTATGAAAGAAATGCTTACTGAAGAAAATGAGAAACAGAAGAGCATAAAGATAAAAATTACCCATAATCTCATAACTTTTCTGACAGTTTCATAAAATTAGAAATGCTAGTTTGGCAAAGAATTTCTTTTTAAGACTTTCTATACCATAACTATGAAAATATCTTTGATCCAACTCAGATTAAATGAGTAAAATAGATCTTGAATACTTTCTGACTTCAAGTCTTGTTTATTCTTGAATAAAAACAGCAATTCATGGTATTTTACACATTTATTCATGCAGGACAAAAATTTGTATACAATTAAGGCTAAAATTAAACAATTTTTTATCTAAAACATGCAACTCAGAGGACATGCTACTTCAATTTCCCAGTAAGAAAGAAAAGGAAATCATTTTACCCAAATGAAATGATTTTTTAAATGATTGATTTGGCCTTGTGTTTTCCTGCCAGCGTTTTTACATTTGAACAAGAGCAGGAAATGTTTTCATTCTTAATCTTTCAACTTCAGTCTGTAGTATTGAAATCTGTTCAGCTTGTTGTTTTGAAATATTTGTTAACTTCTGCTGTTGCATCATGTTTTCATACCGTTCTTTGACAATCTTTTCACAAGTCAGTTTAGACCCTATCCCAAAAATGAATAAAGGAATTCGATTATTTATCAATACTTTCAAATACAGAAGCAGCACTCAGAATCATACATGTGGAAGAAATGCTGGTAGCAAAAAGGCATATGCACTTGTATGTTTACAGCAGCACTATCACAAAAGCAAAGACATGGAGTCACCCTAGGTGCCCCATCAACAGTGGACTGGATAAAGAAAATGTGGTACATATACACCATGGGACACTACACAGCCATAAAAAAAAGAATGAAATAATGTCCTTTGCAGCAACATGGATGTAGCTGGAAGCCATTATCCTAAGCAAATTAACACAGGAACAGAAAACCAAATACCACATGTTCTCACTTATAAATGGGAGCTAAACAGTGGATACTCATGGACATAAAGATGGTAACAGGGAACACTTGGAGGCCAGGTGTGGTGGCTCACACCTGTAATCCCAGCACTTTGGTTAGCTGAGGTGGGCGGATCTCTTGAGCTCAGGAGTTCGAGGCCAGCCTGGCCAACATGGCAAAACCTACTCTCTACAAAACATACAAAAATTAGCCGGGCATGGTGGTTCCTGCCTGTGGTCCCAGGCACTTGAGGGGGCTGAGGTGGGAGGATCAATTGAGCCCAGGAGGTGGAGGTTGCATTGAGCCAAGATCATACCACTGCACTGCAGCTTGGGCAACAGAGGGACACCCTGTCTCAAAAAAAAAAAAAAAAAAAAAAAGAAAAGAAACACTGGGGACTACTAGAGGGAGGAGGCAGGGAGGGAGGAAGGGCTGAAAAATTATGGGGTACTATGCTCAGTACCTGTGTGACGGAATCATTCCGTACCCCAAACCTCAGCATCACACAATATACCTAAGTAACAAACTTGTACATGTACTCCCTGAATCTAAAATAAAAGTTGAAATTATTTTAAACAATGTATTTTTAAAGAAATGCTGATAGCTTTTTAACTGTTGTATACATTTTAGGATTACTGATTACTTTTAAAGAAACCTACAGTTGGTTAAAGAAAAAAAAGCATGCTTACCCATTGCATTACAGATGTCTTTTCTCTCTGAGACAGCTACCAACTCTTCTCGTAGATTGCAGCTTAGGGCATAATTTGCTATATCTTTTTGATTGCTGAACTTTCCAAGTTTTTTGAGTAGTTTCTTGCAGTTTTCCACATTCTTTTTGTGCATCTGAAATTTTTGTTCCCATGACACCCCACAAAATTAATTTTGAAAAATGTAATTTATCCTATAAAGACATTATTCTTATATTTTAAATACATTATCATCATTAAGATAACATCTTACCGCCATATCTGTAGTGCCTGGCATAGTAGGCACTCGAGTTATTTGTTGAAAGGTAGAATGGTATGTTAATAACAAATTTTAGAAAAAACATTTTGTATATTCTTAAACTGAGAGAATATTTTAAAAGCTTGAGATTGCTTTGTTTCTAATATATGCTACATAATAAAAACTGACCATTTTTATTCAGTGATGATTAAATAAAACCTTTCCAATGCCAAGGAAAGACTACCAACACTCCTATTACATAAATCCTAACCTAATGTAAAATAGAAAATCCACTTACACTCAGATATGTCCCCAGGGGTTAATTCTAATATTAAAGGAAGTGCTTAATTTTATTTCATTAGTTGCGGTTGCAAAGATACTACTTAGGGACTTTTAATTACCTCATGAATACTAGTAAATAACCAAGATTTTATTAGGGTCTAGGTAAATTCATGATTTGAAACACTATTACTTTGCTCAAATGATTTACAACTGTTAGGATATAATAACCAACGTCTTTGAGACTTACCTTATCTAAAACAGCAATGGTTTGTTCCATTATTCCAATCTGAATACTAATCAGAGCCTCATAGTTTGGTTCATTTAGGTACTTTGAGATTAAAAAAAAACATGTAAGGATATTTTTCTCTCTTTCAATAGATGACTTTATAAAGGTTGTTTTAGCTTTGAAAGTTACTGTTTTTCATAACAAATATCTATGCAAGTTAAGATTGATTTGGCTTGGCCAGGCGTGGTGGCATACGCTTGTAATCCCAGCACTTTGGGAGGCTGAGGCAGGTGGATCACCTGAGGTCAGGAGTTCAAGACCAGCCTGACTAACATGGTAAAACCTTGTCTCTACTAAAAAATACAAAAAATTAGTTGGGCGTGGTGGCACATGCCTGTAATCCCAGCTGCTCCGGGAGGGTGAGGCAGGAGAATTGCTTGAACCCAGGAGGTGGAGGTTGTAGTGAGCGGATATCACACCATTGCACTCCACCTGGGCAAAAAGAGCAAAACCCCATCTCAAAAAAAACAAAAAAAGATTGATTTGGCTTTTGTGCCATAATATTTCCCTGTATTTAGCCATCAATACATTCATGTACACTAATTATTACATCAAAGCACCAATTATTACAAATGCCTACTTTATTTTCTCATTCATTAATTCATTTATTCAACTCACCAAACATTTAAGTGTTGTTCCACTTGAGTCCCACATTAACAAAGTCCTAGTTAAAGACACTGAGGGAGATACAAAGATAGATAACATGTCCTAGTCTTCATGGGAAAATGATCACATAGATATGATTGGTTGCCAGAAGCCATGTAGAGTGTCATGCTAATTCAAAGGTGGTTTGTAATGAGATGGAATTTCTCCAGGCTTGGAAAATCAAGAAAGGTTTTATGAAGGAGAAGGTGGTATTTAAACTAGACCTTGAAAAGTAGATTTGGGATGTACAAAAAAGGCAAACTAAGAAGAGCTGCTGGGAGGTGAAAACTATAGAAATGGGGCATGGCTTGGAATCCACAGAACTTGGATTAGTTTGTAGGAGTGATCGTTGAAGTTAGAAAAACAGAGGACATCACCCAGGGAGAGGTATGGAAAGAAACACAAACATAGCTAAGGGCAAAATCTTGAAGAACGGCTATATTGAAGTGTTAGAGGCAAAAGAGAATCCAGTAAAAGAGGTAGAGTGGTATGACATGTTGGAAGCAAAATTAATTTGGGGTGATGAAAGCCAAAGGAATGAGAAATTAAGATGGTTAAATGCTACAGAGAATTGAAGGACCACCGGGTTTGACAGGAAATCCTTAGCTCTGAGTAGAATGATTCTACTAAATGGGTCATGAAGAACTGGAGGCTGCAAATGTAAACTGTTGGAAGAAAAATAACTCACAGATATATTTTGAAACACTCCTGGCTTAGAATATGCTTGATATCACAGAGGCTTCTTATTAAATACTGGTTAAATGAATGAATACATTAATGAATAAAATTAAAACTATGTAGGGGGGTAGGGAGAATTTACCTTTTGACGATCTCTTGAAAAAAATAGCATCTGAATATCCCAAGCCTTCTGATTTAGATCTTCCCTTTCCATCTCCATTTTCTTATGTTCCCACTCAATCTGAAGTATTCTTTTGTGTACATCTTTACTTTCCATCATGCTAGCAACTTTCTTTTGTCCTTGAGTCTTTAAAAAAGTACATTAGATATCCATATAATATGATTCTGCATATAGAACATAGAATATTTGAGGCTGAATGCTATTTTTAGAAAATACTTGGGTCACAGAGATAATTCTGTCTTCTTTTTAAGAAACAGACATTAAAAATGGCTTCTTGGGCAAAATCTGATCACTATAAAGCATGATAGTCACTAAACAGAAGGGATTATAAGATACATTTAAATAGCAGAGCCAATTTACTTTATATGTCAACAATTAGGCAGGAACTTTTTTTTGCCATCACCCAATCTACCAACCTGTATGCATTTGTATCCCTATTCATTG
This sequence comes from Homo sapiens, assembly GCF_000001405.40. NCBI lineage: Eukaryota > Metazoa > Chordata > Mammalia > Primates > Hominidae > Homo > Homo sapiens. Next base: position 104,134,103 of record NC_000010.11, read on the forward strand.
TCCTCCCACCTGATGCTGGGTGTGGTGTCTCATGCCTGTAATCCCACCACCTTGGGAGGTTGAGGCAGGAGGAATGCTTAAGCTCAGGAGTTTGAGACCAGCCTAGGCAACAGAGCAAGACCTCAACTATACGGAAAATCAAAAAATTAGCCTGGAATAGTGGTGCACGCCTGTGGTCCCAGCTACTCAGGAGGCTGAGGCAGGAGGATCACTTGAGCCCAGGAAGTCAAGGCTGCAGTGAGCCGTGTTCATGCCACTGCACTCCAGCCTGGGTGACAGAGCAAGACCCTGTCTCAAAAAAAGAAAGAAAGAAAACAGAAAAACAATAGTCAATGATGAAACCAAAAGTTGGTTCTTTTAAAAAATCAGCAAAATTGACAAACCTTTAGCTAGACTGACTAAGAAAAAAAAGGCTCAAATTGCTAAAATAAGAAATGAAATCAAGAATATTACTACCAATATTACAGAAATTAAAAGGATTATAAGAGAATACTATGAAAATTCTACACCAACAAATTAGGTAACTTAGATGAAATAGAAAATTCCTAGAAACACACAAACTATAAAAACCAATTCAAAAAGTAATAGAAAATTTTAATAGACCTAAAACAAGTAAATAATTGAATCAGTTATCAAAAACCTCCCAAAAAAGAAAAGCCCAGGACAAGAAGGCTTCACTGATGAATTCTATCAAACATTTAAAGAAAAATTACACCAATACTACTCAAATGTTTCCAAAAAATAGAAGAGGAGGGAACACTTTCTAATATATTATATGAGGCCAGCAGTACCTTGATACCAAAGCCAGAGAAAGACATCACAAGAAAATTACAGACCAATATCCCTTATGAATACATACACAAAGACAAAAACGTTCAATAAAATACTAGCAAACTGATTCCAGCAGCACATTGAAAGGATTATAACTATGACCAAGTGTCATTTATCCTAAGATTGCAAGAGTAGTCCGCACAATCAAACAATATAATATACCTCATTAACAGAACAAATTTAAAAACTCACATGATCATGTCAATTGATGTAGAAAAAAAAAATTGACAAAATCCAGCACACTTCAATGATTAAAAAAAATATATGCAACAGACTTGGAATAAAAGGGAACTTCCTCAACATGATAATGGGAATTTACAGAAAACCCATCATAACTTCATACTCAATGATAAAAGACTGAAAGCTTTCCAACTAAGATCAGGAACGAGACAAGGATGTCCCACTTTTTGTCACTTTGATTCAACACTGTAATAAAAATTCTAGTCATGGCAATTAGGCAAGAAGAAGAAATAAAAGGCACCCAAACTGAAAAGATGTAAAACAATTTCTATTCACAGATTAATGAGTCTATATATATAGAGAAAGTCATATAGAATCCACAAAAACCCTACTAGAGATAATACATAAATTTGGCAAAGTTGCAGAGTATAAGATTAATATGCAAAAATCAGTTATATTTTTATACATCACCACTGAAAAATCTGGAAAAGAATTAATAAATCAATTCCATTTACAATAATATCAGAAAGAAAAAACCTAGAAATAAAGTTTATCTAAAAAGTGTGTGTACAAAGAAACCTACAAAATATTACTGAAAGAATATAAAGATTAAATAAATGGAAAGTCATCCCATGTTCTTGGATCAAAAGACTTAAGACAGTACTCCTCAAAGGAATCTATAGATTTAATGCAATCACTGCCAAAATTTCAATGGCTTTTTTTTTTCAAATGGAAAAACCTGATCCTCAAATTCATATGAAGCTGCAAAGGATCATGAATAGCCAAAACAATATTGAAAACAAAAAGTTGGATGGCTAACATTTCCCTACTTCAAAGAAGAAAACAGGGACTGAGGCCAGGCACAGTGGCTCACGCCTGTAATCCCAGCACTTTGGGAGGCTGAGGCAGGCAGATCACCTGAGGTCAGGAGTTTGAGACCAGCCTGGCCAACAAGGTGAAACCCTGTCTCTACTAAAAATACAAAAATTAGCTGGGCATGGTGGTGGGCGCCTGTAAATCCCAGCTACTCAGGAGGCTGAGGCAGGAGAATCGCTTGAATCCGGGACATGGAGGTTGCAGTGAGCCAAGATCATACCACTGTGCTCCAGCCTGGGAGACAGAGCGAGAATCCATTTCTCCATTTCAAAAAAAAAAAAAAAAAAAAGAAGAAAAGAAAAGAAGAAAGAAAACAGGGATAAATCTTCATGACTTCAGATTTGATTCTTAGATATTTACTTATTTTATTTTATTTTATTTTATTTTATTTTATTTTTTGAGACAGAGTCTTACTCTGCCACCCAGGCTGGAGTGCAGTGGCGCCATCTCGCCTCACTGCAACCTCCGCCTCCCGAGTTCAAGTGAGTCTCCTGCCTCAGCCTCCTGAGTGGCTGGGATTACAGGTGCCTGCCACCATGCCCGGCTAATTTTTGTATTTTTAGTAGAGACGGGGTTTCACATCTTGGCCAGGCTGGTCTTAAACTCCTGACCTCAGGTGATCCCACCTCAGCTTCCCAAAGTGCTGGGATTACAGGCATGAGCCACCGCACACGGCCTGATTCTTAGATTTAACACCAAAAACATGAGACAATCCACAGAAGGGGATAAAATATTGGCAAATTATATAAGGGTTTAATGTCCAGAACATATAAAAAACTCCTATAACTCAACAACAAAACCTAATTTGAAAATGGGCAAAAGACTTCAGTAGTCATTTGTCCAAAGATATACAAATGGTCAACAAGCATATGAAAAGATGCTCAATGTCATTAGTCATTAGAGAAATTTACATCAAGAATAAACCCACTAAGATGGCTGTAATTAAAAAGCAAGCAAGCAAACAACAAAAAAGAGAAACAATAACAAGTTTTGATAGGGACGTAGAGAAAGTGAAACCCACATACTTTGCTGGTGGGAATATGAAATGGTGCAGCTACTATGGAAAACAGTTTTTAGTGCCTCAATCAGTTAAACATACAATGACCATACGATCCAGCAATTCCACTTCTAGGTATATATCCCCAGAGAACTGAAAACAGGTTTTCAAAAACTTGTGCATGAACAGTTATAGGCACCACAATAGCCAAAAGGTGGAAATAGCCCAAATATTCACCAGCTGATGAATGGATAAACAAAATGTATATCCATAAAATGAAATATGATTTGGTCACAAAAGAAGAATGAAGACTGATACATGCTACAACATGGTTAAATCTTAAAAACATGCTAAGTGAAAGAAGCCAGAAAACAAAGGCCACATATTGTATGATTCCATTCATACAAAATACTAAGAATAGGCAAATCCATACAGAAAATGCAGATTAGTGGTGTCCAGGGGCTAAGGGAAGAGGTGGATGGGGAATAATTGCTTAATGGGTGTGGGGTTTCCTTTTAGGATGATAAAAAATGTTCTGAGGCCGGGTGGGGTGCCTCACTCCTGTAATTCCAGCACTTTGGGAGGCTAAGGCAGGAGGATCGCTTGAGCCCAGGAGTTTGAGACCAGCCTGGGCAACATGGTGAAACCCCATCTCTACCAAAAAAATATAAAAATTAGCCAGGTGTGGTGGCACGTGCCTGTAATTCCAGCTACTGAGGTGGGAGAATGGCTTCAGTCTGGGAGGCGGAGGCTGCAGTGAGCTGAGATCATGCTCCGGCACTCCAGCCCAGATGACAGAGCCAGACCCTGTCTCAAAAAACAAAAAACAAAACAAAACAAAAATGTTCTGGAACTAGATAGCAGTACTAGCTGCACAACTTTGCGATGTATTAATTGCCACTGACTTGCACACTTTAAATGGTTAAAATAGTACATTTTATGTTATGTGTATTATACCACAATAAAAATATCTCTAAAAAACTAAGTTACAAAGCAATCAACACACCTAGATCAGAGATGACAGGTGTTAGAACTATCAGATGGGAAATTTAAAATAATTATGACTAATTTCCTTATAAAGAGTATAGCATGGAACAGTGGAGAAAAAGTAACTTTATAGTAAAGAAGCCTGACAAAACTCTACCTCAATTCAGGTGGTCAAGATTCAATAAACAGTGATGACATGTTGATAGCATGTATCCTTGAAATCATGTGCTGAGAGGGCATTTTACCTCTGTGGTCTCTTTCTCCATACTCCAGGCGAATAGTGATAAATACATCAGAGAAACCACAGTTGAGGGACATTCCACAAAATAACTGACTATTACTCTACAATAAACTGTCAAGGTCATCAAAAACAAGACAAAACTGAGAAACTGTCACTATCTAGAAAGAAATGACAACTGGCCGGTGGCACGGTGGCTCAGGCTTGTAATCCCAACACTTTGGGAGGCTGAGGTGGGCGGATCACCTGAGGTTGGTAGTTCGAGACCAGCCTGACCAACATGGAGAAACCCCGCCTCTACTGAAAATACAAAATTAGCCAGGTGTGGTGGCGCATGCCTGTAATCCCAGCTACTCGGGAGGCTGAGGCAGTAGAATCGCTTGAACCCAGAAGGTGGAGGTTGCAGTGACCTGAGATAGTGCCATTGCACACCAGCCTGGGCAATAAGAGCAAAGCTCAGTCTAAAAAGAAAAAAAAAAAAAGAAAGACATGACAACTAAATAAAATGCATCCTGATGAGATCCTGGAACAGAAAAATGACCTTAAGTAAAAACTAAGGAAAAGTGAATAAAGTTTGTACTTTAGTTAATAATAATGTGTCAATATTAGTTCAATAGTTGTGGCAAATGTACCATACTGATGGAAAATAATAAAATATAAGAAACTGGATAAGGGGTATATGAGAATTCTCTGTACTATCTTTACAACTTTTCTAAAACAAAAATTTTTGGAAAGGATAGACAACATGCATGAACAAATGGGGAATTTCAGCAGAGGGATGGAAAGTATAAGTTAAACAGAAATACTAAATGTAAGTCTATCTATCTGTCTGTCTATCTATCTATCTATCTACAATAATATGGTAACAGATATTTTGCCTTTGATGGGCTCATTATCAGACTAGACACAGCATAAGAATGAATGAACTTGAATATAGGGCAATAGTAATTACCCAAACTGAAACATAAAGAGAACAAAGAGTGAAAAACAATGAGTATGGAATATCTAAGAGATGTGGAACAGTATCAGACAATCTGACACGTGTGTAATTGGAATCCCAGTAGAAAAAGAGAGAGCGAAAGGGGCAGAAGAAATATTCAGAGATAATAAATAAGAATTTTCCAAAGATAATGACAAATATCAAATCACAGATTGAGGAAGCTCAGAGAAGCTCAAGAATCTCACGCACACATGTGCATACCGCCCCCTATCCCCACCTAGACACATTGTGTTCAAACTGCTGAAAAACAAATAAAAAATCTCAAAGCCAGACACATTAAATTCAGATGAACAAAGATAAAAAATATAGCAGAAACCTTGTCAGAAACTATCTAGATGTTCAGAAGAAAATGAACATCTTTAAAATGAAAAGAGAGAGAGAGAGAACAAATGAACGAACCTGGCAATCCAGTGAATCTAGCAAAGTATCTTTCAACAATGAAGGTGATTAAAAACTTTTTCAGATAAAGAAAAATGGAGAGAATTCATTACTAGCAGGCTTGTACTTCAATTAAGTTAAAGGAAGTTCTTTAAGCAGAAGGTAAATGATACAAGATGGAAATTTGGATCTACACAATGAAATAAAGATCTTTTGAAATAGTGAAAATTAAGGTAAATAGAAAATACCTCTTTTCACATTTTTATTATTCTAAAAGATAATTGTCTAAAGCAAAAAATAATAGCAATATGTTTTGTGTTTATAGCATTTGTAAAAATAAAATGTACAGTAGCATTATCATCTAATTCCCAAATAGCACAAAATCCGCAAATATTTAGAAATTAAATAACACGCTTTTAAATAACCCATGAATCAAATAGGAAGTCACAACAGAAATTAGAAAATATGTAAAAGAAAATTAAAACACAAAATATTAAAATTTGTAGAATACAGATAAAATAAAGCTTATAGGGAATATTTTTTTAGGACTCAATTATACCTAAAGCTTATACAGAAATAACATTAAATGTTCATATTAGAAAAGAAGTAAGGTCTGAAATCAACTAACTAAGCTTATCTAAGATTATCTTTGCCTGAGTAGGCTGGGCCTAAAAAAACGATGGCATACTAGAATGGACATTTAGCTCTGTGATCCTTCTTGAACCTTAGAATTATGGAGGGAGCTTTTAAAAAATACTCATCCTGGGGGTGGGGTCTGAGCACATTTATAAAGTTCTTCAAATGATTCTAATGTGCAACCACAGTTAGGAAACCACTGACTTAATTGAATTAAAATTACTTATGAAAATGGGAGAATAATGTAAAATATTTGGTACAGCAGGCAATATGTTTTGTCTTTAAACAAGTATAATTGGCCAGGTGCAGTGGCTCCTGCCTGTTAATTCCAGCACTCTGGGAGGCCAGAGCAGGAGGATCACTTGAGCTCAGGAGTTTGAGAACAGCCTGGGCAACATATTAAGACTCTGTTTTTACAAAAAACTAATTTTAAAACAATTAGCTGGGTGTGGTGGTGTGAACCTGTACTCCCAGCTACTTGGGAGGTGAAGGTGGGAGGATCTATTGAGCCTAGCTAAGGGTTAAGGCTGCAGTGAGCCATGATTGTGCCACAAGACTCTAGCCTGAGTAACAAAGCAAGACCTTGAATTAAAATAAAAATAAAAAGTATAATTACCCGAATCACAGAATTCAAGTCTTCAATTATGTTCTTGTTGATGAGAATTGCATCAGAATACTCCAGTACTAGCTGGAAATTTTCCAGTTCTACTTGTCCTTGTTTAAGAAGAATTTGGATTGTCAAATTCAACTGGAATCTCACTTTCTCTTCCTGTAATCTGAATTGAAAAGTACTTCAAAGCAAGTAGTTGTAATATATTTCAAATTTCACCTATTATCTGAGAATATAAAAATCGAATCAGCTTAAGGAAAACATGCTGGAGATTAGTGTGGAGAATATTTTCCTGATGATGAGCTTTCCTAGAGGTCTCTCTGAAACCTCTTCCTATTGATGCAGAATTATACCTGGGTTGCTCAAAAAATGGTATGGACAGAAATACATTTATAGATTTTTACTTTAGGATTAAGAAAAGATTGTATAATTTTGACGGTAATAAAAGTAAAGTAAAAATGAAGAAAATAGAGACACTTTTAAATAACAAATCTGGCCAGGCGCAGTGGCTCATGCCTGTAATCCCAGCATTTTGGGATGCCGAGGTGGGTGGATCATCTGAGGTCAGGAGTTCGAGACTAGCCTGGCCAACATGGCGAAACCCCATCTCTACTAACAATACAAAAATTAGCCAGGGGTGGTGACAGGCACCTGTAATCCCAGCTGCTTGGGAGGCTGAGGCATGAGATCTCTTGAACCTGGGAGGTGGAGACTGCAGTGAGCCCAGATCGTGCCACTGCACTCCAGCTTGTGTGACAGAGTGAGGCTCCATTTCAAAATAAATAAATAAATAAATAAAATAACTCTATTAAAATTCTGAACTTATTTATTGATTTCTGATACTATACTAACAATATTTAATATGTAAGTTACTTAACAAATCTATTTCTGGGTAATTCATATCCTCGCTATAGCCTAGATCTAAAAATGATGTGTTCTCAATGAATTTGGGAACATCAGAGAAGTATTTATCGATGAGGCTATAAATATAGCCAAAAAATGAAGCAAGGACTTAAATATCTTAATCACTTAGTAAACAACAAGTTCCCCTAAAGAAAAATATATCAGTTGGCTGCGTGTCTACATGGAAAGTTCTTAGACATCTGCTTAATTTTCCACATGGTTAGCTTATATGCCTTGAGCCCCAAAGTACTGAAAAACAGGTTCTTTGTATTTTTATGTGGAAGGGGCCGACTTAAAACAATACTAAGATTTTTCTGAAACTTGCTTATTTGTAATAAGAGCAACAAAACGTGGGAAAGTTCCATCCTGAATCAAGGTCTATGTAACAAAGCAGGCTTTTTAAAATAGAAATTTTAAAGCACAGTGCTGGAAGGGAGATGGCTGTAAAGCAGTCAGTAGGCATTCTCCCCAGTGATAACACAACCTGATTTAGCCCTAATTAGACTTTGAATAGGTGAACATGAAAGAAAGCTTCAAATTACAGGATGAGTTCATGGAACACTCTCTCAATCTCCTGTTGCACCTTCTCTTCCTCCTCAACTCTCTTCTGGAGGAAAGTTGCCATTTCCAATAAGTCAGCTGCTTTCTGCTTTACCTAAAGAAACCAAGCCAGAAACATGTCAGAACATATGGAGCTTCAATTTTAGACAACATACATCTTTTAACTTTTTAAATTTAAAAACCTTAACAGGTCTATCTTTCGAAGAAAGTAATAAAACATTTAAATTTAAATGTCTAAAACTTACATGGTATGTAACAATTTGAACGATTTGAAAGTATCAAATTTGCTTCTTGGTGAAAATCAAGTATGCAGGCAACTATAAATTCTTTTATATCTTATTTTTAAAATTTGTTCTCATCACTTTAAGTGAAATTATAGAATCCTAGGTACTTTAACAAAAATATGCCAGCCTGATGCATGTGGGCATTAAATTTAGGGAATTTGGGGTAGTGGTCAAGAAGCAACAAGAGGAAGGATTCTCTTCCCAAATAAAGACCCTCTTAAATTTTTACTCGTTGCCACATTCTAGCAAAACTATAAAGTTGGTTCTGCTGAGCCAAATATAATTCTAATCTATGCAAAATGAGATAACCTACAACAGTGCTGTCCAAGAAAAATATAACGTGAGCCATAAATGTGAGTCACATATGTAATTTTAAATTCTGTAGTAGCCGCATTATAAAAAGTGAAATCAAAGAAATGAACTTAATTTTACTAATATATTTTAATTAAATGTATCCAGAATATTATCACTTCAACCTATAATCAATATAAAAATATTAATGAGACATATTTCTTTTTGTTCATACTAAGCCTTCTAATGTGTATGTTTTCCACTTACAGCACATCTCAGTTAGGACTGGCAATATTTATTTCAAATGCATAATAACCACTTGTGGCTAATGGACACTATTTTGAACGGCACCAGTCTAAAAGCAACAGGCCTACACTTAGCCTTCAATAGCACCAGGGTTAATATAGTATTTCATTATCTTATTACTATGACCAAATACTACCCTAGCAGGGAAACCTAAATAATTAGCTTTTTTGGTTACACTGACCAATGTAAACTATGTATTTGATATTAGTACACTAAAAATTAAATTAAGTTAAAATAGTATATACTTTCTGTTCATTTTCCACTTTTGCTCGTCTTGTCATGCAGAAATGATTCCAGACCAAAGGGTCCAAGCCTTCTGGCATGTTACTAATATTGTCCAACTCATCCATAGCTTTCATTAACTGGGCAAAGGCATCCTTATTCAACTTGCCAGATCCTGGTAGTTCTCCGAAAGGGACAACGCTGGTTGTTTCTGAGTGCGTTTTCTGTTTGGAAATCCTGGTATTACCAAGAAAAGCCCATCAACATTTCACATTCTCATAAAAACATCAATGTGAAACAATTAGGCCCTTAGCACAGGCATAACACATTGTATGGCTCTTCCCTTTGCCATGTGATGGCTGGTAGGTGGGTTATTCCACAGATAAAGGGATCCACTTTGCCCTTCTTCCATACTCTCCAGGTTCTCAGACGTGACCTTGGCTAGACTACAGATGTCTCCAACTATTGTCAGCACTGACAGACAATTGTGTCTGTGCTAGGACACATTTCCTTTCTGTATACTGTAAGCAGGCAAATAAATCAACCCATCGTTTCACCTCAGCCTCCCAAAGTGTTGGGAGTACAGTGGTGAGCCACCACCTGGCCAATTCTGTTTTTATCTACATTAATAGATTAGTTTCATTTCCCTGTGCTTCAGCTGGAAAGGGAAGAAGGGTACAAAGATTTGGGCGAGGCACTCACTATCAAGATGCTTTACAGTACACTGTGAGGTTGAAACTATATTATCATCCCCATTCTCTAGATGAGGAAAGTCAGCCTGGGAGAGAAGCTCATGGCCCAAGGCTATCAGTCTGACAGGTGTTGAAGTTAGGATTTAAAGTTGATTCTGTTTGACAAGAAAGCTTGTGCTTTTCCCACTGCTGCGGGAGGTCTCACTTCTTTTTCCACAAGGAGAAGGTATGTAATTGGGCTAATTATCACTCACTCTTTTAAAAATAGGAAAACCGCCGGGCGAGATGGCTCACACCTATAATCCCAACACTTTGGGAGGTTGAGATGGGTGGATCACGAGGTCAGGAGATCGAGATCATCCTGCTCAACATGGTGAAACTCCGTCTCTACTAAAAATACAAAAATTAGCTGGGCGTGGTGGCATGTGCCTGTAGTCCCAGCTACTTGGCAGGCTGAGGCAGGAGAAACGCTTGAACCCGGGAGGCGGAGGTTGCAGTGAGCAGAGATCGTGCCACTGCACTCCAGCCTGGGTGACAGACAGAGACTCCGTCTCAAAAAAAAAGGAAAACCAAAACAAGAGGCATGTTCTAGGTTAAATTCCCTAGGTTGCCTATAACCTGTCAGAGTTTGTATCTCAAACACAAACTAGCTGACTACATCTTTGTGACAAACTCCTTGATTTCTAGATTACATTTGATTGAAAACTGGAAATCTGCATTTATAATGGTGGAAATCAGTGATACTTTCTTAGAACTCTTTTCAAATGGTTATTTTCTACCATTTATACTGGCATCTTTCAAACTTTAGGCACAAGCACATGAGATACTCTGAGGAAAAGCAATTTGTGGTCAAATAAGTTTGGAAAACGCTGCTTACTCTGTTTCTTACACTTGGAGATCCAAAGGCCAATAATACATTCTGCAGTAAAAGAAAAGCTGCTTAACTTCCTTTTTTTAACCCAGTATTTTCCCCAAACTTAGTTAGTCCTGGAAGCCTATTACAAGTAGTTCCGATTTATACATCAGGGAACTTGTGTTTGTTTGAACGCACTTTAGAAAAAACTGTTTTTAAATCTGTGTGCCATCTATGATGTAAGAGGAACTTCCTTAATGTACAAAGCAGAATCTACAATAGTACCGTGCTTACACAGATCCTTAACTATTTTTAAATAATGAAAATAAATCATTATTCTCTACCTTAAGATATAGACATAATCTCAAAAAATACTGAATTAGGATCAAAACCCTTAAACATCTCCACCTAAAAGATATTACACTGAATAATTCCATTTAATTGGGAGAAAAAAGCTGAAATCTAGTAACACTCCTCTTTATTTGCAAACTTTTTTCTCAGAAACACAATAGTGAAGGAGAAACAAACCTTGGTCGGCGTTTAAAAAGTTTGTAGAGTATATCCACTTGATGACCAGGAATTTCAGAAAATTCCTTTTTAAAGCTGCGATCCATAACCTAAGGACAAACATGACATTTGAGGACTGCAACTTGGTTTGGAAACCTTTTATTTGTTGACAATACTCTTCAAAATACAGGTGGTAGCACTTTGGTTTTAAAAATGCATGAAACCTTGATTTACAAAGTTGTTAGACATTAACCATTCTCTGTGCAATGATGTCTCAAAGATTTGTTTTGATAAGAAGCATCTAAGTGTATTAAAAATATTATTTCATATAACAGGTCTTAGAAATCATCCAGAAGTTTCCCAAAGAAGTGTCCCAAAATATATTTACCCAAAAAACATGAATGTTACTCTATTCTTTTCTTTTCTATTCCATTCTGTTCCATCTGTCTTCTTTATGCTATTCTATCCTATTCTTTTCCATTATAAAACTGCTGGTCATAACCTACTAAATTGATTTCATGGCCAAGTAATGGGGTCTGCAACCTAAAGTTTGAAAAGCCTTAAAGGCTAGATGATTTCCCTGTATTTTGTATAACAGAAAGCTTAAACCAGAGAAGCTTATAAAAATTCATTTTACACATGGATTTTCAAAAATATACAATGGCATAGAATGAAGTTCACCCATAGCTGAGAATTAAGTGGGAGAAAAATCTGTGAGAAAATTATATTATATCCCCTTTAACCTTCCTCCAATCCAGGCAGCAACAACTCTACTGCATTGTTGAGTGGGTAAGACAACAACTCTCACTTTGTCTTCTGCCAGTAAGTTGTCATAGTGCTCCTTGCACACATCCAGGTCTTCTCTAGATTTCCGAACAGCTTCTGAAGTCTGGCTCTATAACAGCATCAGGAATAGTTGATTGAAACTGGAGACTTTCCAGCATAAACAAAAATATTGGGGATACTAAAAAGAGCAAGGAATTTCCTAGTACAAGAGAAATATGTCTGTGAAGTATTTATTCATGAAGATAAGATTTATAGAAGAAAATACACCAATTGGGGACTTTGAAAGAACACCCAATCACCTGTTTCTAAGTACAGCCAACTCTGTGTATGAGTGTGTGAGTGTCTATGGAGCACACTGCATTCTTGGTAAGTCAGTGTGGAGGATGAAAGTGCACAGGCTTCGGAATCACATGGACCTGGGTTCTGAGAGACTGGATATACATGCAAACAAGGGCCAGACCATATGTAACAACAGAATTCTGACCCACAACCTCTACAATCATCAGCTGGGAAACTAAACCACAGCCTTTTTAAGGATTGGCCTCAAACTTTCAGGGCTTGATCATTACCACCAGCTTCTATAATTTTGTCCCCATTTCCAACCTAGGACCATCCAGAGAAAGCCAAATATGTTCCCTAAACCAGTAAAATGAGTTGTCCCGCTTCTAATTGGTTTGCCTCTAGCTTCCTCATGCCAACAACTTCCAATGATGTTGCATCTGAAGCCCTCTCTTCTTTGCACTATAAAGCTTTCCTACTCCTTTCCTGCCTTTGAGTCTGCCAAAAGTAACTGATGGTGGATGAGTCCCTTGCTGTGCCAAGCTCTGAATAAACAGCATCTGCTCATTTGCATTTGGATGTTCTTCACTTATTCCCACAGTTCCAGCTGCTGCTCTATTACACACTAGTGGCTGACTTAGGCATGCTACCCAGACTCTCTGAGATGGTATCCTCATCTGTGAAAGAAATCTAGTATGCTGCAGGGTTGCTATATGTAAAGTTGTATTTAGAAGAAGCTTTGCATATGCTGTTTAATAGGCTCTTAGAAAAAAGTTCATGTCATTTTTAAGTCACACATTCATAAATGCTCTTTACTAATACTACTAACAAAAGCTGACATTTGTAGAAACATTATGTGATAAACATTTTGTATTCATTGTCTTTTTAATGAACCATATCTATCCAAGCTCATATTTAGAGTTTTTCATAATACGGCAGTTTTTCATTCTATACGCAAGCCCATTGCTTACATCTTAGTAAATCTTAGCGTGTCCAGAGAGAAAAACATTCCCTAGGTAAGAGCTTGCAAATAGCTTAAAAGGTTATATGCCTTGTCCTAGGTCCCACAGCCAGTGCTTTCAACCATGAAGCTATATGGCCTCATTTTATAAACCATGTCATATGAAAGCTACACAGTTCTTTTGGCTAAATGATTGCAGATGCAGAATCACCTAACTTTATTAACAGATTGGAATGGTTACTTTCACCTGGCCCTGGAGCAAAGTTCCAGACAGGGAGCCAAGGGATGCACATGGTTATGTAGGAATGGTGCAAGGAAGGAAGGAAGGGTCTAGACACGTGAGCTCTTGCTAAATGAGGGGCATGTCTATCAGAAAATGCTTGTATTCAGATTTCAGACACTATTCTTACTTTCTCGTGCTGTTTCCTTGTAAGGTAGTTGTTCAGGAATTTTTCTCTAGAGCTTAATTCTTCATCCAACAATAAAGAAAATGCAAGGTTACTTATTTTCAGTTCCTCCTGTAGAAATATTTAAGAAAAAGGTTGGTGGAATTACTTCCACCTGAGACAATATTTTCTATAGACTTGGCACTAATCAAGCAAGTTTATGACATACACATAAACTTTAAAATGTAAGAGAAACATTTTAAAGAAAAAGGGAATACAGCTTATTGAAATAACTTCAGTTATTTTACCTTTTTCATAATTTCATTGTAAGGTAAATCACATATACAAAAAATACATAACATGAATATATAATTTAATGGGTTATTATAAAGGCAAACACTCTTGTTAGCACCACTTATCGCAAGAAACAGAACTTTACGACTGCAGTTGCTTCTTCCAGGAGTCCTCATCAAAATCTCAACCCCAGTACTAAACACTATCTTGACTTTTTATTATATATTGTGTTTCTTTGTAGTTTTATTACCCAGGGGTGTATAATGCTGTAGTTTGGATATTTGCCCCATCCAAACTGCATGTTGAAACGTGATCCCTGGTGCTGTAGGTGGGGCCTCATGGGAGGTGTTTGGGTCATGGGTATGGGTCCCTCATGAATAGATCAATTCCCTCCCTCAGGGGTGAGTGAGTTTATACTCTATTAGTTCCCCTGAGTGCTGATTGTTAAAGAGAGGATGGCACTCCCCTGCACCCTCTCTTGCCTCCTCTCTGACCATGTGATTTCTGCACACCCCAGCTCCCCTTCACCTGGCATAAATGGAAGCGGCCTGAGGCCCACATCAGATGCCCAATCTTGAACCTTCTAGACAGCAGAATTATGAGTCAGATAAACCTCTTTTCTTTATAAATTATGCAGCCTCAGGTATTATTTATAGCAACACAAAACAGACTAAGACAGAAACCTAGCCACTTCAGTATAACTTATTCATAATTTTTTTTCATGTCTTTTAAATCTCTTTTTACTACCTGGATGATGAAATAATCTGTACAACAAACTCCTGTGACATGAGTTTACCTACGTAACAAACCTATACATGTACCTCTGAACTTAAAGGTTAAAAATAAAATAAATCTCTTATACTCTTCACGTTCCCTTTCATTTCTTTTCCTCATAATTTATTTGTAGTTATCAGCAGTCTCTGTAGCATTGCAGAGTCTGGTTTTAATGCCTGTATATTCATGGTGTAGTTTATCAAGGCTTCATCCTTTTTATTTCTTGAAAAATGGCAGCTGGGTCCAGAAGCCTGATTAAATCTAAATTTGATCCTTTTAACAAGACTATAGGTGGTATTGTGTTCTTTGATCAGGAGACATATATCATCTGATTGTCTTTCTTTCTGTGATGTCAGCAGCTGCAGATACTCAACGCCCGGGTCCATTAATCCGTTGAGAGATGCAAAATGGTGAAAATCTGGTTTTAGTTTCCCTTTTCACTTATTAATTGAAATACTTTTATAAAGAGATGCTTCTCATCATCTACTATTTGGTTTCAAAGTGGTACACTTCAGTTCATATAGGAAAGGCAGACAAAATACTTGATGCTTTCCCTTTATCAGTTTTTAGATAATGAATTTGTTTTCATCCTCTGAAAGTGACTGATTGGCACTTCTCTTTTTAAAATATCATAAATTCATAAATTTAAACAAATGTGACGGGTTTAATTTTTTACAACTATTATCATCTTTGAATCTTAAATTGTCTCATTTAAAGGAAATGTTTTAAGTCAGCTCCTGAATTATTTTGATATTACTGAGTAGTCTGTTAGTTTCCTCATTATCTTATATGACATGAGGATCTCAGCATACCTTTAAAAAAATAACAACTTTGTTGAGATATAATTCACATACCATACAATTCACCATTTACAGTGTAAAATTCAGTGTATTTTAGTATATTTGCAGAGTTGTGTAACAATCACTACAATCAATTTTAGAACATTTCATCATTCCCCAAAAATTCTTTAGCCGTCATTTCCCATCTGCCCCTCTGTTACCTCCTAGAGGCCTCCTCCTCCCCACAAAAGCAACGACTTTCTAATTTCTGGCTTTATAAATTTGCCGTTTTAGAAACTATATGATTCCACAAAAATGGAATCATACAATATGTGGCCTTTGTTGTCTGGCTTCTTTGACTTAGCATGTTTTCAAGGTTCATCCATGTTGTACCATATATTAGCACATTCCTTTTTATTGTGGGATAATACTCCCTTGTATGGATACACCATATTTTACTCATCTGCTCTCAGCTGTTGAATATTTAGATTGTTTCCACCTTTTGGCTATGACTAATGCTGCTGTTAGGCTGGAGCATTCATTCCCAATCTTCCCCCTCACTCCCAGTATATCCATACATCCACTCCCTGCCAGGCCAGTGATTACATTCTTCTATCTGTGGCCACAACTCCCAAGAGCAGCCCCTTTCCCAAGGCTACAGGTCTTGCTGGTTCTGGGAACAGCTCTCTTTCCCTGCCTTTTTAGCTCTAGAGATGGTACTGGCCTCCCATTGTTTCTAATTACAACACATTTGCCACTCCTTGCTGTTTCCCTTAACCCTGCTCATACCTCTGTAAAAAGTCACTGAGGGAATTTAAATGTAACCTTTTCAGTGTACCATTCCTGTTGGGATCCTGGGGATATAGTCATCCTCCTGAAGATTCCCTTCACATCTCTCCAGTGTTGCACCATCTTTTCTCATTAAGCCCCCTGCTTTGGTCAGACATCTTTCAAAAGCTCTCATCAAATGAGTGCATGTAAATTTGGGAGACCCGGCATTTCTCAAAATATCATTATTCTCTTTTTTTAACTTTTATTTTAGGTTCAGGGGTACATATGCATGTTTGTTATCTAGGTAAACTTGTGTCATGGGGGTTTGTTGTACAGATTATTTTGTCACCAGGTACTAAGCCTAGTACCCAATAGTTATTTTTTCTGATCTTCTCCCTCCTCCCACCCACCACCCTCAGGAAACCAGACACCCCAGTATCTGTTGTTCCCCTCTATGTGCCCATGTGTTCTCATCATTTAGCTCCCACTTATAAGTGAGAGCATATCATATTTGGTTTTCTGTTCCTGTGTTGGTTTAATAAGGATTATGGCCTCCATCTCTACCCATGTTCTAGCAAAGGACATGATCTCATTCTTTTTGATGGCTGCACAGTATTCCATGGTGTATATGTCCCACATTTTCTCAATCCAGTTTATCATTGATGGGCATTTAGGTTGATTCCATGTCTTTGCTATTGTGAATAGTACTGCAGTGAACATATGCATGCATGTGTCTTTATAATAGAACAATTTATATTCCTTTGGGTATATACCCAGTAATGGGATTGCTGGGTTGAATGGTAGTTCTGTTTTTAGCTCTTTGAGGAATTGCCATACCGCTTTCCACAATTGTTGAGCTAATTTATATTCCCACCAACAGTGTATAAGCATTCCCTTTTCTCCACAGCCTCACCAGTATCTGTAATTTTTTTACTCTTTAGTAGTAGCCATTCTGACTAGTGTGAGATGGTATCTGGTATTTCATTGTGGTTTTGATTTTCATTTATCTAATGATCAGTGATGAGCTTTTTTTCATATGCTTGTTGGCCACATGTATGTCTTCTTTAGAAAAGTGTCTGTTCATGTCCTTGACCACTTTTTAATGGGGTTGTTTTTTTTCTTGTAAATTTAAGTTCCTTGTAGATGCTGGACCTTTGTCAGATGCAGAGTTTGCAAATATTTTCTCCCATTCTGTAGGTTGTCTGTTTACTCTGTGGATAGTTTCTTTTGCTGTGCAGAAACTCTTTAGTTTAATTAGATCCCATTTGTCCATTTTTGCTTTTGTTGTGGTTGCTTTTGGTATCTTCATCATGAAATCTTTGCCAGTTCCTATGTCCAGAATGATATTGCATAGGTTGTCTCCCAGGATTTTTATAGTTTGGGGGTTTACATTTACATTTAAGTAGATCATTATTCTATTCTTAAACTCAATGGATAGTTTGGCTGGGTATAGAATTCAAAGCTAGAAATAATTTTTTCCTCAGAATTTAAGGGCATCACTCTTTGATCTTCTTGCTTTTAGTTACTGCATACTTCATTTTTATTCCTACTGCTGAAGATAATTAAGACAGATTTTTTTTCACCTGATCTTTTGGGACATGAGGATTACTTTTTCATTCAACATACACTTTGAACAAAGCCCTTTGCTATTTGCTGGAGATACAGGGATGAACAAGACAGACTTAGTCTCTACCCTCATGGAGCATCTAGTCTTGAAAGCATTGAAAATAATCTCACATAAATTACAATTCAGTAGCAATGAATGGTAGAAAGGAAAAAATACAGTATATAATAGAAAGATATTACCTAGTGTGAGGAACTGATTTTTGAGCTGGGATCTGAAGGATGAATATAGTTCAGGAAGCAAAGAAGTGTTGGTAGACAGTATTACTGGCAGAGTTGGCAGAGGCATGAGGAGGGAGGGTATTGGGTGTGTTCAAGATGTTCAAAGAGGAAGTGTGGCAGGTAAAGGGGAAGGTGCACAAGATGAGACTGGAGAGGGACGCAGGGCCCAGAGCATACAAGATCTTAGTACCTGGTAAGGATGTTGATCTTCATCCTAAGAACCATGGAAGGGCCCTGCAAGCTCCTTAAAAGTCACATAAGTAAAGCTTTTATTTACCTGGTTGGTAACCATCTCTGCCTTCACTCTCCTTTCAAAAAGTCTTTTCAAATGTTCATCAAAGGCCTGTGTGCTTTCTTGAATAGAGTTTTGAAGTTTCTTCAGTTCTGCTTCTAATGACTAAAAGGAAAACAATAGTAAAGTTAACGTTTAAGAGTATTAAAGGCTCCTAGGAAGTGATGTTTACATTTCACCACAAGGGAGGGGCAGATGGAGGGCAGCCCTTGCAAGGTGTTCTGGGCTCTGTACTCTCTTAAACCAGAGATGCTCCCACTTGGATCTGTTTAATATACTGTGTGTTGAGATTTTTGCTTAGAAAAGATTACATTGGGGAAAAAAACTTAAAATTACTGATCATGGCTAATGATACAGGCAGAAGTAGGCCTAGGAAAGCAAATTGCAGCAAATCTTTCCAGAAAATCCTCACTCTTTATATAGGACAGCAATCTCCAGACACATGATTTAGCCCTAAAAAATTTTTTATTTTTCTCAAGCACTGGTCATTTTCATGGAATTATTTCTATTTTAAGGAAATAAGAAGTGAATGCACATATATGTATATTTATATATTTGTACTCTCTTGTTTTCTGTATGTTTTGTCTCTCCAAACAGTTCTATATCAAAAGGAAAATGTTCCCTTGTCCTCTCTTTTTAAAAAATTCCACCAGGACATAAGTGAAATATAAATTTATATTTTTAAAGAGAACAACATCAAAATATGAGGTAAAATTTTCATTGCACAACAGGGTGACTATAGTCAACAATCACTTAACTGTACATTAAAAAATAACTAAAAGAGTGTAACTGTATTGTTTATAACCCAAAGGATAAATGCTTGTGAGGATGAATATCCCATTCTCCATGTTGTGATTATTTCACATTGCATGCCTGTATCAAAACATCTCATGTAGCCCACAAATATACACACCTACTTTGTACCCACAAAAATTAAAATTAAAACATACAAAGTAAAAAACATGTAAAAAATGAGGTATATTGCTATAAATCATTTTTATCTTTAAATTTGTTTGCAACTGTTAATTTTGATATAACTTCAAACTTATAGAAAAGTTGCAAGAATAGTACAAAGAATTTCCATATACCTTTTTCAAAGTCACCAACTGTAGACATTCTACCCTATTTGCTTTATCACTTTTCTCTCTCTCTCTCTCTCTCTTCTCTCTCTCTCCCACCCCCTGCCCCTCTGCCCCCTACCTATCTACTTTCTTTCCTACACTTTTCTGAACCATTTGAGAATAATTTGCAGACACTTGAGGACAGGCCACTTATTTTGTAGAATGTCATTCAGTTTAGGTTTGTCTGATGTTTTCTCAATTGTACACCCAGGTTACACATTTTTAGCAGGAACACTATGTAAGTTATGTTATGTCCTTCTGTGACTACCCCATCAGGAGATACATGATGTTGGTTTGCTTCATTATTGGTGATGTTAACTTGGATCACTTGGTTAAGTAGTGTCTGCCACTTTCTCTATTGTAAAGTTAGTTTTTCCATTTGTAATTTATTAATTTGTGGAAAGATACTTTGAGACTATGTAAATATCTTGTTTCTCATCACACTTTTATCTAACAGCTTTAGCATCCATTGATAATTCTTATTTAAATTAATTATTACTATGATGGTAATAAATAGTTTAAATATACACCAGTTTAAAAAGTTGAAAAGCCAAGTTCTCTCTATGCCAGATTAATAAGGAAAGAGACTGATTCCGGGAGGATAATGGAGAAAGAGGTTTAGCAAAAATAATAGAGGCATATGATGCCAGGACAAAGACCATCCAAATTAAGCTACCTAACAGTGAGGAGATATGAAAATAAAACAAACAAATATGAAAAAAACACATCTCAGGGTCATTTGCTTGTAATAATTTATATTGCTATCTCATAGCCACGGAAAAGTCCCACAGATTGTGTCCTTCTGGTGGCCCTTTATCAAGTTCACCTGTTCCTAGATAATGAAAACATCAGCATATGGCAAATGGCCACAGACCCAGCTGGCTGAGGCCAGATTGTCTACATGTCTTAGATCCACCCTTCTTTAAAAACACTGAGATTCTGGGCCTTTTGAGGGTCTCTGGTCCTGAAAGAATCTTTTTGTAGTGTAAAATGGCCCTTTGCCATTTCTTCTTCAAATGCCCCAAATTCTTCCCACTGCAGGTCCTTCTCACATGCTCTTCCATCTGCCTATGCTTCATTTCCCACTCTTCGGCCTCTTCAGTCTTTCTCACTTTTCCAATGCAAGCATAAATGCCATGTTCTCAAGGAAGAGTTCCTTGGGCCCTGTCTTAAGTCTCAGAAGCAAGGCCTGAAACAAGATTCCAGGGCACATGATTTCTGGAGGGGGCGCTCTTTAGGAGACACCTGTAAGGGGGTGAGGGAAGCAGTGCAGGCAAGGGGCAGGAGCTGAGCAATGAAGCCATCTCAGGTGGCCCAGCCTTGGCTGGGGAAGGGCAGAGGAAAAACCCTGATTCCCAGGGTTGGGAGAAATGAGAGGGACTCTGCTGAATTGTCTCATCTTGGGGTGAGGAGGCTGGGCTTTTGTACCCCCTTCACCTTGGGCTCCATCAGCCGGTCACTGGCTGCCCTGGGTGAGGGTAGTGGTGTAAACTTGGCGATGTCTCTGGACATGGAGGCTCCCTTGATCATCCAAGGGCAACAACATTCCAGAGAAGGTCTCAGGTGTAAAAGCCTCTATCAGGAGCACTCATAGCAGTGAGGGGATGGGCACAGCAGCTGGCAAAGGGGATCTGGTGGGTACCAGTGGCTGATCTAAGTCAATGTCTGTGTTCACCATCATAGATGGCACCCTGAACTTGCCCTTCTAATTTATCACATTGCAGTTAAATAATTATCTTGCGAATGCACAGTTACTATATAACCGTCTTCACTCCACATAATGGTCATCTTGAAGGGGGTAGGGGAGGAGAGGCACAGGTAAAAATGAACTCAGCCAGGAGGTGATAAGTACTATGGAGAACCACAAGGCAGGGAAAAAGGGACATGGGGCAGGATTGAGGAGAAGCAGGAATCTCCACCATAATAGGAAGATGAGGTGACAATTGAGTAGAGATCTCAAAGTGGTGAGAATGTGAGTCATGTAGCTAAAAGGGGGAAGAGCGCTCCAGGCCAAGGATACAGTGTGTCAAGGACCTGCAGCGAGAATGACCTACAGGTGTTCAAGTCAAGAGTTTGCTGGGTATCTGAGGAACAGTAAGGAAATCAGTGGAACTGGAACAGTTAATGAGGGAAAGAATGACAGGAGATGAAATGAGATGGGATATAGGGATTGGGGGAGGAGGCAGGGGGCAGAGGAACTAAGGCAATAAAGCCTGGGAAAGGTGACAGACAGTAGTTTGCATTAGAGTGGTAGCTGTAGAGGTGTCAGAAAAGCAGCTACTTTGAAATAAAAAAGAAGGGACTTAAAAGGGCAGAGGTGTGGTCTCAGGGTACTGCTTTGGGGAGAAAAGGGCAACTCGAAAGAGGAAAGTGCCCTGTGGAGACTTGGGAGTAAAGGGAAAGAAGGAAGAGGTGGAAATTAGGGGGTCATATAGAAACAAAAGAAAAATCATAAAATCGGAAGACACACCAGCCTCTTCCCCATTGCTTAAAGAAGTCAACTGTATATCAAACTGGTAATGTTATCCTCACAGAAAGGGGAAAAAAAGAATTAGTCAAAGTAATTCTAAACATAATATGTTGGTGTATTCTTAGCGGGATATAGTCTAAGAACAAAAAAAAAGCTACTAGGAAATCCGAAAATAGCTATAGTATTTGTTTTGTTTGTTTGGAGGGACTGTTTCTTTATTTCCAAAAAGATACCTGTTAATATTCAGTATCACAATGGTTGCACTATTGGTTTCTCTTTCTCCCAATTGGCCCCAAAGAGACTACATCAAAGAAGAGTACATTTTAAGCCAATAAGCTTCAGGATGTAAACCTAACAGACCTTACACAAAAACCTTACCAAAAAGTGGGGATTGAGTGGGAAAGAATCTTTAAACGATCAGCAAACTGCCAGCCCACAGACTAGAGAGCTCTCACAGTCAAACAGGGTGGCTCGGATGCCACAAACCCAAAGAAGCAAAGTTCCAAAATAATATAAAATTTAAAAGGTTTTGTACATAACTTGTTCAAAATTTGTCCAGCACCAACTGATACCAAGCACAATGATATGGTACTTTTAGAGACAGCAGCTCGAAACCCAGAAAACGGCAAGGAGATGGGGTTTATATGGCTAAATCGGTGGCAAAAACACAATCTTACTTCTTTCTTTCAAGGACGCAGGAGAGCAATTAAGTGGTCCCCTCAACATAAGGGGCACATGATCCATTCTGTAAGCAACTGGCAAGGGGATAGGGATGGGACAAAAATTTGGTCTCAGAGGTCTCACCATCTTAATTTTGGTCACTTCTAATGAAAAAAATAAAACAAGTAAAAATAACATTGTCTAAAGATATCTTAAAGCTGAAAACCTGAACTGCACATTTTTGTTGTTGCTGCTGTTTGGCTAACCCCTCCTGGAATCACCTTTCTGGTTTAGCTGATACTTTGTAGAGAACAAAGTGGTTTCCCACAGGGGAGTCTTTCCCTGGACTCTGTTTAGTTCTCAGTAAGGCAGGCCCATACCTTTTTCCTTCCTCTACAGAGAGGGCAATGTGCATTAAGCTGAAAAGTCACCTTCCAAAAGTGACAAAGGGATTAGACTGCAGAGCTGTAGAAGTATTTGGAATGTTTTACATATGGTTGCTATAAAACAACAAAAAAGGTAATTACAAAATGTGCACATCACAACATGCTTTTAAGGACATTATGCGTTGTGCTCATGTTCCCTTAAATGTTGTTACCAAAGGGGCTCAGCGTCTAGCCCAGCTGGAATCTCTGGGAAGAGGCAGAGATAGTTTGGTGAAAAAAACATAGGGGGTAGATGGGACAGCATTTTTGATAGAGGTATTTTATGTACATTGTAGGACTGAGCAAATCAGTAAGTATATGTGTATTTTGGGAACTAGAGTTTTCACTGAAAAAGGGAGACCTAAATATTAAATGAAGGAAAGAGAAAAGAACCCTGTGCTGTCGAATTGGAATTGAGTTGGAATTGGAGCTAACTGGATGTGTGTGTGTGTGTGTGTGTGTGTGTGTGTGTGTGTGTGAGAGAGAGAGAGAGAGAGAGAGAGAGAGAGAGAATGACTCCTAACCCCTATAGCAAAGAACACATCTGGTATCCAGATCTTGGTCTCTAAATACCAATTGCCAGCAAAAGGAATCCAGGATTCTCTAAAAAGAAAAATAGCTTATTCTTGGTGCCTAAAACATCTTGCTGTGTTAGAAACGGAGAAAGTGCTCAAAAACTGATGAGGACACATGAAAAGGACACAGATGACAACTTGAAGAAGCTCCGAACACTTTGAACAACAGAAATAATAATGATAGTCATGGATTAAAACACATTAAGTTAGAGTATGCCTCTGGTAGGGCAGAGGAAAAGCTCTTCTTTGCAGAAGAATACTAACTAATAAATATAAATGATAAAAGCTAGAAAGGCACCGTTTTGCAATCACTACAGTAATAATTGATTCAGGCAAGGATCATCAATGGATGCCAAAAGACAGAATGAACAGAGAGTCAGATTCAAAATGTCACCCCCACAGGTTAGTTATTACACACGAAGGAGAAAGAGAACTTCTATAACAAAGAAATCTGGAGAAACCTTCTTTCCAGTGATCATACTTAATGTTACCAACAGTGGGACTGACTGAAATCTGGAACCTCCTGATACGATGCACTGAAGACACAGCATCATCTACTTAGTATGATTGTCAGAAATACTGCACCTAAATCTAATCATGAGAAACCAATCAAATTCAACTTGGGGGACATGCCACAAAAAAATAAGCCTCGATTTTTAAAAAATGTCAATGTCATGGAACACAAAGTTGTAGAACTGTTGTGGATTAAAGGAGACTAAAAGAACATTACAAACTAAGTGAAATTGATTAGATTTTTTGATAAACACCAATAAAAAAAGTTATGAAGGACACTACTTGGACAACAGGGTAATCTGAATATAGACTTAATTAGATAATCATATTAATATTAAGCTTCTTTTGTATGATAATTTTACTGTGGTTATGTAGAAGAATATTTTTGTTCTTAGGAGGTTTAAGCTGTAATATTTAGGAATATCATGATATCTGTGATTTGTCTCCAACTATTCAGGAGAAAAAGAGAACAAATGTGGCAATATAAAAAACTGATGTGCACAGGTATACATATACAATATATATATAACATATACGTAATATATATGCCATTGGTACAAATATATGGTATATAGATGGTACTATTCATGTAACATTTATGTACATTTGAATAATTCTAAAATAAAAATTGGTGAAAAAAATAATCCAATGTTAGGGAAGTAAGTGGAGGTATAAAATGAATTAAGATTGGCCGTGAGTAGATAATTGCGGAAGCTGGATAAAGGGGTCATTATACTGTTCTCTCTATTTTTATACATGTTTGACATTTTCCACGATACAAGATTTTTTTTTTACTTGAGAGAGAAATTGAAAACCATCAACATAGATTTTTTTGAGTTTTGCAGTAAAGGAGAGCAGAGACATTGAGTGATCCAGGGGGAAAGAGAGGCCAAAGGAGTTGGGTTTTTTCCTTTTACTTTTTGTTTTGAAATAAATTTATACTGACCCAAATATCACAAGAACAGTAGAAAGAACTCAAGCATTTCCTTCCAGGAAGTATTTTTTTAATAAGATGAGAGATGTATACAATTATAGCATGTGTCTACACTGATGGGGAAAATCCACAGGGTGGGAAAAATTGATGATGCAGGAAAGAAGAGGGTAAACTGATGAGTAATGACATTGAGTAGGTGAGATGGGATGGTGACTAGTGCACCAGGAGAGGACCAGGCTTAGGTGGATGCAAGGCCATTTCACCCATAAGAAGCAGAAAGGCAGACGCCATGGATTCAGTGGAGCTGGCGGGTGGATGCAGCAGTAGAGGAGTAAGGGAAATAACTTTTAGTTGTCTCTCTTCTCTTAGTAAAATAGAAAATAAGGTGAGAGTGAGTTGAGGGCGTCAGGTGTTGAAAGTTTGGGAGATGCGCAACGGGTGTGAAATGGTACTCTAGGATCCTGCTACTTAAAGTAGGGTCCACTGGACAGCAATAGCCTATTTGGAGTGCAAAATCTCAGCGTCCTTCCATTTTCACAGAGAAACAATGAAATCAGAACCTGCATTTTTAACAAATCCCCCAGGTGATGCAGATTCGCATTCAAGTGTGAGAGCACTTGGCTAGGGGAAAAATGGAGTAGCATTGCGGACCAGCTCTAAGGACCCAGTTGAGATTAAGGTCATAATTTTGAGTAAACCCAGTCAATAGTTTTTCTTTAGCCACTTCATGGGTGCAGGTGCAGAGAAGGCAGAGTATCAGATTTAATCAAGGCTGGGGT
Source organism: Homo sapiens (assembly GCF_000001405.40). Lineage (NCBI taxonomy): Eukaryota > Metazoa > Chordata > Mammalia > Primates > Hominidae > Homo > Homo sapiens. Next base: position 104,160,099 of record NC_000010.11, read on the forward strand.
TTCAGCAGGTGAGTACAAAGAAGGTGCAGGGACATGAGGGTGCAGGCAGTGGACTATCTTACAACACAAAACTGTGGAGTAAATGTAGTTGATAGGTCATCAGCCTTTATTCCTTAGGCATCTATACTCCATAACTCTTTGAAATCTTTACTTCTTTCAGTATTACTGATTTTGGCTTTGAGTAAGAACCATTTTAGGTTAAAATACAAGGGACCCTACAGGGCCACAGTGAATAAAAATGTGGACAGGTTCACAACAGATTCAAAGAAGCTCTTCATGAGATACAGCCACTAGCAAGCTGGAAAGCTGGCCTACCTTGAATGATGGTATGACTTTACTTCCTTCTTAGAAGAATAAATATTATTTACTTGACTGCACATCACCGTCTTTTATATCTCTACTGTAATTGTGAGCAATTTTAATGTGACAGTGTTTCCTTCTGATGGATGGGGATAAAAGTAGCAGAACTGCACTGTAAAAACCTTGAATTTGAGTTGTAAATAATGTACTGCATTGATTATGCCATTTGTTATTCAAACCTTTTTCCTGAGATGGAGAACAAATCAAGCAAAAGTATTACTGAATTCAAATAAATGTACACAACACAGAGCAATACCTTGCCGTGACTTGAACATGTTGTATTAGGGGTTCATTGAACACCTGAAGAATGAATGAAGGGCCAAATGAATTGTAATGACACGGGAAATGCTGAAATCAATAACAGCTTTAAAAAAACTATTGCTGTATGTTTCTTTGCTTTAAAATTGGTTTAATTCCTTAAATTTATCTCCACTTACTTCTCCAAATTCTCTTGAGAATTTAAGCTGAAACACTGTCCTTAAGCTATTAAAGATATCGACAAAGTAGAAAACATTTGAAAAGATATTTAAACAGCACTCTGGATATGGTAGGTTATATTAATTATTTGCTCTTCTGACCTTTCTATACTTATCTCTTTCTTCATTTAACTCCTTTACTTTTTTCTCATAATCTTTGAATTGTTTTCTTTCTTCTTCAGTCCACACAGCATCAGGTTTTGCCATGAAAGCAGGTTGAGGAATCACCTGAAGATATGAAGAAAAGCATATATTTCAGCTCAAACGTTAAATGCAGTAGTACAGTAAAAGCTCAGAGTTTTTTTTAAAAAGCCCTTTAAAAGGATACAGTCCTTCACATTGGCAAGGAAAACGACCTGACATCTTGGGCAAAAGATATTTTAAAATTTTACAACAGTTCTTCTGTGACTTAGGTGAAGGTGAGCAGGGTGGGATATACCTGGACTCTTAGGTGATAGACTCAGAGGGGTGTGTTGGTATCTTTATAGTGAGAACTACCCCTGAGCCCCAGGAAAACCTATGTCAGGTATCAAAGAAAATGTTTCCTGGTATATCTGGATAATTACTGATGAAACAGTATTCCTGCCTTCAATAGAGACCAAAACCACTGTAGTTACTTATTTTTATTGATTTGTTTGTGTCTTGTCAGATTGGAAGGCAAACCTGCATTTTCAAATTTATTATCTGTCTAACGTGGTATGTTTTTGGTTTTCTGAGACAGGGTCTTGCTCTGTCTCTCAGGCTGGAGTGCAGTGGTGTGATCACAGCTCACTGTAGCCTTGAACTCCTAGCCTCCTGCCTTGAATTCCTGGCCTCCTCACTTAGCCTCCTCAAGTGCTGGGATTACAAGCATAAGCCACCACGCCAGGCCCTAATGTGGTAGGTTTATAAGGTACTACGGAGGTTGTATAATAGTTGTTGCTGTAGAACTTCTAAAACCCAGGTTTATATAGGACAAAAATGGTAAAACTTAAGTAGCTCTTTCCACCCCATTCCACCTTCTATAAGGATGAACAGAAATATCACCATTCTCAAAATATCTTCCTTCTTGACTTCCAGAACTCCTCCCATCATGTCCATCAGAGCTCGGAGTCTTGTACTGGCATCCTGGGAAAGAGCCAGAATCAGAGAGGAATACTGAGACAGAGACCTGACATTCCAGGTGGCTCCAGAGGCAGCTTCCCACCCAACATTAGAATGACTGCATTTGGGATTGGGGAAGGTAGGTAGTGCCTGGAGGAGAGAAGGGGAAAGGAGGCCAACTGAGATTCAAGTGACCTCTGACCACGACAAATGTGTTGATGGGTTATTAAACCAAACTAGGAAGCAGTATCCCTAAAGCAAAGAGGGTCTTAGGACCTGTGTTAAGCAAAGCTACATGCCTGTATCAGAAGCCAGTGCTCCTTTTCATGATTCACGATCAATTCTTTGGCTTTGTGCCACGGCTTAATGTGTTTGTGGGCTGTAATCTGAAAGAGAAAATGTCATTTCCTGCTATTATTCTTACAAAATTCAAACTAAACTTTCCTTCCACATACTGGGAGGAGGCTGGAAGATACTAAGGGGATTAAAGGGACTCTGCAGACTTTGCACCCAATTTTCTGTTTTGGAATAAGATGAGGTCTAAAATGAGAGAGTTGGAAAAATAGATCTTTACTTCTCTATTAACTCTCAAAGCTTGTGTCCACCACTAAAAAGATTATAACAGGGAACCTGATAGATTAAGGAGGGGAGGGAGGGGGGCTCAAAGAAGTGCCATCTAAGCCAAATTCTGAAGGATGGGGGTCCTAAGAGGTCGAGAGCTTGGGGCATTCAAGGGACTGTGTGAATGAAATTGTGACCAGAATGGAGCCAGGTGGGAGAGAAGTTGGGCAAGAAAGGGGGTGGGGTGGGCATTTAGGAGGAGGCTCGTGGGCTTTATCCCAAGTGAAGTGAGCAGCCACTGCAAGGGGTGAGGCAGAGAAGGGACATAGTAAGTTTGGCTTGCAGCAAGAGCACTCTCCTAAATGTAGGATGGACTAGAGCCCAAGGAGAAGTAGGTACAAAGTGACTGCCCCAAGCAGGGCCCTCCAGAGAGCAGCAGAGTGAGGTCCTTGCTGTCACCTTGCTCCAGAGTTTTAGGTCACATAGTGAAAGTCTGGTTTAGGAAAAATGACTTGCTTAAACAAGTACAGCAGAGTGCACAGGTTAAGAGGATGAACTCTAAGGCATGATGGTTTGGGTCCAAAGCCCCAACAATGACACTTACTAGCTTTGTAACTGTGGTCAAACTACTCAAACTCTCTGTGTCTCACTTTCCTCATCTGTAAAATGGAACTAATATCAGTACCTACCTTATGATGACTTACAATGATAAATTCATTTCAATCCATCTAGGGCACCACGAATGGTGCCCAGCCAATATCCAGCAGAGACTGTTAAAATATTTTCTATTACTTCTAAACACCACTATTATCTTTTGTCCCCAGGAGTCAAGTTGGTTTTATGTGAGAAAAGGTCTTTCTTTGAGTATTCTTTAGCATTTTTTTTTACTTTTAAAAAATGAAATATTGTCAGATTTTAATTGTTTTCTTTAGGCATTTATTTCCAACTGCCTCTGTGCCAAAACCTTTAAAGAAAGCTGTCCGGAGAGCCCCTTTCTCTGGGATCCACACCGCCTGAATGACCTAGATCACTACTGGAGCTCCACTGGCCTCGTTCCCGCAATGTGACCCAACCACTCTGGGTACAGGCACTGGACCCCAGCTGGGCCAAGGAGCCCCTTCCCAAATGAACTGGGAATTGGGACTAAGAGATTCTAATTCAGACCAGCTACTTTCTCATGTGGAGGAGATACAAAGTAGAAATTGCTAGAGGAAGTAGAAATGCAGAGTGATGTGAACTAAGAGATGAAGATAGAAGGCTTCTGGGCCTCCCATGAGGCTCTAGTCTTTGGTTTCTGCTTCTTCCTGGGCTCAGTGTCCAAATCTTCCCTGGACTCCACAGGATTCGTAAAAGAAATTCTCATCATTGCTGAGGCTACATCATGTCTTTCTGTTACCTGCAACTGAGAGTGCTACCCAGTACAATCACTTCCCACAGAGTAACCAAGTTGAACAAATAGGAGCTGGGGAAAGTCTCCTGAGAAAGAAGGGAAAGGAGAACACAGCTAGCCAGTACCTCCTCATCTTGCACAACAAGCGTTCTCTCTGGCTTCTCACAGTCTTCAAATTCTGGTTGCCAGACTGCTTCTTCCAATTCCAGATCTAAAATAATTTCTCGAATTCGAACATTTCTTTCCTTCACGCGTGCAATTTCAAACTCTTTTTGTTTATATGCAGCGTCAAACTCATTATTGAAAACAGTTTTTACCTTGTAAATGATATCCTGAAATATTAACATGTTACTGAAAACACATCACATATTATATCTTTACTGGTAACATGATCCCACAATTATACTTTCCCTCTAAAATCATTCCACAAATTTTTTTTTTTTTTTTGAGATGCAGTCTCGCTTTGTTGTCCAGGCTGGAGTGCAGTGGCATGATCTCTGCTCACCGCAAGCTCCGCCTCCCGGGTTCACGCCATTCTCCTGCCTCAGCCTCCTGAGTAGCTGGGACTACAGGTGCCCGCTACCACGCCCGGCTAATTTTTTTGTATTTTTAATAGAGACGGGGTTTCACTATGTTAGCCAGGATGGTCTTGATCTCCTGACCTTGTGATCCACCTGCCTCGGCCTCCCAAAGTGCTGGGATTACAGGCGTGAGCCACCGCGCCTGGCCCCACAAATTATCTTTTAAGAAGGTAAAATGAATCTTTCTAGAATACTACTTAATATTAAGTCATTTCTTGGCTCAATAATCTACAGTGGCATCCAGGTATGGGTAGGATTAAGGCTACCACATAATTGTTAGACTATAACCTACTTCCTGAAATGTAAATTGTAACTCCATGTGCAGGTTGACAAATGCTGAAGTGGGTGATGGGTAGTTAGAGGCTCATTGGGCTATTCTCTCTACTTTTGTACAAAATCCACTATAAAATATTTAAAAAGCAATATACAGGATTTAAGTTGGCACATGTCTTTTCTTTGGAACCTGGGTTGGGGTAGATGTGGAAAAGAAGAGATAGTTTGTAGAAAGTATTTGGAGAATCTGCCAGAGAATCACCACCACACACAATACTCTTCTTCTATATGAACACACCATTCTCAGGTAGGAAAGAAACCTGTGCTAGCCAGCTGGAGTAACCAATTCCTAAGGTGCCAGTGGGACCAACTGGATTGCCCCCACTCCTGGTGATGGGTCAATCCAAAGTGGCCTTTATGTTGCCATAGGAGTTTAGTCTATGTCTATCCTACTGAAGATGAAACCATTAAAGCAAGGTGAAAAAAATGATCTGAACAGCTAGCACAAAAATTTCTCTTGGGCTGAAATTACCTCCTTGTAGGAAAACACCTTAATTAAAAGCAGCAAGAAGGTGAGACCCTGAAGGCAGAAGCTGAGCAACAAATGAGGTAACTAAATAGCTCTGAGTGTAAATGAACAGAAATTTCAGGGGCTAGAGCATAAAAAGAAGAGGATAGGAAGAGAGAGCTAAGAACATGGCAGGAGACTAGAATTCAAATTGCAGACGTGGCTGGAGGGTTTTCAGGAACAGGGATTGCCAGCATTCAATTTCAAACTATCTTCATTGGCACAATCTCAGTCACTGCCTTTTCAAAAACCTTCAGTCAGGGTTTCTACATGTATAGACGTATTCTAAGACTGTTTGGTGGAAAGTTAAGGAGTAGGAGCTTAGAGCCAGAGGGACCCCAACACCTTGTCCTCGAACCCCAGAATTTACAGAAATTTAGAGGAAATTGTCTTTCCCCAGGTTAAGCAGATAGATAAACAATAACATCTTGATCTTACAGGGAAATCCTAATTGACATTTGGGTATACCGAGAAAACGGAATTCTAGTGTTTTCTTTTCTCTTTGAGCTTACTGAAGTCCAAAACAGAATGGTTTGTGGTGTCAGCTGTTGTGGAATGTTCTTTAGAAAACTTGGTATCACAGTAACCTAGTCCAAATGGTCGAACGCAACTCTTGTACACAAGATCTGTCTAAAGGACATGGACAGTATCTGTATATTCCTCTATGTATTGTTATTTATTTATTTATTTTGAGACAGTGTCTCGCTCTGTTGCCAGGCTGGAGTGCAGATCCAGCTCACTGGCATGATCTCGGCTCACTGCAACCTCCACCTCCCCAGTTCAAGCGATTTTCCTGCCTCAGCCTCCCGAGTAGCTGGGATTACAGGCACGCACCACCATGCTCAGCTAATTTTTTAATTTTTAGTAGAGATGGGGTTTCACCATGTTAGCTAGGATGGTCTCGATCTCTTGACCTCACGATCTGACTGCCTCGTCCTCCCAAAGTACTGGGATTACAGGTGTGAGCCACTGTGCCCAGCCTCCTCTATGTATTTTTAAATCATCATTTGATTGGCATTTGTTTTCAATGTGAGGCCTTGAAAGCCACCTAATGGGGAGTCTAGAGATTTTTCAGGATAAAAAGAAAATTGACCCACTTTCAATAATATAATTTGGTTGATTTTCTCTTCTCTGGAATGAAGCTCCAATTGGCTTGACAATAAAGAGGTATCTACCCCAAAATCAGTACTCAGACTACCAAGCAGGTAATTGGGCAAATTGCTATATTTTACTGTCTTGTCTTCCTCTTCCTCTTCTTCATCATCCTCTTCATGACGCTGTTTAATCAACTTAACTCCAGACTGAGCCTCTACAATTTCCTTCCGTAGCTACATGTAGAAAAAGATGACACAGAAGTTATGCAATAATAAGAATCCTCTAAAGGGAAATTTTGTGACAACTTAATTATTTCAACAATCATTTTAATTTGTTGAATTGTCTTGCCAACAACTGAATTCGAAGTGATGAATAGATCCCAGAACTGCTGCAGAAGAGATTAAGGCTTCAGAAACTGATAAATGATAGATAAATCAAAGGAATAAAAATTGTCCTGGATGGTGTGTAATATTTATATCTTTCTGTCAGTATGACATCTGCTTGTAAATATTTTGAGTCTTTTTTGGTACTTAAGTATTAAGAAATATATATTCTCTTTATATTTTACAAAGAAACCTGTTAACAAAGGATCAGTGGGTGAAGGTTAACACGAATTAAGCATGCCTTCTTTTTGTTTCAGAAAAAGAGTGGGTGCAAAGTTCTGACCAAAACAAAACTACACTGAAGGGCAGTGTTTTTTTAGTGGTTTGACAGAGATTATTGCTTAAAAAGTTGGGATTTAGGAAAACCATAATTCCATCAAAACAAATTCTACTTCATCCTTGATCAATTATCTTAAAATACAATCCCTAGTGACAAGGGAGGATGAAAAGGATATGTGTGGATGAAGACAACCTCTGTGCAGGATAAGAGCAGAACACCAAATCTCACTTTTTAAGGTATATCCTCATATTTGAGGGCTAGCCAGTGTTGTATAGGATACAGGCTCCTTGATTTATTGTGTGGATATAGGCTCCTATAGTTATTAGAATATATTCTACAAATTAACAAGAAATAAAAATATAAATACATACAATACCTAAACTTAAATTACATCCCAACTCAAACCTGAACAAAGGAGACTCTAAAATAAAGCACATCACTTATATAAACACATGTATATTTAAAATAGTACTTTAAGACACTCTGCTTCAATCTTCTTTTGCTGTAAAACTCTTTCCAATTCTTTCAGCTCTTCAACCGTGCGCGCTTTCATCGGGAAGTTTTCAACCACACAGGGGATATGAAAACACTTGGGGAAAAAAACGCAAGACAAAATAAATCCATTTGTAGTATAATTGTGTGTATCTGGGGTTGAGTAGGGGATGTTTTCTGTGATTAAAATTAACCCATAGGTTATCATGTGTTAGTAAAATTGACAATGGAAACCTTTTTAAAAATAAAACAATGTATTCCATGAGTATTGGTATAAACTTTATATAAAATACTGTGCTTTTGTGAAGGGCTGATTTTTAGGTCAGTAGTTCTCAACTAGGAGCAATTTTTCTCCTCCCTTCTCTCCCTATCCTTTGCCCCCAAGACATTTGGCAACTTTTTTTTATTGTAATTACTGGAGGCGAACAATGCTACTGTCTCCAAATAGAGGCCAGAGATGTTGCTACACACCCTACAGGGCATAGAACAGCCCCCACAACAAGAAATGATCCAGCCCAAAATGTATGGCTCATGAGGACCCTGTTTTAGAGCAATATCCATCACATAAAATGTAGGGTGGCCGTATACTTCATTGTCCACATTGGGAGCATATTTGAAAGTGAAAAGGATGCTGATAATAGTTACTCTGGGATTGCAGACAAGACCTGAGACTTTTGGTCACCCTACACAAAGAGGGAAATTACATTGGAGGGAATCTCAATGAGAAACAGCTCCTTAGAAAATGGGAAGGCAGGCACAGGCAGAAACATGAACCAGATTTCGTCTACCTTTCAATCTGTGTGAAATGTGAGTGAGCAGACAGCTATTAAGACCCAGATGCAGTGGGTGCCTGAGAGGAAAGGAGGAAAAGAATGCTAAGACAGATCTTCAGAAATGCTGGCTGGGAAGCACACGGGGACTGAGCACAGAGGGAAGGAACCAAGAGACAGGGACACATCCAGGTGAAATTCAGTATAGGAAGGGGCAAGCCATGCTCTCAGTGCTTTGCTATGCCTGAATTTTCTTAAATTTATTTTTAAAACTTTCCTGAGCTTTTGATGACAATTCTCATCAGGTTTTGTACCTAGGGTTCTATCTGTTACCTTAAGAGCTCGACCTTTCACAGCCATCGAATTCCAACATTCTTCTTTGATAAGTTCAGCCAAATAGCTCTTGGCTAAGTTATGCATCTCTACATCCTTTATCATCTTGAAGAACACAGACAAAGGGAAAAGATAAAAATGAAAGTGTGGACTCAGAAATAATAATCTCCATTGTAAACTCACTAAGTAGCCATTAACTGCACCTTCAGTGGTAGAGTTTGTCTTTCTCCAACACTTTGAGCCACCTTGCACTGAGATGCACTTTCGGGAAACACATCTCTGCCTTTGAGAACGTCTCCTGAAGTTTGTCTGTAGGCTTGGATTCTCTTCCTTGAGGACACACAGTACCTCTACCTCTAAGGATGGTCGGGTTGCATACACGAGTGAAGTGGGGTGTGAGGATGGATGCACTGTGGTGGTGAGCTGCGTAGCTAATGTGCACAAAGCCTGCTGGTTGGAACAGCAGGGAAGCAAAACCACTGAGCGAAGTCTTCCTGTTTTATTAGAGAGGTCTGGAATTCATATTTTTAAGTGAAACTGCCAGATATCTAAATGTTGGTTGAAATCTCGCCAACACACATTTGAAGTGCCAGTTTGTGACCTCTGTCTGGGAGTCTTTACTGTACTTAATTCTTCTATTATTTACATCCACAATAAAAAGAACCCTCTACTACTCTTGGGGATCATACAATCTGTGTTTTTTTCCACTTAAAAACATGTTACTTCAATTAGTTTTACTTGCTTACATAATCCTATTGCTTATTATTTAAATAATTAAGTATTCTTATTTTAATAGAGTTTTCTGAAAGGCCTGGTGTGAAAGTGAGATCTAACAATCTTTAGTCCTTAGGATCCTCTTCAGGACCTTTGTGCACTTCATTTTGTTGGCAGAATTATTAGCAAACTAGATAAGACTAATATCTCGCAGATTTAAAATGTCTTTTTTAGTACTTCTTGTGAATTTCTATTTATTTTATTGTCTGATTAAATGACTTTAATTTGCAATTCATTTCTTTTTGATTCTGATCCAGTGAGTTAATAGCTAATATAGTTTTAAATTATTTCTTTCTAAATAGACAGCTGGCTTGGCATATCAGTTGTCAGAGCCTGCCTGATTCCTAGCCCACTCGGCCCTCCTCTCTCCACTGCTGAGGCTGTTTGATCAACTCCTCCAAACTCAGTCCCTAATAATGTGTCCAGATTGTCATTATCGGGCTTTGGTCTTCTTCCTATCATTGGGATCCTGGCCGGGGTAGGGTAGTAGCCTAGTCTCTCATTCACATCCTTGACTGGCAGGTGCCACTAACTCCTCCCAAGGACTAGTATTCTGATCCTAAACATGCTGAAAGCTCCTAAACAGCTGAGTTTATGGTGCCATCTGCTAACACTGTTCTCTCCTGGGCCACTGTTGTACCTAATCTGGTGTTACTATCTCTTCAAAGGCACAGAGCTCAAGAAAAAAAAATAAACAATATGAGGGAAACTAGCATATGGAAGGCCTTTCTCTGCACCAAATCCTGCCTCAGAGGATCAAGGAGAACTCTTGAGGGATGAGCATGAATTTGGTAAGTGGCAAGGAGGGGCATCTGGGGCAGAGGCACAGGGTGGCGGTGGGGTAGGTAGGATGAGTTTGGCAATGGTAAATAGTTCAGTGGGCCAGGGGAGCAGGTTCACTGTGTCAAGTAGTTGTATACAGCTTGGAGAGAGAAGCAAAGATACAGTGAGGAAGCGGGCAGGCACTGAACCCACACACATTGCTGAGTGGTCAAGATGAGTGGGCTGGGAGAACTTGGTGCAGAATAGCAGGGGGCATTCCGAGCCTGAGCCAAACCAGAGCCAAGGAGGAAGAGTCAGGATCTTCCTGGCTCTGATCTTAGCCAAGTGACTCTAATTCTCTAAGCCTCTATCTAAGCCTCAGTTTTTTCAAGTGCGGCAAACTATCACCTGCCTCTTTTGATTGTGATGATCAAAATAAATAACATTTAAAAAGCTCCTAGATTGGTGCCTACCTCTTGTGATAAGAAAATGGGATTTTTTTTCATAGCTTCCTGTTGCACAGTTAATAAAAAAGCCAAATTCTTTACCGCAATATACAAGCTCGTCAGGGCTAGCCTCTGCCTACCTCCCCAACCTCATTCCATTAGGCTCTCTCCCATCCACGATGCTTCAGCCTTTCTGGTGTGCTGTTCCTGGAATACTCCAAGCCATTTCTGCCTGTGGGCCTTTGCTCTTGCTGCTCCCTGTGCTTGACATTCTCTTCCCTCAGATCTTTGCACAGCCAGATCTCTCTCTCCCTTTAGTTCTCAACTGAAATGTCAGCCCTTGAAGTGGTTTTCTTTGACCACAGAAGTAGATCTCCCACATCTATCACAGCATCCAGTTTGTTTCCATCATATACTATGTAGAGATTTGTTTACGGCCTGTCTTCTTCAATACATTAGCCCCATGACAGCAGAAATGTGTCTGTCTTCTTTATTCTATTCCCAGCACCTAGATTAATATGCCCAGCACATTAATAAATGTTGCAGAATGAATGAAGGAATGATTATCTCAGGTAAATTTTATTGTACTAAGTCAGTCTGTTGAGATACTCTTGTCCTAATTGTTATCCACTACATTTCCTCACCTTCTCAGTCTCATGTCATTCACTAATTTGACAAATCTCCTCATTTCTATATCTTCACCCCAGTCATTAATAAACATGTTTATCAGGACCAAGTCCTGGGGTACATGGTGGAAACCTCCCTCCTAGAGGCATCAGTCAAATAATCAACCTCCTCTTGGTGTAGTTGTTTAATCTATTATAATCCACCTTAACTGTCCTTGAATCCAGCTATCTTGCATTCTCCTGTGTTTTTATATTTGCACATTCAAAAAATTAACCTGTACTAGCAGGTTGAGAAAGAGGTAGCTTCAGAATATCCTGTGTAAAACACACTTAGGGCTTTTATTTAAAATAAAATCCATATGAGCAAACAATTTGATGTGACTGCCAGAAAATAATACAAAGGCTGAATTAATAGAAGTATAGTATGAATGGAGGTTTCAGTTTATGCTTTTCTCTACACTGGACAGAAAATAATTTGAATTCTTCTGTGGGTACCATATGCAAATATAATTAATCCAGAGGAAAACGGCATGATGATGACGAGGCTATTGAAACTATAATATATGATGGTCATAGGAGCTGGGATAATTAGCCCAGACAGGAGAAGATCCACAGGGAACATGGAAATTTCTAATCCTCTACCACTCTCAGAGGGGCCATAGAGTAGGAAGTGCTCAAAGAGTAGAAGGATCAGTGAGTACAGGAAGAAAGATTTCAACTCTAATTAAGAAAGGGCTTACTAAACCAGAAGCGTCCAAAGTTGGCATGAGGTGGCTGAGAAGACTTCCAACAATGTTCAAACGTATGGCTGGCACGAATGTCATGGAGGGGAAGCAAATGTCAGATGTCTGGCTGGCCTAGATGTTCTCCCTGCTCCTAACCCCCAAATTCGATGATCCTCTGATTCATTATACTTATATGCACTATGTTTGCTTTATTCACATTATACTGAAAAAGGTTTTGTCATATTCACATTATTATGAAAAAGTTCCCATTCCTATTATCTTTTTACTTCTTTCATCATAACTTTATGGTGCTTAAATTATACTTTTTCATACCTTTGCCACTTCTTCCTGACTTTCATCATGAAGCCTTTCTAGTTCCTCAAGATCCAGACCAAATTCCTGTTGGTCTAATTTTGCAATATTTTCTAGTTTGTCATTTTCTTCCATCATATTCAGAATCTGAATGTTGAAATAAAAAAGAGTGCTGACAAGTAAAGAATTAAACTGTAATAAGATAATTTTCTTAGTTTCTTTTAGGCAGCAATCAATAAAAAATAGATGTTCTATTTATCAAAATGTACTACTAAGTAAATAATTAGATTATGGGCTTATTGTGGTTATTGAAGTTTTAAGGTTTCATCCTTAAAAACTCTTTCATTTAATAAGGAAAACTACAAAAATATATAAGCTCATCATTTCATTCAATGATATTAAAGCACTGTTGCTAGTTTGAGGTACACTAACAGCATTGTGGTTATGTGTTTTAAGAGTCTTTATCATTTAGAGATACATACTGAAATAATTAAAGATGATATGATGTTTGGGATTTACTTCAAAATAATCAGGGGAGGGGTAATGGATGGAAGCATTGGTGAAATGATATTGGCCATTGGATGTATTATATTATTCTCTCCAATTTTGTATAAATTTGAACTTCTATACAATAAAAATTATCTTTAAAAGTTCATAACTTAAAAAAATTCAGGAGCAAAGGATACACACTACAACACATATGACAAAATATTAATGTCTTTAATATATAAAAAGCACTTACAAATAAAAACAAGGCAGACAAATGATAGAAAAAAATGGGACTTCAGTTTCAAAATGGTAGACTGAGAATGAGTTTAACAATTTTTCTTTTTTGCCCCAAAATATAAAGTTAAGAGAAAAGAAGTATATAGCATAGATAAACCCATTACTACAATGAAGAGGAAAAAAGGAATAGAATCCTTCAGGAGCATGAAAACTATAACAACTGAAAGACGGAAATCAGATGGATCAGCAGGATGCATCACAGCCCTGAATGCCCTCAGCACAGCACTCAACAACGAGTGGAAGCTACACCAGATACAGGAACAAGGGTTTACCTAAGAGTGCTGGCAGGTTGATTAGCTGGGGGTGCTGCATCAGAAACAGACAGTAGAACCTGCCTGTAACCCTACCTGGTGAAGTTCCCTAGGGTCCAGCAGTAGTAACTGGAGTGTTTGTCTCCAGGTAGAAGAAACTGGAATGAATATTTGGATGGGAGAAACAGGGCAAGGCCCAAGGAATCTGTTAGTGGCTAGAAAGAATAGAGAACCACCCCCACCACACAATGGGATGCCAAGACACTTCCCAACACCACCCACCCCTTCACTTTTTACTGAGAGCAGACAGAATACCTGCTAAAGTCAGATCTCCTACACTTCTTCCAAAGCAGACTGACCTGGTGTCATGGAACTATAACAGGGAGTTTCAATTATAAAGACAACCATGAAATAATAACAATAAATCACTAAATATTTGGGGAACAACAAGACCACTGGAGAGAGACAATAAATTCAACAAATAGAAGACTTGTTGCCCAAAAGAAAAGTTAATTGAGTGAGAAGGGTATAATTTTACAGTAACTAGGGATGCAAAATATTGTATTTCATAAAAAGAATCATAAGACTAGAAAAATAAATGAAGTATAAAGACTGATGAGAGAAATATGTTATTTTCAAAAGATATGATAGTCTACCTAGATAATCTAAGACAATCAAGTGACAAAATAGTAGAACTAAAAAGAATTCAACAAGGTGGTCAGAAAAAAATCAGTAACATTCACATATACCAATAATATATACCAATATATAACATATACCAATTGTATTAGTCTGTTTTCATGCAGCTGAAAAAGACATACCTGAGACTGGGCAATTTACAAAAGAAAGAGATTTAATGGGCTTACAGTTCCACATGGTTGGTGAAGCCTCACAATCATGGCAGAAAGTGAAAGGAAAGGCATGTCTCACATGGCAGCAGACAAGAGAAGAGAGCTTGTGCAGGGAAACTCCCCTTTTTAAAACTATCTGATTTCCTGAGACTTATTCACTACTGCAAGAATAGCATAAGAAAGACCCGCCCCCATGATTCAATTATCTCCCACCAGGTCCCTTCCACAACACATGGGAATTATGGGAGCTACAATTCAAGATGAGATTTGGGTGGGGACACAGCCAAACCATATCACCAATGCAATAGAAAAATATTCCATTCACAAAAACGGTATAAACTATAAGATACCTAAAATAAACCTAATAAGAAATTTAAAGTCACTTTCAGAGAAACTATAAACTTTCACTGGAGATTACCTTTTTAAAATTGAATAAAGATAAATAAATATATAATATACACATATGTAAGTATTATATATTTAATGAAAATATAACTGGCCGGGCGTGGTGGCCCACGCCTGTAATCCCAGCACTTTGGGAGGCCGAGGTGGGCGCATCATGAGGTCAGGAGATTGAGACCATCCTGGCTAACACCGTGAAACACCATCTCTACTAAAAATACAAAAAATCAGCTGGGCGAGGTGGCGGGCACCTGTAGTCCCAGCTACTCGGGAGGCTGAGGCAGGAGAATGGCGTGAACCTGGGAGGCAGAGCTTGCAGTGAGCCGAGATCATGCCAATGCACTCCAGCCTGGGCGACAGAGCGAGAGCGAGACTCCATCTAAAACAAACAAACAAACAAACAAACAAACAAAAAAAAACCAAAAAGAAAATATAACTTTAAAAGTTATATATTTTAAAAGAAATAAATATACAGGCCTGGTGCAGTGGCTCATGCCTGTAATCCCAGCACTTTGGGAGGCCAAGGCAGAAGGCTAGGAATTCAAGACCAGCCTGGGCATCATAGGGAGACCCTGTCTCTTCAAAAAAATACAAAAATTACTTGGGCGTGGTGGTGCATGTCTGCAGGCCTAGCTACTTGGAAGGATGAGGTGAGAGGAATGCTTGAGCCCAGGAGTTCAAGCCTGCAGTGAGCTACGCTTATGCCACTGCACTCTAGCCTGGGTTACTAAGCAAGATCCTGTCTCTAAATAAATAAATGAAAGATGTAAATATATAAATATACAGATGCTCCTCAACTTATGATGGGGTTATGGCCCAACAAACCCATGGTAAGATGAAAATATCATGTCAAAAGGGGCATTTGTAGACATGATGGGCTGTGAAAACATAAAACACGATATCCAAAAAATGCTGGCAACACAGTACACTTCAGAATATTCATTGTTTACCTTCGTGATTGCATGGCTGACTAGGAGCTGTGGCTTACTGCTGCTGCCCAACATTGTGAGAGAGTATGGTACCGCATATTGCTACTCTGGGAAAAGATCAAAATAAGCCTGCAGACATGTGCCACCACGCCCAAGTTTCTACTGAATGTGCGTTGCTTTTGCACCATCATAAGGTTGAAAAATTATAAGTTGAACCACTGTGAGTTGGGGACTGTCTGTATATATCTTAATTCAATTTAAAAAATATTCTTCAGTAAAGTTTTATCATACATACTTATATATATACTAAAGTTCAGAGCTGGCAGATAAATTCTTCTCCAAATCAAACTATAAGCAATATATTCTCAATCAAAATCAAATCAGAGTTTTTCATGGAGATTGACAAGCTGAATTTAAAATTCCAATGGAAAATTAAGTACACATAAAAAGGCCAATTTTTTTTAAAGAAGGGCAAAAGGAGAATTATTCTCAAGGTACAAGAACTATTATAAAGTGATAGTAATTAAAATAGCTTGGTATTGGCTCAAGAAAAATCAATATTCAATCTTAGAACAGAGTCCAGCAACAATCCTATATCCAGGGATTGATAGAGAAGACATTGCAAATCAGCAGAGAAAGGATAGTATATTAAATAAAACAGACTGGGGAAATGGGCTATTTATTTGAAAAAATAAAATTAGAACTATATGTCATACCATTCACAAAAATAAATTATAGATGAAATCAAAGAGCATTAGAAGAAAATATGTGTGACTTTGAAAGGTCATTTAAAATCAGAGGTAAAACCCAAAAGTTATAAAGAAAATGATCAATAACTTGGATCATGCCATAGTTTTAAAATTCTGCTTTATAATAAAATTATTTAAAATTTGGCACATTATAAAAGTTAAAAGAAAGTATTTAGAGTAGGATGAGCCATATACTTTTCTAGAAAATATTTGTAGGTTGAGCCACATAAAACAGCAATTGCATGAAGTTCCACCTAATAATAAGGGCTACCTTTAGATATGTCGCATTCACACTTCCACGCTCTTCTCCTTTCCAACTGACTCAAATGAGATCAAGCAAGGCAATCTTCGAAGCCCTGAGTTGAAGATAGCAGGGTCTCCAACAGTCTGGGTCTCTGAATGACTGCATGGAACAGAGCAGCTGCTGAGCTAAATACCCACCCAGGATGGTTACATGGGAATGAAATAACCTTCTCATCACTGTGCCACTATGTTTTTCTGAGTTTGTTACCATAGGCTAGCTAACTCTAATTATCATAAATACATATAAATAAAAAATAAAAATAAAGAACTCCTATAATCAACAAGAAAATGACCAATTATCCAATAAGGAAATAGGCAAAGAATATAAACAGGAAATTCACAAGAGAAGAAATACAAATAGTGTTTAGAGTTATGAAAAGGTGCTCAGCTTTATTAGTAATCAGGAAAATAAAAACAAAGGCCAAGGAAATGATTTAAGAACTTTTTCTAAAACCAAGAGACAAAGGTTTCCTATTAAAATGCCCATCGAAGTCTAGCACATGGAAGAAGAAAACACCTAGGGTCCTGGTAGGAAAAAGTAACACATTCAAATGGGAAAACTGAAGAGAGAAACTTAAAAAAAAAAGATTTGGCAGAGTAAGGAGAGCCAGCAACACATGATAAAGCATTAGGCTACCAACTGCGGGCTCGGGAAGCCATCTCTGCTCGTAGGTCTGAAGGGCAAAGGCTGGGAGTGGTTAATGAACCTGGAGAGACCCATAAATGTAGGAGAAGGATGGCGGTCATTGCCAACTCATAACCCTACAGGGAGGAAACTGGGAGAATGAGGACCCTGGTCTTAGTCTTCTGCCCTGCAATCTGAGCCCCAAGAGGCTGGCCTTCATGAATAGCAACAATGGGGTTCTCCTGCTGATGCTACTTATTGCCTAAACCCAAGAGAAAGCCAGAAGGCAAGAGAGTGCATTGCTACTGTCCATAAAGGCCAGCCTCTTGGGGCTCAAAGAAGAGTGGAAAAGGGAAGAGAGTCTTGGTTTGTACCAGCAAACCTAGAATACTCATCGAACATATCAAGGTGCATAACTGTAAATTTCCAAACACTATGGATAAAGAGAGGATTCTATAAGTCTCCAAAGATAAAAATCTGGTTACCTACAAAGAATTGGGAGTCAGGCACTGGATTCTCTAAAGGAAACACTGGAAGCCAGGAGACAATGGAGAAAGCCTTCAACATTCTGAAGGCAAACCATCAAATGGTTATGAATGTAGGATAATCACATTTTAAGAAAAACCACATCTCACAAAATGTACCTCTCATGTACCCTTTCTCAAGAACAGAGCCAAAGCATCTGACAGGTCTAGCAGCAGGGCATCATTCACAGTGGATTCCACTTGGATGGCACCCCAGAAGCACAGATTTTATAAAGGATGTTCCCAAGCATGGCACAACACAGCAGTCCTGCATAGGAAGCTACTGAAGAATACACACCAAGAAAACAAAGAAAATCACGTGGGACTCAGGAAACAGGAGCTCTGACTTAGAAGGCAGATCTCTAGGACGGCAGCCATACACCTGGTCTACAGAGCAAGAGCAAGGTGCTTTGACTGGAGCTGGAGGATGGAAAGCTCTAGAAGGGAGGTTGCCCAAAAAATGCACTCACAGATTGATCACTTCAGGTATTTGATTGTATTGAGAAGAATTTGTTAGCATTTTGAGTTTGAATAGGTCATAGAAGGGCTTACCCAAAACAAAGGCAACTATTAATTCTAAGAAAAATCAAGTTGTAAAAGCAGAAATGTAATAATAATATACCATGTGGCTCAGCATTGAAGAATATTCAAATAACTATCATAGTGTGTATTCCAAGCACGGATTTATATGTGTGCTATAGTGGGGATGGGGAGCAGTAACAAGCATAACTACTCATGTTCCATACCAGGACACCCATAGTTAGCATCAAAACAGAAATATCAAG
This sequence comes from Homo sapiens, assembly GCF_000001405.40. NCBI lineage: Eukaryota > Metazoa > Chordata > Mammalia > Primates > Hominidae > Homo > Homo sapiens. The sequence goes on from NC_000010.11 coordinate 104,178,594, forward strand.
AAATAACAACAGTATTAAGAAGACTATTTAGACAGAGGTAAACAGCCCAAATGAAAAAGTAGAAAGAAGAGAAAACAGTTACCTCAGGAGTACAGGAATCAGTCAAGAGAAGTAGGGCAGTTGCTGCTTAAAAAATATTATTTTTAACTACACAACTCAGTATTATTTAATCTGTAAAAATATAAATGCATAACTTTGATAAAAATCAGTATTATAAAGACAAATAAGATGGTAATTTGGGGGAAGATGGGGAAAACCGCTGTTGATATGGAGTGTGAATTGGAGAAATTTTATCTTGTTAAAGAACCTCAGAAAACTGAGCTTACAAGCAGAGAAAAGGGAGGTATAGTTCCTCAGGGTAGAACAAAATTAAGTTCAAAAAGTAATTTTAGAATGAGGGCCAAAGGTATTAGAATATGAAATTACAACACTTACAGTTTTGGAAAGTGATTTGATTCCTTGTTTTATCTCTTTCCTTTTCTTGGAAAACAGATTAACCTCCTTTTTGATGGCCTGAAACAGAACAAGTATATCACTTAACAAAGCAAGAGAAATATCAGACAGAGAGAGAGAGAGAGAGAGAGAGAGCAATTCTCTAGAAACAGAAACTAAAATTTGTAAAGACTAATATAAAGTGTACATGAAGTAATACCACTGCAGTACCTTGCTTAAATCTAACTGCTACTATGTAAGTGACATTAAAGCAACATGAAACTGATGTCAATTATATGGCCAATGGAAAGAAAATAATGAAGCAGTGAAAAATTAGTGAACAGTTGATTAAGGAAAACCAGTATGCACTTTTATCGGGAACTTGAGACTAGATCAATAGGCTAAATCCAGACACGAGCTGTAATCAGTCAGTCACCTTCCTGAATAGCTGCAGCCACAGCATCCCTTCCCCTGTTCCTGGTCCACAGGACAGAGGAAGACAAGCATCCCCTAAAACTCACTCCACGGTGGAGTACTGCAGTTCATCCTTTGCTGTGGCTTACCTGGACACCATTGTTGGGTTGCATGTCAGCCTACGTACAGTTCTTAAAGCTCATATAACTTGATCTAAATGATTGGGCTGTGTTTAGGGTGTTTATTTGCTTTCCGAAAAGTTACACCTGTATGTTGTAATGCTCTGCCAAGTGGTGTCTCATTCCATCTTCTAACTTTCCAGTAGGTTTCCATAGGAAACTAATCTATTTGGTGCATCTACAGAGCACTATTTCAAACCTACCCCATGTTTCACAAATACCTCTTGGCTTTTTTGTTGTATCCAAGGAATTTCCTTCTTAACATCGGTTAGAACTAATTCATCTTGTGATAAGTCAGTGCTTGCCTTCTGTTTCTGATACATGGTAGAAAAAGACAGACATGTCTTAAAGTTAAAATTCATCAAGTTTTTCCCCTCCCACCCTACCACATGTAACTGCTTTGAATTCCTTTGTATTTGTTGCATTTTTGAAAATAATCTCCAACATTTTGTCTGCCCAAGATGTAACATTTTATTCAGGTAAGTCCCACCAGTCTGCCCTTATAGTAGCCACAGCTTCCACTGAGGAAGCAGAGATGATCAGACCAGTCACACTGTCACCACTCTTTGCCTTCTTTGTTACTGTGACCCAAATGTTCCTGCCCATCAGGGCCTGTGCCACCATCTATGCTTAGGATCTTTTTTCTTCTTTTTGAAGTCTTAATACTTAACACAATTTTTTTTCAATGCCATCTCCTTCTGTATCATCAATTTCTCCCTTTTACAGGATCTTTCCCAACAGCATCCAAACATGCTCTACTATCTCCTGTCTTAGGAAAACTACTCTCACTTGACCATCACATTCTTCTTCAGACACCACCCTATTTCTTTTTTTTTTTTTTTTTTGAGACGGAGTCTTGCTCTGTCACCCAGGCTGGAGTGCAGTGGTATGATCTTGGCTCACTGCAACCTCCGCCTCCTGGGTTCATGCCATTCTCCTGCCTCAGCCTCCTGAGTAGCTGGGACTACAGGTGCGTGCCACCACACCTGGCTAATCTTTTGTATTTTTAGTAGAGACAGGGTTTCACCATGTTAGCCAGGATGGTCTTGATCTCCTAACCTCGTGATATGCCCACCTCGGCCTCCCAAAGTGCTGGGATTACAGGTGTGTGCCAACCACCGTCCCCGCCGGCCCACCACCCTGTTTCTATGCTCCCCTTTGCAGCAAAATGTCTTGAAAGAGTTTGGGATGCCATGTTCTCCTGGTTCTCCTGTAACCTCACTGGCTACCCCTCCTCAGGGTCCTCTGCATCCCTGAACTCTTCTCCTGCCTCTCCAGAAGTTGCTCTGTCCTGGTCCTCTTCTGCTTCTTGCCATTCATGCTTCCATGATGTCCTTACCTAGTGTTATGGCTTTAAATCCCATCCGCATGCCCTTGACTCAAATCAACATATCCAGTCCTGACCTCTCCCCAGAACCCAAGGTTCATCTATCCAATGGCTGAACTGGCATCTTCACGTGGATGTCTAACAGGCTTCTCGAGCTTAATGTGGGTAAAACTGATTTTGAATTCCCTTCTTTCTCTTCATAGCTGCCCCCTTCCCCCAGAGTCTGCCCCATCTCCATGAATGACACCATCTTCTACATAAATGTTCAAGTAAAACAATCTAGGAGTTCTTGGGCCCTTTCTTTTCCTCTCTCTCTATGTCCAATTCATCAGTGAGTTCTATCAACCCTACCTCTGAAACCCACCTGGAATCCACCACTTCTCTCCTTGGCACAAGACTCCTCCACCTCCATCATTGCTACCTGAACCTCTGCCTTAGCCTCCTGAGCAATGTCCCTGCTTCTGATCCTTCTTATCACCTACAGGAAACATTCTCCTCATAGCATCAAATAGTCATTTCAATAATGTCAACTATACCTTGTTAATCCTGTGTTCAGAACACCTGACTCAGTTCTCATTACATGTAAAATAAAATTCAAACTCTTTACCTAGTTTACAAAGCCCTTCGTTACCTGGTCTCCTCCCACTTTGAAGACCTCACCTCCCACCACTTTCTCCCTAGCTCGCTTCAACTGCACAGGTCTTTTTTAGGTCCTAACATACCACACGCCAAGCTCTTTCCCCCTTTGCCCTGAATACTCTTGCTACCCTCCCATTGTCTTTGCATGGTGGTGTTCTCTTTTAATTCAGATCTCAGCTTAAATGTCTGCTTGGAGAGGCTATCCAGCCCAATACTATCACATCAACCTATTTTTATTCACTGAATAGAACTTGTTACTATCTCATTGTTTCTTCTGCATTTGCTTGTTTATCTGTTTCTCCCTGCCCATCTCCAACCCCCAATTAGGATGTAAACTCCATGGAAGCAGAAATTTTTCTTTCTTGTTCATGGCTATATCCCCCACAGCCTAGCACTCTGTAGGCACTCTATAAATATTTGTTAATTGAATGAGTGAATACTGTTCTTTAGCTAGACACTTCCTAAATAATATCTGTAATATGAAAGTATAGAGAGACCATTTTGACCAAGCACAAGTGTGGGTAGAAGATTTTTTTTTCCAGGCAAGCCTGGATCTTGTACTATGGTTTAAATGAGATCTGAAATGTACTATTTGCAATTGCTTTGAGAAAGGCTGAATATTTTCTCTCAGACGTAGCTTATTCCCTTTTTGAAAATCATGGGATACCTGGATAAAGAGAAATATTACTAAATATCTGCTTAAAGAAAACCACAAACCGAAAACTTCTGATTTACAAAGAAAGAAATGTAAGCAAGCAAGCTAGTCATATAGGAACTCAACTGTGTGTTCAGAATCGGATCCCAAATCTACGGAAACTTTTGGTGTTGTGCTTAAATAATGATTCTCCTTGTCCATGGCGCTGCTCAGGGAAATTAATAGTTTCTGGTAATAGTCCAGAATTTCACTGGCTAGGTGTCCTCCAAATCGCCTATATTAATAAAAAAGAAAACACAGAGGCTATAAAAATCATAATTTAAAAAATCACATTTAGCTGTATTATTTTCAGGTAACTAACCATTTCAGTTTATAGGTAACTAACCAAGGAAATATGTGGACAATTCTTCACAGTGCCTTGTGGAAACTTCTTCAGTGCCTACTTCTTTTGCAGAATTTCTTCTTTTTTTTTTAATTTTTATTTTTTAAAGAGAAAGGGTCTTGCTCTGTCACCTAGGCTGGAGTACAGTGATGTAATCACAGCTTACTGCAGCCTCGAACTCCTGGGCTCAAATGATCCTTTCACCTCAGCCTCTAGAGTAGCTGGGACTACAGGGGTACACCACCATGCATGGCTAAAGGACTCTGCTTCTTACAGGAGACCCTTTCATGGGTTCCAGGCCATGACAAGCTTCTTGACCTTTCTAGGGTACCCTCTCCTCACACTGTCCTCATACCCTTACTCAACATGCCCTCTGTACCTGCCCTGGTCATTGCACAGAAGAGCCAGTGCACTGGCTGAGCTCTCGGAATGCACCAGGCAGTGTGCTACTTCACACACATAATCACATGTGGCCCCCTCATCACCCCACCCTGCATTGAGAGTGGTATTATTACTTCCACTTAATTCACCAGGGCATTGCAAACTTTGGACGCATCAGCATCACTGGGAGGGTTTAAAAACAGATTCCTGGGCCCCACTTGCAGACATTCTGACTCAGAAAGTCCAGATGGGATCCAAGAATATGCATTTCTAACAAGCTCACAGATGCTACAGACCCCCTACCTTAAGTAACATTGTAACAGATGATTTAGAGGGGTTGTCATTTGCCAAGGTCACAAAGTCAAAAGTCCTAGACCATCGTTTTTTTTTTTTTTTTTGAGACGGAGTCTCGCTCTGTCGCCCAGGCCGGACTGCGGACTGCAGTGGTGCAATCTCGGCTCACTGCAAGCTCCGCTTCCCGGGTTCACGCCATTCTCCTGCCTCAGCCTCCCGAGTAGCTGGGACTACAGGCGCCCGCCACCGCGCCCGGCTAATTTTTTGTATTTTTAGTAGAGACGGGGTTTCACCTTGTTAGCCAGGATGGTCTCGATCTCCTGACCTCATGATCCACCCGCCTCAGCCTCCCAAAGTGCTGGGATTACAGGCGTGAGCCACTGCGCCTGGCCTAGACCATCGTTTTAAACCCAGCTTTGTTTTGAGTCAGAAGTTTGGGTGATTACCAATGGATCAAAATGTCCTTCTTTTTGAGCTGCATAAATAAGGCTCCAGCACTTGTTTGTTGTTGCCTGAGATAGTATTTGTTCGCTGGTTATAAACAATATGTTAGGACTTACATAGTGAGATAAAAGCTAATATTCTATTCAGAATCCCATGTATAAAATGGGCATGATGATGCAATCCTCAAATGAGTTTTTGAGGTAAGTGGCTAGCAAAATTGTTATGATACAAAATCTCCACAACATTTAACATTTTCACAATGTTGCAGAGAAGGGCCGTATTTTATTACTGCTTTGATCACAGGAGGTATCACGAAATATTATTTTTTCTAAAATGAATTGCATGATTGAAACCACCTTTGCAAAGATTACGGCAGTGAAAGAAGTCTAGCATGGCTGACTCCATCTTGTTTCTAGTCTCACAGGCTGGATGTTCTTGTTCATTCCTCCTAACCATGGGAGGAATTTCGTTTATAGTTTAACTTGGAAGCAAGGATGATAATAGTACCTCCCTAAAACGGATCCCCTCCTTGTTTGGGGACTGAAACTGTCTTTGATATAATCTAAGCAAAATCTAATTAGGAAAGTGTGTGTATATATACATACATGTATATGTCAGGGATAAACAGGAGTTTTTAAAGTTATCTGAGGGTCAGAATTGTCCACATTTCTTATGTTATGAGAGATAGGACTGATCACTCTCAGATAAATATTAACTATGTCTTTTTTTTTTTTTTTGTATTTTGATGCTCTGATATCTGGGGCCTTGCTGACTTCTGGAGGCTAGCCAGTCTCTGAAGATAGTAAACAATTTGCTCTGGAACACGCTTTTCAAAAGCAAACCGATCAATCCAGAGACCATACCCCCAACCACCTCCTCTAGTGGGCTTTCACAATCGGGGCCACCATTTCCCCACCCTAATCACCCCAGGGCCAAGTATGAGACAACTACAGCCAGCTCCTATGCCTCAGAACCCACTGATAATATTCAAACTAGCCAATCCTAAACCTGCCCAATCCTCCCTGTGAAAACCATACTAGAGGATCTCATCCACGTTTTCCTCCCTCTCTCAGCCTCCTGACCCACCCCAGGTCTGCCCCATGTGGTACCCGAGAATGCAGTGTACGCTTCTCTTGGGATCTGTGAGTATAACAAACTTTCTTTGCACTGGCAGTGGTCTCCCAGCACGTTGGCCTTGCTGTACTTAAATAATAATAAAATCTCTATTTTAACACACTATACTACATGGGGTTACTTACTGAATACTGTACGTACTTCCACTTTAGGTAGACAAGGGTGCCATCATCTCTCCCATTCACCAGAATGTTTTGTCCATCCATTGAAATTCTCATTGACTGAATCCCATGACCCTGGTGAGAATGACTCCGACACCAAGCAAATGTTTCCTCAATAGTTAAGAAATAAACCAGAAAAATTACAAATGCAATTCTACCACACGGCTTTTCTAATGGGGTTATATGCCCCTTTTTTGTGGATAAATCATTTTCTATTTGCTAACAGCATTTTAATTGGTATGGAAGTAGGCAATTGGCAATACATAGTATTTAAAATCCCCAGTTCAAACCACATTCACCAATACTAATTTGTTCTTCCACTACCTTTGTGTAGTATGGAAGGACAGGGATTATTATCACCAATTTATAATAGGAAATCAGACACAGAGAAGTGAATGGATTGCAGAAGTCTATAAAGCTAGGGAAGGGGCCTTCAGCAAGCAGAGATGGTGAGTTCCGATGGCTTCAAGAGTCAGGGAGGTTCTATTTATGTGTGAAGTAGCTGAGTATAATGAGAGAGGGTGACGGGCACTGTGAAGAATGGAAGATAACATGCTCTGAAGGATGCTAACTAAGCCAGTTTGATTAGAACTTAAACAAAATGCATCATCAATTTGGTATATAGGGCAACAATTTAAAAACTGAGATTTCTGAGTCATACTGGTTCTCAACCATGATGCCTTTTCTCATTTAGGTTTTTAAATAGGCAATACATTCAAATGGTTCAAAATTCAAAAATTATAAAAGAGTATTCTGTGAAATCTCCTTCCTGTTCCCATGACCTAATACTTCCAATGGCAAGCAAGGTAATTAGTACCTTCAATATCTTTTCAGAGTTTTTATGCATATATAAGCAAATTTTTATATACATATAAAATGTTTCCTATATGAGATCAATATATACACCCACAATATTTTTTTTTAAGAAAGCAGCTTACCAAAGTATAAACGTCTCGGATACACAGAATTCCACATTTAGCTATTGTTATGAGCCACAATCCATGTGAAGACAGATAGAGCAGTCCAGGTCCATACTGTCTGCTTTGTACTTTTTTGTATGGTTTAAGAATGTAGATACCGGTATGTTCCTGCCAATCAAAGAAAATAACCACATTATAGAAAAGATCAGGTAAACAGCACCTTTGGGTTTGCAGATATACATGCCTGTTGTATATTGTCATTGTAAATAAAATGATATGGCATAAAGTGCAAACATTGTCATTGTAAATAAATGGATATAGGATAAAGTGGACACCTGCGTTTGCATCATGTTTCCCACTTTTGCAAATAAAAGTTTGTTTCTGCCAACTAAGTAAAGTCTTCTTTATTTACTTGCCATTAAAAATCCTAGCCTACACTGATAATCTTTGCTTTTACTAATCATTTTCACATATCTTCATGCTTAAGTCAAAATAATGTAGTCAATATTCCCCGTATGTTTCATGCATTCCTACCTCCAAGCCTCTGCACGTGTCCTTCCTTTTGTCTGGAATGCCCTACTCTACTCCATCCCCACCAGTCCTGCCCTACCTCCCTATATGAGCGCTGCCCACCAAAATTGTATGCAATATCTCTCCATGTCTAAATCTGACTTACTTTTCAAAGTCCAGATCAAATATTGCTTCCTTCATGAAACTTTTCTTGAATCTCTCTTGCCACTAATCATTTATTCCTTCTCTGTGTCTAGTCCTGGCTACTCTGTCAAAGAAGAGCTTTGACTGAAGAATTTAGAGGAAGGAAGGCAGACCTTATCAAAGTGGGTAGACAGACATCAAGGGAAAGTGACAGGTCAAGGGGCAGCAAGCAGGAGGGTACTGGGCCATTATGTGCAGCAGGAGGTGACACAATGCATGAGAAGTCTGAAGAGAGTGTAATGAAAAAATGTCAGAAACACAGTTTAATTATTTTTTGTAATTTTGGTTATGGCTTAGATGCAAAGTTCCACTGCAAATCAAATCATCTACCTTGTAGCCCTTGGCATATGTAGAATAGATTTCCTAATGCTAGGTTGTTTTTTAAGGCACTAAACTAATATTGTGTCATCTGCATGTTTATCTGACAAAGATGATGTATGTGGCACAAGTATCAGGTTGCTCAAATATATTGTATGATGGATTAACAAATAACACTATATATCTAGCTCAAGGGAATTATATTAATAAAATGAAGGCATTTGTTAACTGAACTATTCTGTTAAAGTGGTCAAGAGGATCACATCTAATCAGTATAATGTATCAATCTTGATTGCTAAGATAAATGAGAGCACACTTAAGTGTTGACATACTTCTTCAGGAAGAAGGTAGCTACAGATGTATGGCACTTGACTACAGAAGCCATATATTTGGTTACTTTGAAAGCCCAAGACTGCAGAGGACAGAGCGTGCTCCAACTCATACAGGTACTTATGAATGATTTCATCTTTCAGCCTTCCTCTTTCATCAGCAAAGGTTGTGGAAACTATTAGATTTGGAAAAAGAAGAGAAATCACTTGTACCATAAATTAATTTTGTTTTTTTAAAATTATGAACAATTATGAAAAGCAAAATAAAATTTAAATGCTCAACTAATATTGCGGAAGCTAGTAGGTGATAAAAATGATTTAAAAACACTTGTCTCCCTAGAAATACTTGAGTATTAAATGACTGATAGTGGGTAAAATATTTCTGTAATGCCTTGATTAATTTTTAATCAATTAACTTAGAGACATATTAAAAGAAACCCATGGTAGTATAGAGATTCTTATAAAAACATAAAAGTACTTGGAGGTTGTCGGCTCTCTTCTGCTCTATAATTATATATTTGCAAAACTGCTAACCTGATATATTTGTCATTAAAACAAGGAAAGAGTATCTATTTTCTCATACCTTTTTATCCAGAAAACTGTCTTTATAATTTTGTCAGTGAAGGGAACTACACTGTAATCTATCTGAATTTAACCTTGTCTATTCAAAGCTACAAAACAAGAGACATCACAAAAATAACAAATCAATTTGATGTGTCCGTTGATCCTATCTCTTTTCCTATGGTAATAAAGCAGACTCATGAGTCAGGAAGCCCAGAGGAAAAGTCCACACTTCAAACTGTTTAGCATGTTGGTTTTACTTTGTAAAGATAGACAAAAGGTGGCCATTTTACCTCTTCACATGCCAAGATAAAAACAAAACAAACCCAAAAAACAATAACAACAATGTATCTGGGCTCAGGAGCAGAACTGGCTGCTTATGTTTTCCTTACCTTGTGGCAGTAATGTAGGCAGTGTGAACATCTCCAACCTGCTTCTCCCTGCTTCTGGAAGCGAGGAAAGCACCATCACTTCCACTATGTCTGTTTCTAAAAGAGACACTGTGGATATCTGTAAAATGTCTTTGGCCACCTCTGAAAGCAAACAGAGATCAACACCACAAGTGGTCATTGATAAGTTTAAATGATCTTTTACCTTTCCAATTAAGATATCATCCATGGACTTGCCTTCACTATATCTTTAGAATCAAATTATTTGCTGGACATTTAAAGTGACCTTTAAACATAAGTTACAGGGACATTTTTGATGAATGGATGAGGGATTCTCCTGATTAGATGTCTAGACTGGCAGATTTAAACCAGCCCAGTCTGTCTGGGTTTCCTTCCCAGCCAGGGTGGCCCCAGAGTGCACCATCTCCACCCCCTATCCCTCCAAACCAGCATCTGCATGAGCTGGTCCCCACAAGTCCACTCCAGCCAGGTTACCTAATCCTAAGATTGGGTAAACTTAGGCATCGGCCTTCTTTGCATCTGTGGTCAAGGACTGTGGGTGTGGTGGAAACGTGACTTTATGAGCTTGCTCCACTAGAAAGCCAGCTGATCTAACCTCTACAAGGTGTGCCAGGCCTGGAGCCCACCTTGGATTTGTTCCAGATTCACTCTCCCATTCTTCATGGGACTGTGCTGCAGGTGCCCACTTTCTCAGGCCCTTCCCCAGGCGGTCAGCAGATGACCTTCCCTCTTCCTTAACAAGGAAGACCAAGGACATCTACATAAACTCAATCTCAACTTTCTTATCCTGAGACTCACACTTTCCCCTTGTCTGTTTCCATTTTCTCCATTCATTTCCTGACATTGATGTAGGAACAAAATGTAACCCCTCCCTGTCTGTGATTTTTGAGCCCATTCCTCCAATCTCCTATTAGACCATACATTATCAATCACCTCTTTTTAGCTTCTTGTGTCCCTTATGGTTCCTTTTATTCAGCCCTCATGACTCCCCTGTCTTCAAATAAGAACCTTCCTCCAACTCTGCTGTCCCACAACAGTTAACATCTGACTCTCTTTTCTCCACTGCAAACTTCCTAAAATAGTTTTGGCACTTTCTGACTTAATTTTCTTACCTCTATTCCCTCCCTAACCTTCTTCATTCCAAAGAAGTAGCTCTCTCAGGGATCACCTGCTGACTGGCAAATATATGAGAGCCTATCTCAGCCCTCTCCCTACCCACACTTCTGTGTCAGCCTGTACTTTCATCTGCCTTCCTTCTTTAGGCTGTTTCTGGAGAGAATGACTCCCAGTTCTCTTATTACTCTGGCCCAGCCTCAGTTTTCTTCACTGCCTCATCTTCCTCTGTCCACAGCTTCAATATAAAATGTGGACCAGGGTTCTATTCCCAGCTTCTTCCATCCCACCCTCTGGCCAAACAGATACATTAAAAATGGGGCAGGGAACAGTGGCTCATGTCTGTAATCCCAATACTTTGGGAGGCTGAGGTGGGAGGATTGCTTGACTCCAGGAGATCAAGACCAGCCTGAGCAACATAGAGAGACATTTTCTCTACTAAAAAACAAAACAAAACAAAACAAACAAACAAACAAACAAAAAAAGGCCAGGCGTGGTGGCTCACGCCTGTAATCCCAGCACTTTGGGAGGCCAAGGCGGGCGGATCATGAGGTCAGGAGATCGAGACCATCCTGGCTAACATGGTGAAACCCCGTTTCTACTAACAAATACAAAAAATTAGCCTGGCGCGGTGGCGGGCGCCTGTAGGCCCAGCTACTCAGGAGGCAGAGCTTGCAGTGAGCCAAGATCACGCCACTGCACTCCAGCCTGGGCGACAGAGCGAGACTCCATCTCAAAAAAAAAAAAAAAAAAAAAAAAGGAAACAAAAACAAAACAGAGAACAAGCCAGGCTTTGGGGCATAAACCTGTAGTCCCAGCTACTCAGGAGGCTGAAGCAGCAGTATTGCCTGAGCCTAGGAATTCAAGGCTATAGTGAGCTATGATTGCACCACTGCACTCCAGCCTGGGTGACAGAGCAAGACTCTGGAAAATAAAATAAAATAAATGAAATGGAATATTTAGGCAGGATATACATCCACTCTGAGGTCAGCCACAGGCTGTACCACACTCAGTGCCATCTAATTTGCATATTTAGTTACCTCTTTTGCCTTATTAAGCATCCAGGTTTACTTCCACTCTGTTGAGCCATCTCATCAGCTACCATGATTTCAAGATCAGAATTCTATCATTAAGCCTTGAACTACATATCCCGATTTCCAAACTTAAGCTAAATATGCCCAAATGAAGAGTTTATTGGCTTTAAACCTATGGAACTCATCAGCTCAACCTATTCCTCAACCTCTAGAACTTTCAACTAATGGCATTGCAAACTTCCACCATTCAGGCTAGAAATTTTGGAGTCATCACTTATCCCTTCCTTTCGCATCAAATACCAAGTCCTACCAATTCCATCACTCGTGGTTGTGCCCTCTTTTCTCTTTCTGTAACTGCAGCATGAGTTTGTGCATTGTGGATAAGAGCACACGCCCTGAAACTGGACTTCCTTAACTGGGCTCTGCCACTAACTAGATGCATGGCCTTGAACAAGTACTTAGCCTCGCTTCGCCTCAATTGCCTCATGTGGAGAGATAATAGTAGTATCAATTTCATGAAAGTTGTCTAAGAATTCAATGGGTGGAGACATGCTGAGGGCTTAGAATACTGGCTACCACATAGTCAGGCATTCCTCAATAAGTGTTGGCTGTTGCTATGATTATGACTATGATCATCTCTTGCCTTGGCTAGTATTATAGCTTCCAATCTCATCTTTTTAATTTCATTCTTTTGCCTTTCTACTCCATCCTTCACACTGGTATCAGAGTCAGTCTCTAAAAACGAAGTCAAATCATGCCAGCTCCATCTTGAAACCACTGATGATGGCTCATTAACCACAGAACAATTCCAGACTCTTTGGAATGATATTCAAGGTCCTTCCTCTTTCAGACTTCATTGCCATAGTCATCTTCTAGTAAACTCTTCCATTTACCTGTTATACCAGACTTTTTTACCATTCCAAGTACCTTTGTTTGGGTTATTATTTTGAGCAGGAATACTAATATGTCCTATCCCACACCTATGAAAATCCTTCAAACCCACTACTTTAAGCCCTTGGAAAACTCCTCCAATCCTCCGCACCCCCTGACCAGTGCCCACCTTCACCTCCACTCCTCTCCTCACACTTGGCAGAATGAATTGCTGCTGTATCTGAGCCTACACAGTATCTGAGCCTACACACCATTCTGCATTTTCCTCCTCTACTAAATTGTCTCCTTAATATTTTCATCCCCCTACAAGGCCTAGGTTTGGCATTTTGCACCTTGTAGGCACTCACTAATTTTTATAAGTCAATGATAAACAAATTTAAAAACTTAGGAGTGGGACTTGGCAAAGTGTGAGGAGCAAAAAAAAAATTTTTTTTAAGGAGAATTTTAAAAAAAATTGTGTGTGTGGGGGGGGGGAAACACATATACAGTTGGCATGTAAAGCCAGAGAGAAAATAAAGAGAAAATTCTTCATTAGAGATAAAATATTAAAAAATATTTTCAAGAGAAATCAACCCAACTTCTCTGTATGTTAATATTAGAAATGTTCAGCCATTTCATTAATGTATTTAATAATTGATTCAAGAAAATTTATTTAGCACCAACTATGTACCAAGCAGATAACTCTAATATTCCAAATACATCAAAATATAATGTGAGAATTCTCCTAAGTAACTTTAGTTATTTAAAGGTTTCTCTTTCAGAAAATATGCCACAAATAATTGTTTCAATATTCAATATGAAAAGTCCATTTTCATAACCTTAAATTCTTTGAAATAATCAATATTTTAAATTAATCAGCATTCTATGTTGTACCTGTGAATCCAATAATCTGAAATGAGCTTGAGGAGTTGGCATTGATAATAAAGACTTTTCCTTCTGCTGTTCCAACTAACAGAAATATTCCTTGCTGATCATAACTAGAAAAGAAGAAATCTGATGATCAAATCCCAATTGTTTCACCAGCTAGATGGTGAACAAGTTTATTGAATGGCCACAGAGATATGTTCAAAGCCAGTCATTTTTACGGTTTGCAATTTTTAATATTCTCTGACCTTATTAAAGTGGAGTGATTACATGTGGATATAATCATTGTACTTTAGGCCAATGATATTTCCAAATTGCAACTTTAATAAATACAGTCAAGAAGATTCAGTAAAGATGGGCAGTTGGTTCATCATAAGTGAATGAAACATGTCTGTCGGTAGAGCTTTCTTGATGTTTCAAGCGCAAATAAGCAATTCTCAAATTAGTGGTGGGTGTGACATTTCATTACCCTGTGTCTGGTACCTGGCAGTGGGAGGAAGAATGTAGTGAAACATGTCTACAACTTTATCAAATTAGAAAAAGTGGGAAGATGTAAATTAGAATAAGAGGATCTGAGAAAGGAAAGGCACAAAAAAATGACAGTGCAGAAAGGCAGGGGGTAAATGGAAGGAGGTTATCCATCCTTCCCCACTGAGCTAGGGTGGTGGAGCTGGGCAGTCCACAGTGGCAGGGCCAGCTCCTCAGTGTGCTAGCTGTGTAATGTGTAATCTTGGACAATGCTTTTCCTCACCTCTCTAACCCTGAATTCCCTAATTTGTCTAATAGGGATAAGAATAACACCTTTCTGACTGGTGTTTTGAGGATCACATGCCACAAGCTACAGTGATCTCAAGCTGTAAAGCAGAATACAAATGTCTGTTCTTATTAATACCTAATAATATAATAAATTAAAAAGAAACAGTAATAATGATAGCACCTACAAGTCCAAATCTAATGTCTCTATATTATCATCTTAAAAGTATTGCTTCAAAAGTTTTGAAATACTCTAAATGTTCATTAATATACCGTTTTTAAAAAATGATAGTATATTCATATAATGGAATACTATGTGGCTATACAAATAATCAGGCTGGTCTTTATGTGTGGATATAAAACATTCTCCAAGATATACGATTAAGTGAAAAAAGAAATGAGGCATTGTACATAGTTTTCTCCTTTTAAGAGCAAAGGCAGTGACTCTGCAGCCCAACTACCTGGGTTCAAATCCCAACATTTGCCATTCACTATCTGTGTACTATTGAGCAAGTTATTTAAAATCCTTGTGCCTTATCTTCCTCACCTGTCAAATAGAGACAACAAGAGTGTTTACCTCATGGAGTTAATACAGCAGAAGTGCCTGGCACACTATACACACATGATGGCCATTGATACAAGTAAAAAGAAGTGCTTATTATGTTTTGCTTGTTCATGGATAAAACATCTCAGGAGAGACATGAGAAATTGGTACCAGGCTGCCTGCAAGGACAGACCTGGGTATGGGGGGTACTTTACTACACAGCCCTCTGTACCTTTTGAGTGTTGAACTGTGTGAATATATTAACATTCAAAACAAATGAAACACGTAAAACTTAAAATTAAAAGAAAGGATGGCTTCACTAGAATTTTCAACAGACGGGTGTGACACGGAGCCGCTCCTGGAGGCAGAAAGGACTTACACGACGTGCTGCACGGACGATTCCGAGAGAAAGGCCTTGTGCACGACCTGAGGGGATTCCTTATCATATACGCTGATGAAGTAGACCGAGCCATCCTCCGTGCCCACGGCTGCAGAGAGGGAGGATGGACAGCAAGCCAGAACCGTTGCCTGTTTAAAATAAACCCCAGATGCGTATCTCTATTGTGCCTGCTCTCCTACACGTAAGAATGCTATTATACAGTGTACTTGAAAAGCCTGCAGGATGAGAAAAGTGGCAAGTGTTGTGTGGTGGGGTCTTTCAAATTATACCCTCAACGTTCCTGAGCTGATCAACTGCATAAGATGGCACAGGAATCTGTACATCTTATTCTTTTATCCTAAAATTAGAGTAATAAAAATTAGAGAGAGATTTCTTGAAATTGAAATCATGGCTTCATTTTTATCCCTAAATGATGATGAAATGATTATGCCAATAATCTATTTAAGTGATTGTGAAACAATTAGACCAATAATAGTGAAAAATAAGGAATTTAAAAGAAATTCTTAGCATCTTTTAAACATTTTTAAATTTTTATTTATTTATTAGCGATGGGGTCTTCCTCTGTCTTGAACTACTGGGCTCAAGTGATCCTACTGTGTCAGCCTGCCGAGTCGCTGGGATTACAGGTTCAAACCACCACACCTGGCTTTTTAAAACATTTTTATAGATCCTGAGATGCTGGTATGACTAAGGAAGACTTAAGAAAATAACTGTATCACCGGAAGATGTATTCAGTCACCAAAGAAATGCGTAACAGATTCCCATTTATCTCACAATGATTTATACAGAATATGATGTCTAAGAGAATAAATTGACTTTCATAATACTAGAGAAATCAGTATTCTTTCTCTATCAACACTTTGTAGATTGTTTTGAATAAAATCATGGAACTCAGGACTGAAAAAGAACATAAGAGATCATTTTGCAAAATAGAAAACACAGGCCAAGGAAGTCCAGCAGCTTGCCCAAGGATCCCATATGTGGTGACAAACTTCAGATGAAGCAGCCAGGTGTCCTGCCTTATTAGAATGCACACAGTCTCCCAATTGAGTGGGCTTTTTGTAAAATTGAAAACCTCTGTGGGAAGTGTGTGTATATGTGTATGTGTTCCCAAAATAAAAATAATCAGCTGAAATTCTCCTTCATTCCAGGGCGATGGTGTGCTAGTCTGAAAATGTACAGCAAGGGCCAGAGGAGTCTTATGTACCCTTGCAGGTACCATCAGCGGATGCTGCTAGTGTCCAGGTATCTTGACACTGTGCTGCTGGACTGGGATCCCCCAGGACCACTGCCTGAAGGAAGGCAACACAGTCCCGGACGCAGGCAGAGAGACCTGGCATCAGCATTACTGTGTCTGGATCAATTCTCTATAGGGTAATGGTACCTGTATCCCTCCTTGCCCAAGAGGAACAAGGTATATCCTGATTATATGGGCCCCTGGGTGGGTTGTTAAACGTTTCTGTGTCTCTAATGTGTGAAAGGACATGTGATTAAATGCACTTGTAAGATCTCTCCTAGTTTACTATTTCTAATAGAAATGAATACATATAACCCTTGGTCACATAGACTATGGAGTCTTTTCATATTTCAAGTTTTCTCAGTAAGAATTTTTATCTTTACTTTTGTGGGAAAGTTTTATTTATCACATTGAATTATGTATCTTTGGCATCTTATGTAAAATATGATGCTTAGTCTTTTATAATTAAGATTTTAGTTTTATAAAAGGGAAGGACTGAAACTTCCCTACCTAATACCAAGATCCATTTCTCAACTAGAACTGTGTAATGCAGCAAATAATATTATTTTTAAAAAAAGAAAGCATTACCGTTGTTTCTTGGTCCTTTTAAAATGTTATTTTATGCAAAATGCACTGTGAACATGGCAGAAATAATGGTATCACATTGTGGTAGGTGTTTTGGGCAGTGTGGTTTGCAACTCAGCATCCATACGCCCTCCTGGAAAATCTCTTGAATATTCACTGAGAAACTATCCCTCCCCTATCTTCAGGGATGAGTGGAATGAATCTAACTCCCATTTCCAGGGCTGAGTTTGTGCATTAATTATGCACTTAATTGCATTTCTCATCCCCTGTGCATATGATTAGTTCACAGATGTTATTAAGACATTGCAAGACATTTACTGAACCTTCTGGAAAGAAGAAGCATCTTTGTTCTTCCTCCTCCTACAGCAGGAATTTTTCTTCCCTCTCTGACAGTATGATGTGAGGTTGGCACCTGTGGTATCTGGGTGTACCTCAATGAAGCCTAAGATGAAACTAAAGGCATAGTGTGGAGACAGAAAGACAAGGTCCTTGGTATATCATTTAAACTGCTGGATTGAGGCACACATGAGGCCAGACAAGTTCTGTACTTTATAGTTGATTGTGCCAATAACACTTACTTTTTAATTTTTGGCTTAAGCTGGTTAGAGTGGCAACTTTCTTTCATTTCTAATTGATTTCCATTAAATGGGACCATTTAACCAATTATGGCCAAAGGGATATTTCATTTCTGAGAAAAAGCACTTACTTGCTGATTCAACAGCACCCCCTCTCCCTCCAAAAGACCTTTCAGCACTCTCTTCCTCTCCTGCCACACAGCACAGAGGAAGTATTCTTTGGTGGAACCCCCATCAGCCTGGCTCCCTGAGAGACTGTGCAAGAGGGACCCCTGCCAATCCACAATGAACTTATGGCATGAGTAAGATATAAACTACTGGGGTTTCAAAAACAACTGCCACCACAGAAAAACTTATTGTTTTCTATAACCAATATTGTATGCTATGGTTCCACTCTTGGGGCTGTGGCATATACTTTACACACAAGGATTACTGTAAATCTAGAAGGCAAAAATGCAGTGAGGCTTCGGTAACAAGTATTTCTACAGACTATTGACATGTGAATATGAAAAAGTAGATTGGATTAGAATTCAGTATTTTTTTAAAATCCATTTATCAAGTATACTTACTAGGGTATTCAGATAAATCTTGCTTACACAAGCACAATCCTCCAGCCACCAAACACAAATTTCCCCTGAATATGTAAGTGTCTGTAAAAAAAGAAAAACAAAAACTCTACATGGAAAATAAGACTTTCCTATGGAAGCATGTTCTACCTCCCTTTCCAGTGTGCCAATGATTTAGTATAAAATTTCATTTTACTTACGTGGATTATAAATACTTATTTTATCATTTCAACGCCAATGCTTTGTTTCTGAGCAAATATTAACTATTATCTTTAATGCAATTTAATACATAACTAATTAGTATTAGAAAAGTAAAATAAAGATTTTTCATGTAACATATTAAAGATAAAAGTTGCTTATAAAAATCAGTAAAACTATTGCCTAATGAACAAATGTAGAAATAGGAAACTATACATTGTTCTTTTTTAAATTACTAGAACTTATTTTTTTAGAGCAGTTTTAGGATTACAGAAAAATTGAGCAGAAAGTAGAGTTCTCCTTCACCTTCCCCTCCACACACCTACTACCCTACTATTAACATCTTGCATTAGTGTGGTACATTTGTTACAACTGAAGAGCCAATATTGACATATTATTATTGACTCCTTAGACTGAATTAATGTATTATACATGGCAACTATTTCATTTTCAACCTCAGGTGGTGCTGCTGCATTACCTGGAAAAAAAGATACTAAATAAATACTAACAGTTTACTTAGTGCTGATGACTCATTAGCAATGAATGTGTTTTAAAAACGTGTTAAAGCCTGGCTTGCAGAGCTTGGGTGGTGAAAACCAAAAGATGGCTCCTAAGATCTCAATTGTGTTGGCTGTTTTCAGAAGATGATATTATGAAGTCACAATATGAGGGTATCATTCTAACCGGGGGGTAGATTTGAAGATGGAAGTGTCTGGCATCTCCACCACAGTCTTCAAGGACAGCCTCTGCCTCCTGTTCGCATTGCTTTGCCCATGAACTTTCAAAGTTACCCAATAACATATAAATGGGGATTTAAATCTTGCAACATCATCGTATCTTTAGTCCTACTGTGACACAGTAAAATATTCTTTACCATGAAGTATTGGGTTCCAGGTGTGATAAAGTCAATTGCCTGAAATTTCCCATCACAAGCATCTAGGACTTTATTTAAGGTTGGCTCCTTACCAAAAGTGTAGATATAAACAGATCCCTGATAAACATACAAAAGAAAAGAAACACATTGTAATTGTTGTGTATATAGTTCAACAAATATTTATTAAATGCCTACTGTAACCAAGGCTCTATGTGGAAACAGAATATGGGAAATCACAGATCAACTCAGTAAGACCTTGACCCTGAAGGGCTTAAAATCCAGACACTTGATTTGTTTGTTTGTTTATTGATTGATCGGTTGATTCATTCATTCATTCACTTATTCATCATTTTATTTTATTTTAATTAATTAATTTTTGAGACAAAGTCTTGCTATTGTTGCCCAGGTTGGAGTGCAATGGCACAATCTCAGCTCACTGCAACTTCCACCTCCCAGGTTCAAGCATTCTCCTGCCTCAGCCTCCTGAGTAGCTGGGATTACAGGCATGCGCCACCACGCCCGGCTAATTTTGTATTCTTACTAGAGACAGGGTTTCAACATGTTGGTCAGGCTGGTTTCAAACTCCTGACCTCAGGTGATCCGCCCACCTCGGCCTCCCAAAGTGCTGGTATGACAGGTGTAAGCCACTGCGCCTGGCCTCATAAATAACCATAAGACTTTCTTCTTCAATTCCAGACATTCGTTTTTTATTTTTAATTTTTTAAAATTTCATTATTTTGTGTGTGTGTGACTGAGTCTCCCTCTGTCGCCCAGGCTGGAGTGCGATGGCGGAATCTTGGCTCACTGCAACGTCTGCCTCCTGGGTTCAAGAGATTCTCCTGCCTCAGCCTCCTGAGTAGCTGGGATTACAGGTGCCCGCCACTGTGCTCGGCTAATTTTTGTATTTTTACTAGAGATGGGGTTTCACCATGTTGGCCAGGCCGGTCTCAAACTCCTGACCTCAAGTAATCCCCCCTCCTCGACCTCCCAAAGTGCTGGGATTATAGGCATGAGCCACCACGCCTGGTCTCCCAGACATTTATTTTTTAATTTACAAAACATAACAAAACATTTTTTCCTGTTTCAAAAATAATATCTATTTATGTAGAAAATTTGGAAAATGTGTAAAACCCAAAAAGTTGTTAAGATGTACTAAATCCTACCACATGCTAAATATAATGGAAGGAACACTAAACATTTAAACAAGCCTTTGTAGAAATAGTTGAGGTATGGCTGAAGCTGTCACTTTATGCTTATTATTTTCAGCTCCCAAACTCACCTCTAAAAAAAAATCTGTTCTGTAATGAATGCATCTCTACCAAGTAGCTGGTAATATAATATGGTCACTTAACCAGCAATAAGAAGTCTGCTTTCAGCTAATCACAAGTTCTTCACGCTTACTTGAGTTAAACATAAATATTTCTGGTGTTATTTATCTAAAAAAAATGACTTTATAGGAGTTCAAAATTTGGTAGATATTTACTAATGTTATCTTTCTTTCATTTCTTCAATAAATATTAAGTGGATACACAGCGCCAGTCACTGCTTTAGATGCTGGGGTTACAGCAGAGGATAAAACAGACAAAATCCCCTGCCCTCACGGAACTTACCTTCTGCTGGGAGATTCAGACAATAAATAATATAACCAAATAAAATATACTGTAAGTTAAACAGTGATAATTGTAAGAAGAAAAAGAAAATATAACAGAGAAGGAGAACATTATATAGCAAAATAAGAGGGTGAAATTTTAAAGTGCATGTTTAAGAAAGACTTCAGTGAGAAGGTGTGGCAGGCCAGGTCTCACTAACAGCTGAACAGGCAGGCCTCCATGACAACTGTTTCAGCAATGACTGAGTGGTTAAGTTAAATATTAAAAGCTAATAGAGCCAGTGCCCTTACACAAACGCTTGAATGTAACAAAACCCCACCAAGAGTTTTGCCTAGGCCTTTCCTGGGCCTTGAAGCATGACAAGATAACGAAGGAATTCTCAACAGGACCCACTTAGAATTAAATAAGTTTTATTGGGGGGTCTGAAGAAAATCCCCAGACCTCCACAAACAAGCTTTATTGGGGGTCTAAGGAACTCCCCAAACCTCCATGATTTAGCAGGAGACAAAATAAGGGTAATCATACCTGGCACTTGAACCCATCTAGATTAAGTAAATTTACTGAGGCTCCAGAGGAAGGTCTTCAGGACTCAGGCCTTAGTTATATATTAGAAGTTAATCACTTACGTCTTTAGATGAATGCACACTTGCACATAGACATATAGCTTAGAAGGTATATAAGCTCTGGAAAGCTTTGTAATATTGAGTTGGTCCAGTGATATTTTCCCAGCCTTCTCCCTGCACCCGGTTACAGAAATAAACTCCCTTCTTTCCCAGTTCATCTGCATCTCGTTATTGGGCCAGGAGAACAAACAGCCCAACCCTCAGTTCGGTCCGGGAACAAAGGTAACTTTAGAGAAAAGACTTGAAGGTTCATGCTTGTAATCCCGGCACTTTGGGAGGCTGAGGTGGGCAGATCACTTGAGGCCAGGAGTTTGAGACCAGCCTGGCCAATGTGGTGAAACCCCATCTTTACTAAGAATACAAAAATTCAGCTGGGCATGGTGGCGCACACCTGTAGTCCCAGCTACTCAGAAGGCTGAGGCATAAGAATCACTTGAACCTGGGAGGTGGAGGTTGCAGTGAGCCCAGATCGCACCACTGTACTCCAGCCTGGGTGACAGAGCAAGACTCTGTCTCAAAAAAAAAAAAAAAAAAAAAAAAAAGACCCAAAGGAAATGAGGAAACTACCCATGTAGATTCTGTGGGAAGAGCATTCCAGACAGAGGGAAAAGCCAGTACAAAGACTCTGAGGGAGAAGCATGTCTGGCAGATTCAAGGAAACAGCATGATGGCCAGTGTGGCTGGAGCAGGATGGACAAGAGTTCACAGTAGTAGCAGATAAGGCCAGAGGTGGGGATTGGAGTCCACGTCATGAAGGGCCTTTAAAAACATAGTAAGGATTTTGGCTTTTTCTCAGAATGACAGGAAATCACTGGAGGGCTTTGCCTAGTAGAGAAAAATGCTTTGCTCACCTTGGCTGCTATGTTGAGAATACATTGTTTATTCTATCATGTAATGAAAGAAGTGTATTAAAATGTTCCATTAATATCAATGCTTTGTTTCTCCTTGTCACTCTGTCATGCTTTGTTTTAAATCTCTAAGGCTATGCTATTAGGTACATACATATTTTAAGTATTCATATATTCCTGGTAAATTTAATATTTTATTATTCTGAAATAAGCCCATTTATCTTTAGTAATGATTTTTACCTTAAAGCCTAATTTGTCTAATGTTAATATATTTCCACTGGTTTTCTTTTGGTTAATGTTTACATATCTTTTTCCATCTTTTTATATTTGGGTTTAAACATAGATTTTAATTTATGCTTTTTGTTTATCTCAATTGTTTTGCATTTCATTTTCTTTCTCTTTTTTACCTTGTTTTGGGTTAAACTTTTTTTTTACATTTCACTTTCTCTAGTTTGGAAATTTCATCTACTGTTCCTATTCTTTTAGTGGTTACCTTAGAAGTTGTAACATGTGTACCTAATTTATCAACATCAAAAGTTACTTTAAGCTTTATTCTCCTCCTGGGTTATATGAGATCCTTGGAACACTTTATTCTATATACCCTGCTCTGCCCCCCCCAACTTATATTATTGTTATTTGGGATTTTAGTTCAATATTATTTTTAAAACTACTTTCACATTTTTTTTTTTTTGCTGTTGTATGCAGTGTTCATTTACTGTACATCTTCTACAATGTGTCATTCTCCACCTATTACTACTGCTCTTTATTTTTGTTGCATCATAGACCTTCCCACCTGGGATCATTTTCCTCTGCCTGAAGTAAATTCTTTAGAATTTTCTCTAGTGATAGTCAGCTGCTGACACACTCTTAGCTTTGGAGTGTCTAAAATGTCTTTTTTCACCCGCATACTGAAAAGATGTTTTCATTGGGTATAGAATTCTAGGTGGTAATTATTTTCTTTCATTACATCAGGGGTCATCAAACTTTTTCTATAAATAGGCTGACAGTAAATATGTTAGGCTTTGCAAACCATGTAGTCTCTGCCACAACTATTTAATGCTGCCATAGTGGTGTGAAAGAAGCCATAAACAATACGTTAGTGGGTGTGGCTATGTTCCAATAAAATCTTATTTGAAAAACATGCAGCAGGCTAGTTTTGCCCCATGGAGCCACAATTTGCTGAACCCTGCACTACACTGAAGATATTATTCCACTATTTCTTACATTATTGCCACAGAGAAGTCAGCTATTAGTCTAACTGAAATTCCTTAGAAGTAATCTGTCTTTTCTCCGACTGCTTTTAAAATTTTCTCTGTCTTTGGTTTTCAACAGTTTCACTCTGGTAAGTCTAAGTGTGGATATCATTTTATGTATTCTGTTTGGGATTCACTGGACCTCTTAAATCTGTAAATTCATGTCTTTAAGCAATTCTGGGAAATCCCCAGTCAATATCTCTTTAATTATTGCCTCTGTCCCACTTTCTCCTCTCTGGACTCTAATCAAACATATGTTAGATCTTTTCACTGTATTGTTCTTATCTCTTATGTTCCCTTCTGTATTTCCTACCCTTTTGCTTTTCTAGTATCATTCTGAATAACTTCTGATCTATCTTCGAATTCATTTATTCTCTCTTTGGCTATGTCCAACCTTTTGTCAGACATGTTCATTTAATTTTTACTTTGCTAGTGTATTTTTCTTCTTTAGAAGTTCTATTTGGGTCTTTCCTCCTTCTTTTATGATATCTTTTTCCTAGTTTCCTATTCTCCATAGATATTTTAAGTTAGTCATTTATTTATTAAAACATAAGTTAGCATAGTTTTTTTTTTTTTAAAAAAAACTTCTGGTAATTATCAGAAACAAAAGTCTTTCCATACTTAAATTTAAGTTTCTTTCAGGCAGAAAGTCATTGAATTTTGTTTGCAATTCATCTAAAATGATTGTCTAACAATATAAATATCTGCTAATCTTGATGTCTGAAGATCATTCCATTAATTAGGAATCTTCCTAGCAGTATAATTGAAGTAAATGTTTGTTTTAATCTTGCAATAATTCATTTTTCTTCTTCTCTTATAGAACACACATTTTCTTTGGAGAACAACCTATGCCCCAATCTCAGTTCTCATTTAAGTGGGTTGACTCTACCCAGCATCCAAGGCTATGCATTTGACTTAGGCCTGGCCAATCAGAGTTTAGGATTCCTATGGTGCAAGTGATTGACCCGGGGTAGACACGTGATTCAGTCAGTCCAATGAGTCTAGATTCCAAGATTTTTTTTCTAGCTGGTATCTTTCCACCAGGGACATCAAGCAGGCAGAAATATAATCTAGAGCTACATATAACTGTTAACACCATAAGCGGAGAGTCTGCATGGAAATGGAGGCAGCAGAGAGGAAACAGAGCCAAGAGATGGAAAAAAACAAGGCTTGGTGGCATCATGGTAGCTCTTTTATTCAGATTCACTCCTTGCCCTTTCAGTTACATGCACAAAAATAAACCAATAGCTCTTTGTAATTTAGGCCTTTTAAATTGGGTATTTTTTCATTTACAACCTAGAGTCTTGACAAGTAGAGTACCACTGTGCAGCATACTCTGCTCCTCATTCCTGTCATGTAATGATGATAATAATACTATCTGAAAATCACATATCAAGAAATTACCATCCAACATACCTTGTCTGTTTGAATCAGCAACACTGTATAATTGGGAGAAAATGTCATATGTTCTACAGGTCTTTCAATCTCAAGAAAATCCTCGATCATGTAACTTCTATCTTTAATAATAAAAGAATACACAAAGCCATCCTAGAGATGAGTGAGATAAACATAGAAAATCAGTCTTAGTCAATGCATAGTATACTTGCCTCATCAGACAAGCTAAGGCTTATTGATTACTTCTACTGCTTATTTGGAATCATCATCTATGTTTGCATAGATGCACTGTCCTCTCATCTTTATTTAGACAACTTTTAACTATGTTCCCTGGTCAAGCTTCAGTCTGATCTCTTTTGTGATGCATTTTTCAATTACCTAAAATTTTACTGACCTCCCCTTTTTTTGAGTTTCTCTAGTATCCCTCTTCTTACTACATTCTTCACTGCACAGGAGGTAGGAAAAATGAAGTAGAGTTTGTGTGGCTTGTGTATAGCAGTTTCTTTCCTTCAAAGGACACTAGCCCTCCTGTATGCTCTTTAATCATTATTATGTGCATTTCTTATCTCCCTAAATGACCCAAGGGTAGGCAGTGTGCCTTTTATTCCCTTCGGATCCTCTTTTTCTGTTCCTCACACAGTAGTAGAACATGGCAAGTATCCAATAGAAACGGGTTGGTTGGTTGGCTGGTTGTGAATAGATTTAGGTTAATTTTATTATTCTCAAGAGGAATTTGAGTTATTTTTACAATAGTGAAAACACTCTGAGGAAATTTATTTATCATTTTCTAGATTAGATCTGTTATAACTAAGCATGGGGACTTTAGATGGCTGGTTTCAAATGCTTGGGCCCTGGAAGGGAAAGCAGGCAAGGTGCTTTTTTTGAGCTCATCTCCATTCTCCATCACTCACCAGAGCAAATGCTATAATAGTTACTTTAAAGGGGGTTAAACAAACATCAAGGGTGGTCTTGAAGAGGACAAGAGTCATAAAAGGCACAAATGCTGACTAAATGGAGGAGGAGGAGGGGATAGTCCACTGCAAGGTTGGGGGAGCTAAGTGTAGGTGTATGTGCTCCAGATGGCTTCCTGAGGGTAAAATGTCTCTCACCCTGATGTCACTGCCTAGCTACCCTCAAGGTCCTGGAGATGTCATCTGTGGCAGTGAAATGGACTATGCTAACATCTGGGATAGTTACAACTAGACCTATGTTTTAGTGTAGGTCAGTTCCACACCTTAGCATTGTTTACATTGATTACAATGGCATGGAAAAACATGGTCTGGGCCGGGCGCAGTGGCTCACGCCTGTAATCCCAGCATTTTGGGAGGCCCAGGCGGGCGGATCATGAGGTCAGGAGATCAAGACCATCCTGCATAACACGGTGAAACCCCGTCTCTACTAAAAATACAATAATTAGCAGGGCGTGGTGGTGTGCACCTGTAGTCCCAGCTACTCGGGAGGCTGAGGCAGGAGAATGGCGTGAACCCAGGAGTTGGAGCTTGCAGTGAGCCGAGATCGCGCCACTGTACTCCAGCCTGGGAGACAGAGCGAGACTCCGTCTCAAAAAAAAAAAAAAAAAAAAAAAGAAAAGAAAAGAAAAAGAAAAATATGGTCTGACCCCTTTTATTACTTACTGAGGCTGAGTTCTAATAAATGACAGCAAAGACTTTGGAGTTTGATACACCTATGTTCAAGCCCTAACTCTTCCAATTACTTGCTGGTGAACTCTGTGAGATTAGATTCCTTGTCTGTAAAAGGAGGATGTCAATAGTTTCTATTTGATAAGGTTGTTGTAAGGACCTATAAGATAATACAAGTAAAGTACTTAGCTTGGTGCCTGGCACAAAGCAAGCACCAAGTAAATGGAGGCTATTAATACTGATTCGAATATCAACAATAACATTATGATACATGTAAGTTAAATGGGCATTCACAAGAGTCTAAGCTGCAGCTTAGACAAAGGATTCCAAATTCGTGTCTGATAAGCTAATACATTAAGTGTAGAAATGAGCATGGAATTGGGTTACAGATATTAGGTATTTTTTCATTGCGGAAGGGCAATGGATTTTTAAATTCTATTTGTGTTTGTTTGCAGTAATATATGG
The DNA here is from genome assembly GCF_000001405.40 of Homo sapiens. Lineage (NCBI taxonomy): Eukaryota > Metazoa > Chordata > Mammalia > Primates > Hominidae > Homo > Homo sapiens. The sequence goes on from NC_000010.11 coordinate 104,205,756, forward strand.
TAGTTCATTATATCGTCCCCTCTATTTTGTATAGATTTGAAGCTATTCATAATAAATCCTTTTTAATAGTACCCAAAGAGGAAACCATTTTAATTAATAATGTGACAGATCTGACATCCTAAAATATGGCTCATAATAGTAAATGGCAACAAATGGGAATTGTGAATTTTCTTTAAACCAATTAATTTGAAAAAAAGAATACATTACAATTCCAGAAGCCAGCACGCCCTCCTTCTGATATACCAAGGTTACTGGACTGATAAAATTTCTTCTGTCTTCTGGAAAAGAAAAACAAGGTAAAGCAGGTGACGTAATTAAAAGTACAATGTAACAATGAATAATAAAAGCTACTTTTACTGATGTAAATCTTATAAGTTGTTTTTGAATTCTCTATCATCAGATCTATGTAACTAACATAGATGCTAGATTAGAGAGAGGAGCAAGGCTGGAGGGTATAGTAGGAGTAAAGGGAAGAGAGAAAGGGAGTTGGGAGGGAAGTGAAACCTCATGGCCTCAGTTTTACAGGGAAAGTGAGTCAGAGAATAGGAAAAAAGGCAGATGAGGGACAATGCAATGGGGAAAACTTGCTGGAGGGGGTGGTATTTGAGCTGGGCATTGGCAGATTCAGAGACAGTAAGTGCCAAGGGAATGGGCTAGAGGCATGTCTGTGAAATGGTGAAAATAAATGACTGGCTCAGAAAACTCATACCAGGGCATAGTTGGAAATAATATTAATGGAGTAGGTAGGATCAGATTAGGGAGAGCGTGAAATCAAGGCAGAGCAGTTCTTGAGCTGGGTGTTAAAAGTGGCCTTCAAAGAGGCAATTTGACAGAGATAAACTGCATAGATTGGGTCAGATGTAGATTAAGGTCAGTGAAGTCCATCCTAAAGTTGTTACAGAAATCAAGGTGTGAAATAGTAAGAGCAATTGAAATAGAGAGTGCTTTGGACAGGTTTGAGGAGCTTGTCTTGGCAAGGCCCCCTCCTCCCAGGGTCTACATCTACTGCTCAATGAGTGGACAGTGGCTCCTGTGGCCCAGGCCCAACCATGGCCACAGCTGATAGGGTCAGGAATAGACACTATATCTAGGGCAGAATAGATCAGGTTATCTTTCAAATTCTAGCTGAGCAATATGGCAGGGTGTGGTGGCTCCTGCCTGTAATCCCAGCACTTTGGGAGGCCAAGGCAGGCAGATCACTTGAGGTCAGGAGTTCAAGATCAGCCGGGCCAACATGACGAAACCCCATCTCTACTAAAAATACAAAAATTAGCCAGGCGTGGTAGTGTGTGCCTATAATTCCAGGTACCTGGGAGGCTGAGACACGAGATCGCTTGAACCCAGGAGGCGGAGGTTGCAGTGAGCCAAGATTGCACCACTGCATCCTAGCCTGGGTGACAGAATGAGACTCTGTCTAAAAAAAAACCAAAAAAACAACACCTCTAACCGAGCAATAGAAAGGTAATTTTCAAGATGGCTTTTGGGCTTAACAGATGATCAGCCTGGAGAAAAGGGTTGGGGTGGGGGCAGGAAAGGGTATGATTAGCAGACTAAGCAGAATGGGCATATGTATAGAAAAGGATACAGCACAGTAGCCAAGAACTTGGACTCTGAGGTATTATTGCCTGGGTTCAGGTGTCAGCTCCACAGTTTACGTGGACTGGGCCATGTTTCCTAACATATCTCTTCTGTATCGTGGAGATTAAGGTGTCTCTCCTCATAATGTTGTTCTGAGGATTACATGAAATATGCATATAAAGTGATGGTAGAATGCCAACAGCACAGTAACAGCCAGAGGATTAAGAAGAAGGAGGATTCAAAGATGTCTCCAAGAAAGAGAAAAATAGGGAAAACCAAAAAAACCAACACCCATGGCTATACAGGAATATGAAGTAGGACAGTTTCTTACCCAATGGCGATTCCTCTTCTATCTTATTAAGTACAGTCACTTGCAAGGTGTCTCCATTAATCATTAAAAGATGACCCTCTTCACAGCCAATGTACAAGTCACTTGTTGGAGTCCAGCAATGCATAGTCGGGTGAAGCAAAGGATATAGATCATCTTTCGGCTTCAGGGAGAGAATAAAACCTTGTGTTAAGAAAACAATCACGGCTAAAAGCCTGAGAAATACTCACCAGAACAACTGACAAAAAGGAACCATACTTAACCCCATAGACGCAGAAAACATAGGAACATTGAGCATTCATCATAATAATTTTTTTTAAGGACAGACTGACTTTAATTTATTATTTGTACCTTTCATGCCCTCATAGCCTTAGATAGTTAGAAAATAAATAGTTGGGTAACAATCTGGTCACCCAGTGGATCAAGAAAAAGGCAAACCACCTTTCCCACTCCAAAAAATTAAACTGCTGCTGAATAGTGACACTTCTGTGGTGTCTGATTGAGATTTGACTCATAAGGAAGAGAGTTATTCACCGTTATCACCATTATTGAAAAGTTTCCTGAGTTTTTTTTATGACATCTAACCTTAAACTATAAATCACAAAGACAGACTTAACTGAAATGACAATAGGATCAAAATCTTAAACAAAACAACAACAAAACACCATGTCTCTCATTTGCACAATACCAGTGAATCTGTGTGTATAAAACAAAATGTGAAGATTAAAATTTGAAATTTTCTGGCCTTGGTATGTTAAACTAGTATTGTATGTGGCTTTTTTTTCTTTAAGACAAACCTGGGCTTGTCTTCCTATTACTTTTTCATCAATAAATATATTTGATGACATTTAAAAATGAATGTGAGTATATGGATTATGTAAGCAGAAACAATAGTTTATAATTCTGAGATATTTAAAAATAAAGGGTACCAGTAGTGTTTAGAAATGTTTGTTGATAATATCATCTCCTTTTTCAGTCCTCTAGAATCAGAAATCATTTTGATCACATGATGACAAAACATGAAAAATTGCAGTCCAATTTAATCCTGCTTTAGAAAATGTAAAAATCCATATATATTTCAAAATATTTGAGTCTCTAAAAGAGATTCCTATTTAGCAACATCTGTTTGAAAAAATTAAAAAGGTAGATGGAAAATAGAAATTAGACACTTGAGATTAAGTTCATGATCTTGGATCCAATTTCTGCCCAGATAACATCTGCCTTTGATTTCCCCCATGCTACGACTTAAAACTGGATACATTTCTAACGCCCTAAATAAGTTGTGTAATGTGACTCAGGGCTATTTAAAGTCCTGTAATGTACCCTTCTGGCATTAGCTATGAATAGATAATGGGATTATTTGATGTTTGTAATTTTTTAAAAGTCCACAACTTATCCATTTTTAAGACCTTATACAGATCGAGTCATTATTGATTCCCTTGCCATTGGTACCCAGGTCACAAGAAATGACATTGAAGGAGGGAATAGAATCAAGACATTTGAGATCTATTTTTGGTTATGCTTTCACTCATTGTACAGACATTAATTAATGTTTTAAACATTTTCCTCACTTTATTTTGCTACAAAATGAAAAAGTAAACTACTGGGAAAATGTCTAACTTAAATACAAAATATATGGCTTTATTAATAATCCATGAATGATTTAGGGTTGTCAAACTATAATATTACATTTCTGCTTTCAGAAAAATTTAAAATACACTGAGTGCACAAGTCCTAGGAAATAAAGATGTCTGCCCAGACAATATATCCACATAGCAAAACTGCAGGCGTACCCCTTAAATTTATACAAATAAAAAAGGTTTTAAAATAAAGATGTCTATTATGAGCATTTTAAAATAATAACTCCACATTTGAGTATTTAAAGAAGGCATTTCATAGCATTTCTCAAATGACAAGGACAATTGCCTGAATTTTAAATGTTTTATGCAGAGTTCGTTATGTTTGTACAAAATGTGAAATATAAGGGCTCCTACACATATTTTCTGCCCAGAAAAACCCAATTTGAGAGAGTAGAAATTTAGGGGCTCTGGCACCAAATACTAAACATAGAAAAATTTGAGTTGCAAACCTTGATGGCTGATCTCTTTGTTCTTCCTTTGCTGCCCCACTGTGGCTGAATGCAGTTATATCTCCAAGGCTGAGACCTGTGCTATAAAAGGAACTACAGTATCCACAGGGGATGGGTTCCAGGACCCCCCACTGATACCAAAATCTGTGGATGCTCCAGTTCCTTACATAAAATGGCATAGTATTTCCATATAACCTACATACATCCCCCTGTAAATTTTTTCTTTATTTTTAATTATTTTATTTTATTTTTTCTCCCATATACTTTTAAGTCATCTCTAGGTTACTTATAATACCTAATACAATGTAAATGTTTTATAAATAGTTGTTATACTATATTGTTTAGGAAATAACGAGAAGAAATAAAAGTGTGTATATATTCAGTACAGATGCAACCATACAACTTTTTTCTGAATATTTTTGATCTGCAGTGGGTTGAATACACAGAAGTGGAACCCACGAATGCAGGAGATTGACTATAATCTCTTTCCATAATTTAAAAAGGTGAATCATTGACATTCATTAGAGGAAATATTAAGGGCATGTAACCCTTTCTCTTGCTTGCCACAGAGATTTTTGAATGAACTAATCTTCACACTGAATTATTTTTATTTTAGTTTAGCTTAGTTTAGTTTTTGAGACGGAGTCTCGCTGTCACCCAGGCTGGAGTGCAATGGTGCAATCTTGGCTCACTGCAACCTCCGCCTCCCGGCTTCAAGTGATTCTCCCACCTCAGCCTCCCGAGTAGCTGGGATTGCAGGCATCTGCCATCATGCCCAGCTAATTTTTAACACAAGGGTAAAGCATAGCAGGTTCAAGAGGGCCAAAAAAGTGGAGCTTCTCCCTTCATCCCAAAGGTCTTGCAGGTGCTGCCCTCTGTTCCCTGCCTGTCTCTTGAATAGCACCCCACACCTCACTTCCACTTCATTTATCATGCTCCAGCCATATGCATCTTTTCTCAGTTCCTTACACATACCAAGTTCTCTTTTTCCCTTAGGGCCTTGCACATGCAGGTCCTTCCACGTGAAACACTCTTTTTTTTTTTTTTTTTTTTTTTTTGAGACGGAGTCTCGCTCTGTCGCCCAGGCTGGAGTGCAGTGGCGTGATCTCGACTCACTGCAAGTTCTGCCTCCCGGGTTCTCACCATTCTCCTGCCTCAGCCTCCCAAGTAGCTGGGATTACAGGCGTCCGCCACCATGCCCGGCTAATTTTTTTGTATTTTTAGTAGAGACGGGGTTTCACTGTGTTAACCAGGATGATCTCGATCTCCTGACCTCGTGATCCACCCGTCTCGGCCTCCCAAAGGAAACACTCTTTATCCTGCTTGTAACATGAGTAATGCCTCCTTGTCCTTCAAATCTTAGCTTAAGTGTCATCTCCCCAGAGGCCTTCCTTAACCAGCCCATCCCATCCTTGCTGCCCTGTCTCCATTTATTCTGTTGTAATAATTACCACATTTTGTAATGATTCAATATATCATTGCAAAATGTGATAATTATTACAAAAGAACAATACTCTTTACTTTTGTTGTTGTAGTTCTGTCTCCCTGACAAGAATGTAAGCTCCATGAGAATTACATGGAGCCTGCTTGGCCACCATGCGAATCCCATTGCTTAAAACAGTGTCTGCTCCATAGAAGAAACTTGATAAATCTCTGTTGAATGAATGAATGAATGAATGGGTGTGTAACACCTGGCAAACTCCCTTTTGAAACTTTCTTCTGCTGTTTCCTACGGCCTTGTTCCTCCCTCCCGGGTTTGCTCCTACTTCTGTGACTGCGCCTTCTCAGAATTCCTTTCGCCCCTGAGTTCAGCAGTCAGCTGGCTCTGGCTCTCTTTTCTTCCCTTGCACCCTTTCTCTCTTTGCTCATCACATCCCCTCAGTGCTCCCACCGTCCTATCTGTGAGAATGACACTGACAGTCCCACCTCTCCTCCCTAACACTAGGTCCACTTTCCCAACTTCTGCCCAGCATCTCCACCTAGGTGTCTTCCCTGCACCCCAAATTGAGTATGCCCAAAATGGAAATCACACCTGGGCCCCCTGTCTCTGTTAGCAATGCCGTCATCATCCCAGTCATCCAAACTCAAAACTCCAGAGTCTTCATCTCTCACAGTCTCTGTGGCTAATCTATATTAAAAACCAAGATGATCCTCTGTATCCTGCATTTCTCAAGGGATGGTTATGCCAATCAAATGAGATCAGGCTTCCTAGACCTCAACCCATTAGGCAAACAGGAAGAGGTGCCAGGTAATTACCCGGAAAGTCTCTGCCTCTTTGCCTACCAGCCCGGCAATGGCTGACAGTGGCAGCACGGGACCATAGATGAGATCTTTCGGCAACGACTGGGGGAAAACGACATCCGTTTCATTAAAAAATGACCCATCTTCTAGAGGTAATTTCACCGACCTGTAGACAAAAGAGGCATCAGAACAATGAGATGAACAGAAACTTCTTATTGATGCAACCACTGCATATCAGTTTAAGTGAGGTGGGGAGGTATTATAACTTGCAAAAATCAAATAAGAAGATAAAAGCCAAATGATAGATTTAAAAATATATAACAGGTTGTAAAAAGACAAGTTACACAGTTTTAAATTAAGTACTGAGGGATTATAAAAATTTTTGAAAGTTAATATCTAAAGCAGGAGTTGTAAATTTGAATACTGGATGAGGGTCGGGCAGGTGATATGTGACTGGTGAGGACAGTGGAAAATGGGAAAATATTTGTCCCTCCTCAAGGTGGCAGGGACCACTCAGTTCAAGCCAAGAGGGTTGTTGACATGTGAGAATTTTGATTCCAAAATTTCAAGAGAATACTATAACCTGGATATTTATGAGAAATCTCTTAAACTTTAAATGTTGGCAACTAATTCAAATGAAAAACACTGTAGACTAAAATAAATATATATTTAAACATATATTCAGGCTGTATTCAGCTACTTTTATAATCTCTGATATTGAGTTCATTTTCAAATTTATCATATATCTACTTTTAATTTATAATATGGTTATAAAGGTTAATTTAGAGAATTTGTGGTTTCATGCATTAAATTCAAAACTTCCTTGCCTAGATTTTATAAATGATAAACAATTTTGAAAAACAATCACATAAAAACAGCACCTACTACTCAAATGTAAGGCTGAAGTGTGTTTGAATCCTGCTTGCTTTGTGAACTAGGACAATCCACTCGTTTTATCTCCCATTTTATTTGCTTACAGAAAAGTCACAACTCAGTATTCAGAACTTGAGTAGAACGTTTGAGGGAGGCAAAGGGAGAAAAGGGTGTGATAAATTACTTGCCTGCCCTCACAAGGATCTGATAGAGATATCACCCACTTTTATTAAAAGGTGCAGTGTTGTCAACTCTCACTAGAGACAGATTTGGCTATTCAATGGGTTACTGTGAAAAAGAAGTTGAGACATAAAGAGCACTGAGCAGAAAGGCTTCTCTTAAGGCTCTCCATTTCAAAAGCTTTATTTACTAGCTTTAGATTCTCTTAAGGCGATTTATCAAAATTGCAATTTCAAGGGAATACTTTTGAGATCTCTTAAAAATCAAGAGATCCAACATCTCTTCAACTTTGACTTCATGGAGTACACTGAAAATGGTCAGCTCAGTAGCACCTTGAGTCTCCGAGCTCTTTCTCAACAAAAGCACCCATTATCACCACGGCATTTGTCACAGAATTTCTCTTTGACCCAGTTCTATTTAAACAGGTAACTCCCATGGCTCCACTATACACAACTACCCTTTTGCTTGCGGATAATGTGTCTGAATGTATAATCTGCATATTTTTTTTTTTAGATGGAATCTTGCTCTGTCCCTAGGCTGGAGTGTAGTGGCACGATCTCGGCTCACTGCAACCTCCACCTCTTGGGTTCAAGTGATTCTCCTGTCTCAGCCTCCCGAGTAGCTGGGACTACAAGCATGCGCCACCATGCCCGGCTAATTTTTTGTATTTTTAGTAGAGACGGGGTTTCGCCGTGTTAGCCAGGATGGTCTCGATCTCCTGACCTCGTGATCCGCCTGCCTCGGCCTCCCAGATTGCTGGGACTACAGGCGTGAGCCACTGCACTCGGCCAATCTGCATACTTTCTATATCTAACCATTTCTTATTTTTGAAATTCCAGTAGGGCATCTGAGTAATAGCAAAAGTCTTAACTCTCCTTTTTATACAACAGGCATGTTTTAAAATAGTAAGGACAAATAAAATTTTAGAAAATTAGATCATGTTGGAAAAAGCTCTCAGAGAACTTAATATTTTAAATAAATTAATTGGGAAACAAGTCATAGAGAATTCTTTTGAAATGCAAACAACCACTCCAAGGTAATCACGCATGTAGAAAGATGTTATAACAAGATAAGCTGAACGTATGTGTGTGTATGTGTGTGTATGCATATATATGTATGTATAAAGCCACTTAATTCATCAAATTGACCCAATCACATTACACGAATGCAAACAAAGACCACCATGTTGCTACTGTTGTAACAAAGGCTCCTACCTTGCTCTGAAACAATGCTCCTGGTTACTTCTTTCAATGGTCCACACGCTCACTGTACTTGGACTTGATAAGCACAGCTGGCGCCAGTTCATGGGGTTAAAAGACATTTGGTTCACATCCATTCCAGGCTGTGATTTCTTACACAAAATGATACTCGATTCCCAGTTCCTTAGAGAAAAATAGCATTTGATGAAAAAAAGTTCATTTGAATTTCATGTATTTAGAACATTTATCTATTTTTTAATTTACATAAATTGGGATATAATTTATGATACAATTTATATAATCAATGACCTTAATGTCAAATTTATAAATAATTATGCTTATCATTGTATTGTATCCTAAGAAAGCAAAAAAACTATGTTTTAAAAACACTATACTGTCATATGCTATACCAAGGCTATTTTATCTTCTTTAATAATTTTGCAATTTAACTCAGCCAAACCTAGAAAATGAAATATATCATCACATTTGCTACAAAACAAGTGTAAGTGCCTGAATCTGTAAGTACTACATGTGAGTACTCCATATGGATCTGGGGGTACTGTTCTCATCGATGCCAATTGATCATTTATTGAGTTTTTAAAATTAAAGTGGTGCCAGGCGCGGTGGCTCACGCCTGTAATCCCAGCACTTTGGGAGGCCAAAGCGGGTGGATCACGAGGTCAGGAGTTCAAGACCAGCCTGGCCAATATGGTGAAACCTGTCTCTACTAAAAATACAAAAATTAGCTGGGTATGGTGGCACACGCCTGTAATCCCAGCTACTTGGGAGGCTGAGGCAGGAGCATCGCTTGAACCTGGGAGGCGGAGGTTGCAGTGAGCCAAGATTGTGCCACTGCACTCCAGCCTGGGCAACAGAGCAAGACTCCATCTCAAAAATAAATAAATAAATAAATAAATAAATAAATAAATAAATAAAGTGGTGTATTTTAAAATGGATTTATTCATTTACCCATTTAAGAGAATATCCTGAACTCCTACCATGAACAAAGTCCCTTGCTAGATGAAGGAAAAGAAAAAAATTAAATGTGAGCTATGCCCTCAAATGAGGGGCCAGAACTCCATTCAGAGTTGTGATTAGGAAACTGGAGCTAATATTGATTGAGCTTAGCTTGCCTTTCACTCCCTCCTGCCCTCATCCTTCATTCCCTATCACAAATGCCCTGCCCAACACATCAACCACACTCTTGCTGGAATCTCTGGTTCCCTTGATCCTTTGACTTTTTGCATCAGGTACCTGGCAAAGACCGTCATCCCTGGATGGAGACAACTGAAAGCCTGGGCTGCTAGAGACATGGGAACAAAGACTACAGGACTGTGCATGGCAGTGACACCATAAACTTGTGGTTGCCACCCCCCACCAGACCCTCAATAGGATCTCCAATCCTGCTATGTTTCTCTGGCCAGTTCTCTCTCTCTCATTCTCTAAAATGGGCATTTAAAATATTCTCCCCTCTCCCGAAACCTCTAGCCCCTCTACTCCCTTCTCAATCTCAGTAAATGGCTTTGATTCCCATGAATAAAATAGAGGCCATCAGCTGAGAATTCTTGCTCTCAAGTATAACTACCCATTTGGGTCTGCATGGTTCTCTCCGCCTCCTCTCCCCTTACAATGGAAGGTGTGTCCTTCCTCCTACCTAAGGCCAATTCCACCACCTGTGCTCTGGGTCCCACAGTCTTGCCTTCTTAGGGACATTGGTTTACTCAGGATAACTGCATCTTCCAACTCTCCCTCTAGCCTGACTTCTTCCTGCCAACACACAAGTGCTCATCCATACCATCCTCAAAAGAAGCCTTCCCTCAGTCTTACCTTTCTATGTCTCTCCCCTCTCCTCAGAGTCAAACTTTTTGAGCAAGTTGTTCTAAAGTCACCGCCATGGCTTCCTCAGCTACACTTTCCTCATCCCAGGATACCTGCATCCTGTCACCACCATTCCATTGACATAGCTATATCCACAGATACCTGCCTTCATCCTAAATCCAAAAGGCACTTCTCAGTCATTGCCTAACTTTACCTCTGCAGAACTGGGCACTGTTCACCACAACCACCTTCTGGAATCACTCTTAGACTCTCTGTCACACACCTCTTATGGGACACCACAGATCCTCTCTATTGTGTCTGGGCCCTTGACCCCGTCTTCTGCCTCGCTGACTCAGTGGCTGTCCAACTGTGTGTGCACTTTGACTAACTTCATGTAGGCACACCCCACCTGTGCCTCGCCTCACACCCACTTCACACGCCCAGTGGCTTCACTGGGGCTTCACTGGGGCTCCTGGGGACAATCACGACAAACCTGAAAGTGTGAAGGAATTACCACCCTGTGCAGTGAAGCTTCAATCGATGGGATACAGGAGTTGGTGGATAAATTCTCATCTCCTCCTCTCCCCTTCCCCACCCACAGTCTGTCACTGCCTGAGGACTGTCCTGATTCATAGCAGTTCATAGAACCTCTCAGAAGACCACCTTCGAGATAGAGTAACCAGTTGCACTCGGTACCAAGTGGTGGCCAGCAAGGTAATACGCCCTCATACTGGCTCTCCTGCCCTGGGATCACACACCCTGCTAAAGATGGGATGCATGAGCTCTTGCCTCAGCCTCTGCTTTCCAAGGAACCAGGCTGAGGCACATTCTGGAACCCTCCCTGCCTAGTGTCCTTCCTCCTTTCATAGCTACTCCTATGAGTCTCCTAGGTGGGTCCCTTCCATTGATATTCCTCAAGGTTCCACCCTAGGCTCTTCTTGAGGTGTTCTTACTTACATTTCACACTTTGGCTATCCATTGACTTAATTATTCCCAAATGTTTATCTCCAGCCCTCTCTCCTGAGCACCAGTCCTGGATATCTGTGGCAAGGGCATGTGTCCCTCAGCATTTATTCTCCATTTCTCCCTCTGAGTAACAGAACCCCCTGAATATTAGCCAGGCACATATGGCCACTCACAATGAGGACCTAATATTACCTAGCCACCCTTGAAGCTGGCTGTGGCTTATGGCCGAGCCAGTCAATGAATGTTAGTGGCAGTCATGTGTGCACCTTCCAAGCCTTGCATTTTTTTCTTTCTTTCTTTTTCTTTTCTTTTCTTTCTTTCTTTCTTTTTCTTTCTTTTTGAAATATCATTACTTTAGTGTTCCAGGCATTTTAAATATTCATACAATTTCCTTATTTCAGCAGTCATTTCCTCTCCAGTATAGATTTTGTGTCCAGGATCAGAGCCATGTACATCACTGAATTTTCTCTACAGCACTCGCATGCTACATAGGACCCACTCCGGCACCCATGTCTTTGCTAGTAGAGCCTCTCACCACACCCGCAAGAGGGCTGGACCTTCCGTTGCTTGACATGGCCTCCACTGCGAATGAAAACACACTTTGTAGCTTCGATCCCGGTACATTTCCAGCACTCCCAGGTGTTCCATGTATGTGGCAATCATCCTGCAGAGCTAGTGATACATCAGGTCAGCTGGTACCTATGCCAGCACCTGCTCCACTGTATCATACAGATGCTGAGGCACTTAAGTGTTCTGGGTAAAATGGAGTTCATAATTGCCATAGGAGTTGAGTGTGGAGGAAGGGGACTTTCTCTCAATAATTAATACCCTTAATACAAATTTAGCAGATTTATAATTTCAGGTCTGTTTACATTTGTTGTCAAAGCTTCATAAACTATTTACATAAATGAAAGCATGTTCGAGTTTCTAAATGTTGCTATGACAAGCAAACAGAGAAACTGCTTAGACAACACTTGCTTGCGCCGTAAATACATATGGCAACACCTGGTCATTCTTAAAGAAATGCTTGTGTTTCCAAGGCCGGGCGCAGTGGCTCACGCCTGTAATCCCAGCACTTTGGGAGGCTGAGGCGGGCGGCTCATGAGGTCAGGAGATTGAGACCATCCTGGCTAACACGGTGAAACCCCGTCTCTACTAAAAATACAAAAAATTAGCTGGGCGTGGTGGCGGGTGCCTGTAGTCCCAGCTACTCGGGAGGCTGAGGCAGGAGAATGGCGTGAACCCGGGAGGCAGAGGTTGCAGTGAGCCGAGATCGCACCACTGCACTCCAGCTTGGGTGACAGAGTGAGACTGTGTCTCAAAAAAAAAAAAAAAAAAAAAAAGGAAAGAAATGCTTGTGTTTCCAAAAAGAATTTTTTTTCAAGTCATAAGCCTTATGCAATTCTTCCAAGGTAATAATGTGTTTGTCCTTCCTTCTCAAGCAGTGGTTCAAGGCATCTCAAGGCACATTGCTCTCTGAGGTTCTGATTTAACTGGCCGAGGGGAGAGGGGAAGAGTGGGCACTAACATTTTTTAAAAGCTTCACAAGTCATTCCAGCATGTAGTCAGTGTTGAGAACCTTGGTACTAAAGGCTCTTGCATCTTCCTACTGTCACTTGTCCTCACCAAAAGCCCTTGAGGTAGTCCCTGGGTCAGGCAATGATCTCTTTCATGCAAGCCCTGCATTTCAACAGAAGGTTTGTGCCCTTCCCCTCATCCTTTTCCCTCCCCATTGGCTCCCAAAATACACCGGTGGTTTAGGGTTCCTCTGCTGTTCCTAGGGTGTTGCCCTCATCTCTACTATTTAACCCATTATAGACCAGAGATGAGAGAAACACCCTAGGAACAGCCGAGCAGCATGACAGCGGGAGACTGGACGCTGACCCCGAGGAGCCACCACACCAACCACAGCTGCTCGTGCCCAGACAACTGCATGTGACAGAAGGAAACACATGTTGGTGATTTGGGTTTCTGTGACCACAAATGAACCTAAGTCCTAACTGATATATCAGCTGCCAACTAGACATCTCCGTTTGTTCATCTCAAGCACTCTCAGTTCAGTTTGTCCCCCAGCTCATCTTCCCCCATTGCCTCCCCTAAATTCCCTGCCCCCAAGCCCTCAGTATCTCTCTGAATAGCATCAGAGTGTCCCTAAGTTGCCCAAGTCACACGCAACTCTGGATATAACCCTAGACCCATCCCTCTTCCTCAGCACGACACCCAATATTTAGTCAGTTACAAGTCTCATGATGCTACCTCCTAAACACCTCCCAAATAGTTTCACTTCCCTCCATCCCTACTCCCACCCTAGTCCATGACACAGTCATCTCTCACCTGGACCACCACAGCCTCCTAATTGATGTTCATGCCTTGTTTCCTTCCAATATACCTTCCACAGTACGAAAGTATTGGAGATACTTTCATTGGAAATAATTGGCTGAAAGGAATCTTCTTAAATGCAGATATAATTGTGTCACTTCCCTGCTTAAAACCCTTTAGTAGCTCCCCACTGCCTTTAGGATAAAGAATTTGTCCATTAGCCTAGCTTATATGGAGTGTGAGTATCCTTCCCAGTATGCCTAGGAGAAACCCAGTTTAGGCTAAAGTGCCCTGCATTCATCAGCAACACCCTCTTTCACTCTCAAAAGCATCCTGATTTGGATGATAAACCACATGGTCACCTACATATAGGGCTGCTCATAAGCTCACCTCTGACTGTCCCTCCAAGCTTGCCTCTCTCATGGCAAATCTCTTGTTCCCGTTATCATGACCTTTTCATTGAAACCTGCTGTGCTTTTTCTACTTCATGGCCTTTGCACATGCCATTCCTCTGCCTAGGATGTTCTTTCTTCTCGTCACAAGGCTGATTCCTGTTCATCCTTTAGGTATTGCTATGGGTTGAACTGTGCCTCCCCCAAATTCCCGTGTTAATATCCTAACCCCCAGCACCTCAGAATGTGACCTTATTTGGAAATATGATCTTTACAGAGGGTAATCAAGTTAAAATGAAGTCATTAGGATGGGCCCTAATCCAATAAGTCTGGTGTTCTTATATAAAGGGAACATTTGGAGACAGACACACACAGGGAGAATGCCATGTGAAAATAAAAGCAGAGATCTGGGTGATGTGTCTGTAAGCCAAGGACTGCCAGCAAACAAGTGAGCAGAAGTTGGTGAGAGGCGCGGGGGCAGATTCTCTCTCACAGCCCTCAGTAGGAACCAACCCTGCTGAGACCTTGATCTCAGAATTCTAGTCTCCAGAACTGGGAGGCAATATACGCATGCTGTTTAAGCCACCCAGTCTGTGGTACTTTGCTATGGCAGGCCTAGCTAATTAATAGAAGTATCTGTTTAAACATTACCTCTCCTTCCAGGAAGCCTTCCCTGACCATTCCCCTCCACCAACAGACTATGTGAGATGCCCCTACTACAGGTTCCCATTGTGCCTTAGATCAATGAAAGCTATAAAAGAGCTTAGAAACCAAATGAGTTTAAAGCCCACTCAGCAACTCACCAACTATATAAGTTTAGGCAAGTAGCTATAAGAACAAAAAAAAAATGAAACTTGGAAAAAAGAAAAATTGTGTTGGCTTGATTTCTCATATCATGCTGGGAAGCATTTTCCAGCAAGCCTCCTCGAACAAAAACCAGACTTTGTACCTTGCTTTGCCCCATATCTGACACTCCTGGGGAATGTAACTTTGTTGTCATAATACATACTAACAGCCTCGATGTGATAAAGGCAGGCATGCTTTTACAGGTTAAACTCTAGAACATGTTCAATGCTATGATTGTATGCCCTGGTAGAACAGTTAAGTTTAAGGTCCTAAGGTTTTAGAGACCTCTGGAAAGATAATCATTCACATATCTAACCTAGAAATTTTATGTAACCACTACTTTTTCTAACTCTATATGAGTGAGCGTGTGTGTGTGTGTGTGTGTGTGTGTGTGTGTGTGTGTGTGTTTGAGACGGAGTCTCGCTCTGTCACCCAGGCTGGAGTGCAGTGGCATGACCTTGGCTCACTGCAACCTCTGCTTCCCAGGTTCAAGTGATTCTCCTGCCTCAGCCTCCTGAGTAGCTGGGATTACAGGCACCCACCACCACTCTGGCTAATTTTTGTATTTTTAGTAGAGATGGGGTTTCACCATGTTGGCCAGGCTGGTCTCGAACTCCTGACCTCAGGTGATCCGCCCACCTTGGCCTCCCAAAGTGTTGGGATTACAGGCGTGAGCCACCATGCCCAGCTGTGTGTGTGTTCTTTTAAGCACTCAGGAATTGCTATGGTCTGTTTGTGTGCTGCCTCCCCCCACCAAATTTATATGTTGAAATCCTAACCCCAATGGTGATGGTATTGGGGTATTGGGACTTTTGGGGAGTGATCAGGTCAAGGGTGCAGAGCCCCCATGGTTGAGATAAGTGTCCTTATAAAAGAGAGCTAGCTCATCCCTTCTACCATGTGAGGACATGGTGGAAATTATCATCCATGAATCAGGAAGCAGGCCCTCACCAGAAACTGAAGCTGCTGGCACCTTGATCTTGGAATTTCTAGCCTTCAGAATTGTGAGAAACATATTTCTGTTGTTTATAAGCCACCCAGTCTATGGGATTTTGTGACAGCTTACTAAGACAGGGACCAGCTTCTTTTGTTTTCCTGCTGGTTCCATTATTAAGGAGTTATATGAAACCATCTTACATCTTATAATCTGTTTGAAAATTCTCCTTTAACATCCCATCTCTCTGAAGTTTCAGTCTCTTTCTTTAAAATGAGGACCATCATAGATGTCTCATGGGGGTTGCTGCAGGGGGGAGGCAGGGATTAAATGCACTAACCCATTGGAAATCTCAGTGAATGCCTCTCTGATGAAACTGCTGGTGGTGGTATTGCTGGTGTATAGCACATTGTCTTTGCTTATGAACCCCAGATGTCCCAGACCCCACCAGCCTGGGACTATAACCATGAGACCATTCCCCACCTACTTTAGATTCTTTTTCAGAATTGTTATTTTTAATTACACAAATAATATATGAATCCATTCTGCTCTTTTAAAACATTAGAACATAAAGGTAAAGTCTTCTTAGATCAATTTACTTCCAGGAGTCAAATCATGGTACTTGGGCTCCTCCTGGTCTGACTTCCAGAAGTTTCACCTCTTTTGAACTTTTACTAAATTATTTCTGGGAGTCCCCAGGGTCCACGGACTAACTGCTGTCACCAAGTGAGTTGCATCCTCCTCCCTGTTCATCTTCTAGCTCCCTCGTGTTTAGGCCCACTGCTGGCAAAGCTACTTGGTGAAGAGGACTATTGGGCCTCATCACAGGATTAAATCCCACTCACATTTCTATGCAGCACCCGAGGGTGCCATCGGGGTTGCTCCCAAAGCTTCTCATCTTGGGTTTCCACAGCAGAGGCTGGAAGAGTGTCTGTCTCCCAGCTCTGTTCATACTCATTCTTGGGCCCCAGGGCACCTCTGCTGCCGCAGAGCCTCACTGAGAATCTCCTCATGAGAGAGCAGTGTCTGGTCCTCTGCACAGCATCTACCCTGTCCTCCCCTGCCCTCCTCACTCCTGCCCCCTTGTCTCTCCCCTCTGACTCAAATTTCCTAAATAGAAGTGCGCATGAATATTAAGACATGCAAACAAATCTAGGGGAAGGGTTGGGACCGGGAGGAGATACTACCTACCCATAGTCTCAGTCTCACCTCAGCTTATCAAAAATGCCCTCTACAGAAGGCTCAGATATACCTAAAATGTACCTGAGATACATTTTATATCCAGCAGGAAGCAGGAGATACAAATGTATTGAATGAATTAAATCCAGTGAGCAAACTCAAATGCTTATAGGGGCCAGGAAGTTAATGTAAATGAATGAAATGTACTGAGTATAAACACCTCTAGGATAGGGGTTGGCAAGCTCTTTCTATAAAGGACCAGACAGTTAATCTTTTTAGCTTTGCAGACCATATATGGGCTCTATTACAACTCAAGTCTGCCATCATAGAGCAAAAGCAGCCATAGATAATATATAAGCAAATAAACATGTTCCAACAAAACTTTACAAAAACAGGTGGTGGGCCAGATTTGGCCTATGGGCCATCGTTTACCAACCCCTGCTCAAGGTGGTGGGCATGTAGAATGAGCACCCACTTACTAGCCCAACCAGACTGTGACCATGTGGGAATACAGGTCCAGGGTTGCCTGTGTTTGAGAAAGGTTATACAGATAACTTTTTCTCTAAATTTTTCCAATTTTAAAAATATTTTATGGCCAAAAAAAAATACACTGGTGGCCCAGAATTAGCCTAACAATCATCATTTTTGAAACTCTGACTTAAATAAACATAATGTAATAGACACTATTAGGTATGATGCATACTTTTAGTCAATGAATTATTAGAAAAACCATATTTAGGAGACATTGATGTACCCATTTTACAGAGGAAGAAACTAAGGCTCAGCCTTTCTAAGATCACACAGCTAGTAATTTGTGGAGCCAGGATTCAGGTCTAAGTCTGTTACACTAACACATTTGTGCTCATTCCACTTCACTGCTTTTTTAATATTTACAGATTGCTCTTAGTAAGGACAATTGGAGCCTTCTGCTTTTGGAACTATCAGAATTTATGCACTTGTCATCTCTTCCCAGCTGCTTCCTATCCTGTGTATCCAGAGCTGTGAGATAATACATTTCTGTTATTCGAGACACTCAGTTTGTGATACTTTGTTACAGAAGCCCTAGCAAGCTAATACAGTACATCCATCAACAGGTGAATAAAGTATGGTATATCCATACCATGGAATAGAAAGGAATGACTACTGACACATACATGCAGCAACATAAGATAATTTCAAAATAATTATGTTGCATGAAAGAAGCCCGACAAAAGAATATACACTGTGTCACTCCCTGTATATGAACTACCAGAAAATGCAAACTAGAGTGACAGAAACTACATTACTGACAAAGGCTAATGAAGAAGCTCTGAAGGAACACAAGGAAACTTTTGGGGTGATGGATGAATTTATTTATTTATTTACAGATGGAGTCTTGCTCTGTCGCCAAGGCTGGAGTGCAGTGGCGCAATCTCAGCTCACTGCAAGCTCCGCCTCCCGGGTTCACGCCATTCTCCTGCCTCAGCCTCCCGAGTAGCTGAGACTACAGGTACCTGCCACCATACCCAGCTAATTTTTTGTATTTTTAGTAGAGATGGGATTTCACCGTGTTAGCCAGGATGGTCTCGATCTCCTGACCTCGTGATTTGCCCACCTCAGCCTCCCAAAATGCTGGGATTACAGGTGTGAGCCACAGCGCCTGGCCGATGGATGTATTTATTATCTTGATTACGGTGATGGGTTTATACATAAATCAAAACTTATCAAAGTATTTACCTTATATATGAACAGTTCATTATCTGTTAGTTATACCTCAATAAAGCTGTTTTAAAAAAATTTTAGGGCGGTGGCTCATGCCTGTAATCCCAGCACTTTGGGAGGCTAAGGTGGGTGGATCACCTGAGGTCAGGAGTTCAAGACCAGCCTGGCCAAAATGGTGAAACCCCGTCTCTACAAAAATACAAAAAATTAGCTGGTCATGATGGCGGGTACATGTAACCCCAGCTACTCGGGAGGCTGAGGCAGGAGAATTGCTTGAACCTGGGAGATGGAGGTTGCAGTGAGCTGAGATCGTGCCACTGCACTCCAGCCTGGGGGACAGAGTGAGACTCCATCTCAAAAAAAAAAAAAAAAAAAAAAATTTACATAAACTAAATGTGGCTCCCTGAATCTAGGTACTTACATTTTTGTATAAGAAATGTTAGTATGTTATCCTTTAATCATTTCTGGAATATTTTGTACTTCCCCTTAATAAGAAAAATATCCTCTTGAAGGGGCTTATATCATGGATAGAAAAGGGAGTATAGCCTTAAAGTTGGCCACGTGAAATGATCCAGGAAAGACTAGAAATGTGTCTTAACCACAGGATTTCCCATACAGTGGGCAAAAGTGGTATAATGTTCCACTCTCTGAACATATAATTGTTCTAATGTCTCTAACAACAATTACTTTAAACTGAACTCTAATATAGAGACCATCTCAATTTCAATATTAGCAGGAAACATACGAACAACTCCAAGATGCCATTTGTTTTTTTTAAGTGAAACTTTATGTATTTATAAATATATTCTCTATCTGAGAATACATAAAGCATGTTAATGAAAGAGAATGACAATAACTAATTTAGTTCTTATATAGTTTTTGCTCTGACTGCCAAATTTTATGCCTAAACATAGCAACTGTATTAAAACTTGTGATTGGCATTTTTTCCTTCTATATTTCCTTGTTTCAGATTTTTCATGTCTATTTCCTTCGATAAAATCCAGAAGAGTAAGAGGAAAATGTAACCCAGTAAAAGGAATTCCACAGGATGCTGAAACTTACCAAAGGGCCAGTTCAAATTCTGGGAGAGAGGAGTAACTAGCCAGGTAGGTGCCACAGTAACTGAATGAAAGTAAAGTGTAGTCCAGGAGAATGTTGCCTAAAATATAAAATCCATTATCAGGATTTGATTATGTTAAGACCATGTTCAGTTAACTATGGTCTTACAGTTTATTTTCCTTTGCTAATGATTTTCACGTAATTCAAAAGCATTTAACTATTAGAATAAGAAAGATCCTGGCTAATTTCTAAGACCATGAACAGAAAGCTTAGAGCAAAGCTAAGATCCATTTGTAAAATATATTAAAGTGAATTAAGACCATTAGGTTACTGTCTCTAGACTTCAATGCAGAACTGAGCATACCGCACCATGTATGTCCCAGCATGGTCTGAAATGACCCAAGAATAATCTCATAAATATATGAGACATTGTAATTAGAATAGTTATTCAGACATCTTTAAATATCTTGGGAAGTTGTAATAATTCTAGCTTACTTCCTTATTTCTATTATCTTAGGCCATATCTGGCCCTTAGCTTAATATCTGCCAGCTTTTGGAACAGCTATAAAAAGTGACATACTCCTTTGTACCTATAGTTGACAAAAAGCAACATGAATTCCAAAGTCTTAGCAACAACATGTTTTAAAATGCGTATCATGGGGAGGCCAAAACAAGAAGCGCCTGTCTCTGCTTCCCAGTACAGAGTGGTCTGATTTTCCCTCTTCTTCATCTGCTGTTCTTCAGTGGGGTTCCACAGGTGCAAGCTTTGCCCTCATCTCAGTCTGTCTTTGTATGTTTGTGTCTCTATTGCTTGTTCTGTGGATTTTTAATAGCTGTTTTCTGCTTTTTTTCTCATTCTCATTTTAATTGACCATAATATAATCCTAAAATTTTGCTTTTGTCATTTATTGAATATATTTAGCATAGTCTAATCAACAAAGAAAAAATGTATTTATTGAGCATTCACTACAAAAACTAGTTTTTCTGTAGGCAGAGATCTTAATGATTTTTAAATGCTTGCTAAACAGACGTTTCCCCCCACAATTGAAGATGACCAACTTTAGATATTCTTTAAATCTTAGAAAATATGGTATTTGAAGAAAATGCCAAAAAAAAAGAGAGAAAAATATACCCTCTATAATCCTACTACCAAACTTGGTAAATTTCTTTCTAGTCTTTTCTTCTGTGTTTACTTGAAAAAATACATACATATATATTTTCTTTAAATATAACTTTGCTTTTTATAGCTATACTAGCCATAGATTAAATATTATATATGAGGCCGGGCGAGATGGCTCACACCTGAAATCCCAGCACTTTGGGAGGGGAAGGCAGGTGGATCACTGAGGTCAGAAGTTTGAGAGCAGCCTGGCCAACATGGTAAAACCTCGTCTCTACTAAAAATCAAAAATTAGCCGGGTGTGGTGGCAAGCACCTGTAATCCCAGCTACTTGGGAGGCTGAGGCAGGCGAATCGCTTGAACCTGGGAGGCGGAAGTTGCAGTGAGCCAAGACTGCGCCACTGCACTCCAGCCTGGGGGACAGAGCAAGACTCTGTCTCATCATATATATATAATATATGATAATCCATTTTTAAATGGAATTGGATCATAGTGTTGCCTCCTATTGGTTTTTTATTTACGTTATATTGACCATTTTATCATTATCTTAACACTTCTTTAAAAGTGTGATTTTTAATGTTTGCATAATACCCCTTTATAGTATATTTTATTTAACTATATCCATAATACTGGAGATGTAGGTTGCTCCAACCTTGTGCTATTATCATAGTGCTTTTTAAGCTCATTTGCATGTAAATCTTTGACCATATTTCTAACCATTTCCTAAAAATTGAATTCGTCTTGAAGTGAGTATACTGGGTCAAATAGAGTCAATATTTATTTCACAGAAAGACTCTATCAATTTATAGTCCCACCTTCAGCAAATAAGAGTGCTACCAATTTCACTGCATTCTACCTAGCAATTATGATCATAAAAAAGTTGTGACCTTGATAGGCAGAAAAATAGCATCTTGGTTTAAATCACACTTTTTAAAACAAATCTTGAGATGAAACATTTTTTGATGTCTTTGGTTATTTGGAGTTTAGTGATTTGTCTGGGTTAATTTCTTTTCCATTGTTCTAAGAGGCTGTTTGTTTTGTTCTTGTTTCATTAATGCTCTGAAAATATTTGATCATATTTGTTCCAAATATTTTACCTGGTTTATTATTTCCCTTTTAATTTTTCATGGTGTTTTTGATGTTAATCAGTTTAAAACAGATATACAATCAAATATGTCTGTCTTTTCTAAGTTTTTGTTTTGTGTGAAAAGTTCTTCCCCTTCCTGGAATCACTCCTCTATTCTACCATGTTTTCTACTTTTTTTTTTTTTTTTTTTTTTTTTTTTTTGAGACAGAGTCTTGCTATGTTGCCAGGCTGGAGTGCAGTGGCGTGATCTCGGCTCGCTGCAACCTCCGCCTCCCGGGTTCAAGCGATTCTGCATCAGCCTCCTGAGTAGCTGGGATTACAGGCATGCGCCACCATGCCCAACTAACTTTTGTATTTTTAGTAAAGATGGGGTTTCCCCATGTTGGCCAGGATGGTCTTGATCTCCTGACCTCGTGATCCACCTGCCTTGGCCTCCCAAAGTGCTGGGATTACAGGCGTGAGCCACTGTGCCCGGCCCATATTTTCTACTATTTTCAAGTGGATTTGTTATTTATATTTAATGCTTTTTTTCATCTGATATAGACCATGAGTATCTAACTTGATACTTTTGTTAAAATATGCAGTTTTCTTAACCACTGTTGAATAATCTATATTTTTTCTTCTTTCTTCCTCCTCCTCCTTCTCTTCCTCCTTCTTTTTGGTGGTAGCCTCTTTCTTCATTTACTCAGCTTTTATATACTTTAGATTCTGTCCCAAGTCTTCAACTCTCCCACTGATTTGGTGATCCCTGCACCAGTGCCATACTTCTAATTACTATGGCACCATAATATTAAAATGACCCTCTGCCTTGCCATCATTCTCTTTCAAATTATTCTCATTCTCTATGTTTTATTTTCCCAGATGAATTTTGGAATCATTTGAGTACTCCTTGCTGTCTAAAACATAGGATAAACCTACAAATTACTTTCTATGACAAATCTCAGAAATATATTTATAATAACCAGGCTTTCCATCCAGGAATATATTTCTATATATTTAAATATTTTAAATCAATGATTTTTGTAGTTTTCTTCCCCTAGGTCACTCACACTTTTTTTTGAATTATTTCTAAGTATGTATATGTTCTAATTGTATGGGTACTTATTTCAAAACCAGCATCTTACTGAGCATTCTTTTGTTAGTCCTAGCAGACTATCGCATTATCCATCATCCCCTTTCCCATAGCTATATTTTTTTCAGTTTTATATTTTGTTGCATTGGCTAGAACTTCCAGGTTGATATTAAATAATAGTGATAACAGGTCTCTCTGATTAATATTACTGATTAGTATTACTGGGAATTCCTTTAGGGCATCATTATTCAGTAAGACTCCTGGGTATTGGTTTGAACTAACTTTCAATTGGTTCAAACAGAACTACAGCCAAATAACCAACCTGGGGAAATTTTAAAGATAAAGGGTATAGTCCACCTAGATAGTCCCCAACATGTGAATGGGTTATGTTTTGAAAATTGTCTTAAACTGTTGAGAATGCAAATTTCACCACAAACAAAGTATTATAAATTATAGTGAAGTTCCCTGACTTCATCCAAACACTTATTTGACCCTTAAGACTACAGAGCTAAGTCCAGCCTCAAGCATGAGCTTTCTGCCCATGGGGTGTTAAATGAAGGAATCATTAGCTGGTGGCTCCAGCAGACGTGCAGCAGCTCAGTGTGGGTCAGCTGTATCTAAGAAAGAGTCATTAGGCCGGGCACAGTGGCTCACGCCTGTAATCCCAGCACTTTGGGAGGCGGAGGTGGGTGGATCACTTGAGGCCAGGAGTTCGAGACCAGCCTGGCCAACATGGTAAAACCCCATCCTCTGCCAAAAACATAAAAAAAAAAAAAAAAAAGCCGAGCATGGTGGCGCACACCTGTAATCCCAGCTACCTGGGAGGCCAAGGCAGGAGAATCACTTGAACCCAGGAGGTGGAGGCTGCAGTGAGCCAAGATCATGCCACTGCACTCCAGCCTGGGTGATAGAGCCAGACTCTGTTAAAATAAAATAAATAAAATAAACACTAATAATTCAAATGGTAGGCAACATTGAGCACTTGGCATACATACACATACAGCATATTATATATTTTCATCTATCATCATCACCGCAGCCTTCACATTAGACACCATCTTTATCCCTATTTCATGAATGAGGAAATTGAGGCTCAGAGACTTGACTTTAGAAGCTATACAAACATCAATTCACCTGGATTTTCAACAAATATTAGGAAAGAAAAAAAAGTCATTGCTCTGAAAAAGGCAATAGTCTTCTAGCCCAGTGCTTCTCAAAGTTTAATGTGCATATGAATCACCTGGGAATTTTGTTAAAATGCAGATTCTGATTGAGTAGCTCTGATGTGGGAGCCAAGTTTCTGCATTTATAACAAGCTTCCCAGGTAGCACCAATGTTGCTGGTAAACAGACCACACTTTGAACAGCAAGGCTCTAGCTAACATAATTTAAATCCTCAGTGATCAGCTTGATTCCTTCTTTAAAAATGTATATTAAAAAAAAAAATGGGGCCAGGCGTGGTGGCTCATGCCTGTAATCTCAGCACTTTGGGAGGGTGAGGCAGGCGGATCACTAGGTCAGGAGTTGGAGAACAGCCTGACCAACATGGTGAAACCCCATCTCTACTAAAAATACAAAAATTAGCTGGGCGTGGTGGTGCGCACCTGTAATCCCAGCTACTCAGGAGGCTGAGGCAGGAGAATCACTTGAACCTGGGAGGCAGAGATTGCAGTGAGCCAAGATCGCACCACTGCACTCCAGCCTAGGCAACAGGGCAAAACTCCATCTCAAAACAAACACAAAAAACAAACAAAAAAAACCTTTCAAAAAATAAATCTTCACTTATAATAGATTTAGTCAACTCTTTAAACAAAATCCTTCAATTATGGGCAGAGGAAGGGTTCTCTAGAATACCTTTCAATTTGGTCCTTCTGGTCAATCCTGGAAAGCTGTATACGTAGATGAGAGGTTTTAGCTTCCGGTCAGAAAAAGCCACAACTTCACAGGGGATGTTAGTTGCCATGACGCCCACAATTCCATTACTACACTGCAGTACAGTCTTTTTCTTGGTTTCAATATTAATAAATATTACATAATTCCCACAAGGGTAGCAAATGGTGTTGTCGTTGACAAAATGAACATTCTGCTTAGGGAATCCTTGCACCCATCTTTGGGAAAAGATATGTCAACATCAATATAATACATTTCAAATACTTTTTTTTTTTTAACAAAGCAAAGGGTCATCAAAATCTTTGAAACATTTCTATTTTCATGTCCTTTCTGCCCCCAATTTCTAAGATAAAAGAACACACATGCTGGCTGTGAGATCCATTTGAGTCAATGAATTATAGAAATTTAAATGTAGACCTAAAGTTCCGTAGGTCTCCCAGGCCTTCTTCAGATAACTTTTTCAGCAAAGGAAACTCTCTGACCAAACCTGAGAAAGTCTCAGAAGGACTTCTGGGGTCTTCTATACTTGGAAGACAAAAAGTGAAAATAACAGAGAAAAGAGCTTGATCTCAACACAGTGGCATCCTGGGCCATTCTTTTATAATTAGTTTGATTTTTTTAAATAAACTTTAAAAAACAACTTTGCATAGGACAGCCTGCTTTGTGGTTGTTAGCAGAGTAGGAAAATTGCTTATTTACACAGATGAAGAGTATGTGGCCATATTTTAGATTTAAAAATACAGATAAACGTAGAAAATAAAAGGAATGAAGTCGACGTGAATGAAAGGCTAGCACACAAAAAGAACATACTCTCAAGTAAGGAGTGCGTGCTAGGTGTATGCTAGAAAGGAGAGGAGATGAAGGAGATTCTATTTTTATTTAAATATTAAAGGTATGCTTGAAGATGGTGGAAAAGGCAAGTGAAGGACACTGGTTTGGTGAGAAACCTCGAGACATTAGAGTGTCCAGGACTAGCAGGGGATGCTGTATAGAGTGGAGGTGGGGGCTGGGAGGAACACTCTAGAATGTAGGGGAAAAAATGCCACCTATATCTGCGCAGTGCTTGATGCTTTTCAAAGGCTACTATAAATGCAAATAAATCCAAAGCTAGTGGATAGGAGTTAGAAGGAAAGGATTCAGGGACCTAACTTTGGGGAAAATCACCAAAGGTAGCAAGGACGGGATCCGGGCTGTCGCCAGGTGGAGGGGGAGGGGGATGTGATCAGAAGACCCGGATCACTAGCGGGAATCCTGAGCTAGAAGGAAGAGATGAAGGGTGCAGGGGACGTTGCTGGGTAAGAGACGGAGGGTCAGGGTCGCAGAATAAGGAGTGGGAAAGACAACTGGGGACGGGGTCAAGGAACAAGGGGATGGGGAGCGGACAGGGGAGGTCACACGGGGAGGGAGGCTGAGGGAAGGCACTGGGGGCAGAGGGGAAGAGGTCGAAGCTGCGGGGAAAGCCGCCCTAAGGAACCGGAGGGAGAGGAGGGAGGAGGGGACTTGGGGCAGGAGGTTCCGCGAGACCCAGATCGGTCGCGGGGCCGTGAACACCGCACCTCACGGACAAGGACGCGCCGCCGGCGGAGTGGGGGCCTTCGTCGCGCTCCCGGCCTTGCGCCATGGGCAGTGTTTTCCTCAGGCGGGAGCAGGCAGCGCACGCAGCACCCCAGGGCGGGTCGGTTACCTTTCCGCCGCCGCGGGGCTGCGGGCCGCGACGCCGCTGCTGTGTACACCCGTATCCCGGAGACCGTAAGCCCCGCGCCCATTGGCTCTGCGCTTTGGCCCGCTCCCTTCTGAGCCGAGCAGATTGGTGGAAGGTCTGCCGCTCTCGGCCAATGGGTGAGCGGCAAGCCAAGCGAGGGGCGGGCCCCTTGCTGTTCAAAGTGTGGTCTGTTTACCAGCAACATTGGTGCTACCTGGGAAGCTTGTTATAAATGCAGAAACTTGGCTCCCACACCAGATCTACTCAATCAGAATCTGCATTTTAACAAATTTCCCCAGGTCCGGGCCAATAATTGCAAGTAAGACTCATGCCTACAATCTCCGCGCTTTCGAAGGTCAGAGCGGGAGGATCGCTTGAGGCTAGGAGTTGAAGACCAGCCTGGAAGACATAGCGAAACCTGCCGCGCCCGTGCCGCATCTCTACAAAAAAATTTAAAAAGCAGCCGGGCATGGTGGTGCACGCCTGTAGTCCCAGCTACTTGGGAGACTGAAGTGGGAGGATCGCTTGAGCCCAGGAGTTCAAGGCTGCGGTGAGCTGGGATGACGCCACAGCACTCCAGCCTGGGCGACAGAGCGAGACCTGTCTCTAAATAAATAATTATTTTTAAAAATCAATAAATTTCTAAACAGACTTTCATTTAGAGTGCTGACTGTGCCAAACATTGTTGCAACGTCTTCACATCTCCCATCAGCCCCATTTTACAGATAAGTAACGTGAGGAAAAGAGAAGCACATAATTTGTCCATGGCTACAAAGTTGAGTGGGACTTTATTTATTTATATTATTTATTTATTTATTTTTGAGATAGGGTCTCACTCCGTTGCCCAGGCTGGAGGGCAGTGGCTTGATCTTGGCTCACTGCAACCTCCATCTCCTGGGTTCAAGCGATTCTCCTGCCTCAGCCTCCCAAGTAGCTGAGATTACAGGCACGTGCTACCATGCCCAGCTAATTTTTTGTATTTTTAGTAGAGACGGGTTTTCACCATGATGACCAGGCTGGTTTCAAATTCTTGACCTCAAGTGATTCGCCCGCCTTGGCCTCCCAGAGTGCTGCGATTACAGGCGTGAGCCACCTTGCCCAGCCCTGAGTGGGACTTAAACGCAGGTCTAGCTAATTTAGAGCTCCAAGCCCTTAAGTACCATATAACACTTTGAAATGTACCCTCTTGCTTCCTCAGGGAAGCAGACAGCTCTGGAAGTAACCTGATTGAATGGTCGGCAGCTTGTCATTCCTTCTTCTCTCCCATACCTTCCCTTAGACTCCCTCCCTTACCCTTCTTCCTTTCCCTTCAGTCGTCTTCCCTTCTCTACCCTTCCCTTCCTTTCTTTAGGTCTTTCCTTCCTGTCTTGCTTTCTTCTCTCCATTTCTTTCACAAATATTTACAGAGCATCCCGCATGCATTCATGCATGTGCTAGTCACTTGGAAAAAATAGAAAAACAAATAAAGTTTCTTCCTTCTTGGAACTTAGAGACTGGTGGGATCCAGGGAGTTGGGCTAGATATCCACATGGTCTCAGATGGTCTGTGTAAGTTGTGAAAGGATTTATGAAAGTGATTTTATGCAAGAAATGTTGTACAATTCACGGATTGTTAGGCCTCCTAAATGCTTCATACAATGCCCTATGACTCTTACTGTACAACTTGCCTGCTTAAGTA